>NC_000011.10:115657273-115960303 GCF_000001405.40 Homo sapiens | reverse complement strand
GCAAGACAAACGCCTCCTCTTCCTCCTCCTCCTCAGCCTACTCAACATGAAGACATTGAAGATGAAGACCTTTATGATGATCCACTTCCACTTAATGAATAGTAAATACATTTTCTCTTCATTATGATTTTCTTAATAGCATTCTTTCTTTAGCTTACTTTATTGTAAGAATACAGTATATAATACACACACAAAATATGTGCTAACTGACTATGTTATTGGGAAGGCATTCAATCAAGAATAGGCTTTTCGTAGTTAAGTTCCGTGAGAGTTAAAAGTTATATGTGGATTTTTGATGGCATATGGAGTTGGTGCCCCAACCTCCGTATTGTTCAATGGTCAACTCTATATATACAAAATATATACATACATATTAAAAACATGTTGGAGCTATCTTCTCCGCAGTGCACATTGTGGGCTCCCAATCACTACAGCTGAACGACAGTGGGGAAGGGAGAGCTTCAGAGAATCTTCTTGTGTCTCTTGCACAAAATAAGCAGGCAGACTCCAGGGAACTGTGGGGAGGACAGCACCAGCTGGAGGAGGGGGGTCGGGCCTTCAGCCCACCCCTGTCTGGTTGTGGCCTCTTCCGGAGCTCACTTGGCAAAGGTCTATATTGTTTAACTCCAGGACTGCAGCAGGAGTGAACAAGATCCTGTTTGTGACCTTGTACCCCTACTCACGGGGAGGGCCCCCATCTCCGGATGCCCTTTGAAACCTTTGAGAATCATAGTATGTAGGAGACTCACACTGGAACTGGGAACCGACTTCTTTTACAAAGAAAGAAGCAGAGGCTCAGAGAGGCAAGGCAATCTGCCCCGGAGCCACACAGCAATTTCTCATCTTTACCCGACTGTCTGGCATCCATGTGGGCTTCCTGAGGCACTGTCCACAGCTACGGAAAATCACTGCAAGCTGCAGGCGCGGAGCAGGGGGTCGAGCCACATCTGCTGCGCGGTGTCTCCCCGGCTCCAGGCTGAACGCCAGCCGCGGGAAAAGCGTGTCTTCCGAGGCTCCCCGAGTCCTTGACCAGGACTCAGGCACAATGCAAACAGGAGAACAATAGGGAGTGTGTGAGGGAGCCCAGCCGGACAGGGTATTGATCATGTTTAAAAAAAGAAACACACACCGAGGAGCACAGAAAAACCTTACCAACGCACCAGCTGGCTTAGCTAATTAGCGCGGGTGAGCCGTGTCAGCCGCCAGCTCGGAGCCAGGAAGAAAATAATTCGCTCAACAAACAGAACATCTAAGGAGGAACAAAAATAAAACAGCCACTGTCCCCACACCTCTGGAGAATCTGTGCCGTCCAGGGAAGGGGGATGTGATGGGGTGGAGGTGGCGCTGAGAGTGGGATGGAAGTGGGAAGTCAGGAAGAAGGTGGGGAAAATATAAGCTCGGGGCCAGGGGAAGGGCCAAGGCGGCACCCAGCACTGAGCAAGGTATCATGGTGCCAGGCCTGAGCTGCCCGGCCCCGCCACCGAAGGAACTGTGTCGACTCTCGAAGCAGGGGCTCCGAGCCCGCCTCTGTTTTGGGGGTTCTTTAGCACCAGGCACTAAGATTCCTCTTCTGGGGAGTTTACTTACCATGGAGGAAGCAAGGGGGCAGTGCTTGGGCAGAGCCTGCAGGCCTGAGCCCGGGAAGGAGGCCTCACCCACAGCAGGCGAGGCACCGGGAGGTTGTTTGGTCTGTCGCAGATGAGAGGATGTCCAGGAAGTCCCTCAATTTGAATTCGTGTAGCCAGTGCTGAATGCCCATACATGGGCCTGGCCTACAGGCTTCTGCCTGTGAGAGCTGTGGCCCCATGGACTACACCTCCCAGAGGACAAGACTGGTGCATGCTGCCCAGGGAGGGGAGGGACATCGGACAATTTCGGCTCCTCAAATGAGGTGATTCAGGTTATTTGGGTTCCAAGCTACCAAATAGTGCAAAGAGAACAGAGGAAAGGCATGATAGAAGGAAAAGAGGGAAGAAAGGAGGGAAGGAGGAAAGGAAAGAAGGAGGGAGGGAGGGAAGGAGAGACGGAAGGAGGGAAAGAAGTAGGGAAAGAAGGAAGGAAGCAAGGAAAGAGGGAAGGAAGGAAGTAGGGAGAGAGGAAGGAGGAAGGGAAGGAGGAAAGAAAGGAGGGAAAGAAGGGACGGAAGCAAGGAGGGAATGAAAGAAGGAAACAGGGAGGGAGGGAGAGAGAGGGAGGGAGGGAGAGAGAGGAAGGGAGGGAGGAAGTGACTTCTTTGCATCATCTATTATACCTCAGTGATCTTCACAGTACCCAGTGGGATTAATATAATCATTCCATTTCCAAAGACAAAGAAATGGGGCACAAATAGGTCACACAGGGAGTAAATAAATGGTGCAGGTGGATTTGACGTAGCAGAATGCCCAAACTCAGGGACTCCTGACTATTCTGTTGGACTCTGCAGACAGGGTGGGTGTAAATGAAGTGAGCGACATTTGTACCCCTACAAAGGGCTGTGCACCCCCCTCTCTGTCAATGCCCCCTCTTCCCTGCTGCTTGGGCTCCATTGCTTTTTTTTTTTTTTTTCCCACACAGACCAGGAGCCCTCTGATCAGAAAGAAGCCTCACTCGTGAGGTTAATTATCTCTCTATTTCAGGATACTCCCAGGAGGCAATGTGATAGAGTGGAAAGAGTGTTGGGACCAGATTCAAGAGACTGTGCTTGAGCCCAGCTGTCTTACTCCCTACTTATGTGATATTTAATAAGTCACCCCATCCCTGTGGACCTCAGTTTCATCATCTATACAATGGGAGTTAACTCACAAATTTTCTGTGAAGATCATCTGTGACATTATATATACCAAAATATCAAGTCCTTTTAAAACCATAAAGTACAAGTGTTATTAGGAAGTATCACATTAAAAGAGAATCCCAGAGAGTTCAACATGTTTTTCTCTTCGTATGTTTAAAATTACACAGTGGATAGATCTCTAGTAATGCCATATCCAACATCAGAGCACAAGGATCAGGGGGAAATATTAGGGGTCTAAGGCCTTCCCTGGCTTATCAAATCACATTGCCTGGTAATACCCCCCTTTTCTTTCTCCCATGAAGAAGAGGTCCTGAGCATGGGCTATGAATTAGGAGGTCACTTTGTGGAATCTTTTTCTTTAAGTATGGACTTGATCATGTTTGTAAATGTACATGTGAACGTGCCCACATTCATTTCCATCCATTTTTTGCTTTTATGTCTCAGTCAATAGTTTTTGGCAATGCCTTTGCAACACCATGAACTGCAGACAGGAAATAAGACCCATCCATTTGTGCTGGTACAAGCTAAAGATTTTCTATAAAGTGCCCACATTTCCAGGCTGGGGGAATGGATTTCACTGCAGGAAAAAAAATATTGTGAGGTGAGAGAAGTGCAGCAAAGGAAAATATTGGCCACTTTAATGATTTACAGAAGCATAAAAAACCTCCTTGCCTGCTGATATTTCATATTTCCCCTTCTGCCAGTAAGGGGGCTGGGGTATGGGGTCTGATTTGAGCTATTCTATGAGGAAGCACGAGAAAGCCCGGGCTGGCCCCTTCCGGAAGACTCTGTCACCTCCAATGAGGCACTGTCTGACCCAAGGAAAAAGAACTGGCAGTGGGGTTGGGGTTGGGGGAAGGGGTGGAAGCAGGAATAAAGGTGGACACACCTCTCATGTGGGACTACCCGTTCTGGAGCCCTGGAAGGCTCTAAGAAAGGCTGCTTCCCCATTTACAGATGAGACAACTAAGAGAAGACCAGAGATTTGAAGCGACTTTCCAAAGATCATCTTTCTAGTATGTAGACAAACTGGAACCAGAACGCAGGCCTTCCAGCTGCCAGCCTCAAATCCTTTCTACTATATCCGCTGTTAATATTGTTAGCATTATTGTTGGTATAATTACCATAACAAAAGGACCCTTGAGCACTTTCTATGTGCCAGGAACTGTACTAACAACTTTACATACATCATCATATTTAATTTTCATACTGCTCTACAACATATGTGTTATGATTCCCACTGTAGATGAGAAAACTGGGGCTCAAAGAGGTTAAATGACTTACTAAGATCATTGATTTGAACCCAAATCTGTCTGACTTCAGAATCCATGCCAAAGCCACTTTCCAGTGAGTATTTCTAAAGAGCAGAAAATGTAGGGACATAGAGTAAGAAATGCTACTTCTCAGAGAAGCTGCTCAAACTCACCAACAAAGAAACCCAGTCAAAAACAACTGGCTTGAGCAGTTCAGAGGATGGGGCTTCAGAGCAAAGCCCAGGATGGTTGGATGTAGATGGTAAACAAATGCGAAGCAGCCCCTTTCTTGTACAGTTGTGGTAATTTGAATGGCTTGCAGCAGTGAGTAGTGGGAATTGAGCTATTAATAAAAGGAGCCGGCAGAATGATTTACAATCAGACATTAATATGGAGATTTTCATAAACACAATAATTCACACCCAAGCAGAGTCATAAATGTAAAGTTGCATTAACTATTCTAGTTGGCATGGAATGTCACCCGCAGTGTGAAATTGAACATTCCATTGTACCATAATAATGGACTAATGGAAAAACTTTTCTTAGGGAGAAGGAGGAGGGGAAGGGTGGGGAACTGGGAGACCAGATATTTTCTGTTTCCACCTTGCTTATTCCTAGAAGTCACTATCACAAAGCTCTGCCCTTGCCTTATACTTTTTAAAAAATACACTTTCCATCTTGCAATCATTTTAGATTTCCATAAAAGTTACAAAGATAGTAAGTAGAGAGAGTATATCTTTCATCCAGTTTGCTCTTTGTTAACATCTTACATACCCATGAAATATTTGTCAAAACTAAAAATTAACATTGGCACAATACTGTCAACTCCAGATTTTATTTGAATTGCATCAGTTTTTCCATTATTGATCATTTTTTTTTCTGTTTAAGGATCCCATCTAGGGTGCCCCGTGGCACCTAGTCATCATGTCTCCTTAGTCGCTGGTCTGTGACAGGTTCTCTGTCTTTCCTTGTTTTTCATGACCTTGGCAGTTTTGAAGGATACTGGTCAGTTATGTTGTGGAATGTCCTTCAATTTGAGTATGTCTGATGTTTTTCTCCTGTTTAAACTGGGGTTATGGGCTTGGAGAAAGCCTACCACCGGGCTGAATTGCCCTTCTCATCACATCATATCAGGGGGTGCATTATATCCATGTGACTTACCACTGCTGCTGTTGACCTTCATCACTTGGTTGAAGTAGATAGTGTTTATCAAGTTTCTAAACTGTAAAGTCACTGTTTTTTTGCCCTTTCTGTGTTCTTTCCTGTGGAAGCCAGTCACTAACTCCAACTTATATTGGGTGGGGAGTAGAAAGGAAGGCAGGATTGAGCTCTACTGCATGAGGGGAAGATAGACACATATATTATTTGCCCTCTACTTTTAAAAAATTAATTTTAGATTGATCTGTAAATTTTACTATAAAATGTCCTGTCTTTTAAAGCAGATTATTTTGAACATAATTTGACTTGTTCTAGATCACCGCCTGCCATAAGTAAACTCAAATTCCCCAAACTCTGTGACCTTTTCTCAGTTCTGATCCTCTGTGATCTCTCTGCAGAATTTGACATTGTTGGCCAATCTTTCTCATGGAAAAAAACTCCCCCTACTGCCCCTGCCATTCATTAGTCTCCTCTGCTTTCTTGTCTTCCTTCGTAACTTACTGCCTATCCATATCTATCTCTGTTTCCATCTCGATCTCTGTTCCTTTTCTTCCTCCCTCCACCTACCATATGCACTGTCTGGGTTCTCTGTGGTCCTCTCGCACCAATGTTTGCCTTAGCAATCCTTCTCCTTTCTCACCAGTGTTTCCCTTAGCAATCTCATTCATTAGATGGTTTAAATCATCATTATCATCCAGATGACTCTTAGATGGACATCTCCACCTCAGCCTATCTCTATGGCTATAGTGCCTCTATCCAAACTCTCTCCTGGCCACCTCCACATTCTGCTATGCCATAAATGCATCATCTCTCTATTAGTTAGCGTACTGTTACAGCTGCTTTAACGTAAGCCGAAATAACATGGTCTCAACAATACACAAGGTTTATTTCTCTCTTGTGTGAAAATCTGAGCTGGTAGAGGTCTGAGGGCTATGGGAGTGGGAATAGCTCTGCTAGGGTCCATGCTATCCCAATACCACTGCTTTGGATGTTGCCTTTGCCTGCGTGGTGGAATCTGAATCCTGCATGCCACTTTCCTGTACAGACCTTCAGGAACTGGAAAGAAGAATGAAAAACAAGTAGCCTCCCCCCTCCTTTTTTTTTTTTAAGGAAACAACCTAGAAGTGGTACACATCACTCTGTTCACATCTCATTGATGAAAACTTAATCACATAGCAATACCCAGTTACAAGGGAGCCTGAAAAATAAAGTCTCTAGCTGGGTGGCCAACTATACAACATAGAAGGGAATGAATATTGGGACAATTGACAGTCTCTGAAACCACCATTTTGCTCTATTTCCTGACTCCTGTAACTCCTTTCTTGACCCACTTCTCCTCTAGTCTTCTTAATATGTGCTACTATATTGTTAATATTTATGAATTCTCATTCTAGTAATCATAATTGCAAACTTAGGTATCTTTGATAGCTCCCCTTATTTCACTGTAACAACTTCCCACATGTTTAAGATTTCCGCTCCCTTCTTACTAACCCTACACCAATTCAGACCTTCATTGCCTCTCATCTGAGGTCTTATGATAATTTTTTCTTTATTTTTTTTCATCAGCCAATGGGCAAAGGAAGAAGTCTTATGATAATTTTATAAATAGTCTTCATGCTTTTAGTCCCTCATTACTCTAAAGCATCTTTAATATGGCTGCTGATTAATCTTAGTCAACACAGCTCAACTCCTCAATCCCATGCATAAGTCCTCAGCGGCTTCCTATCACCAACTCCATAAAGTTCAAGTTTCTTACCCTAGCCCTAAGCCTTGAGAGACTCTCTGGTCCACCTTCACTCTCTCTATTTGGTTCTGCATTATATGCATTCTCCCTTCCATGACAATTCCTGACCTAATCTCCCCTCCCTGTTACTTCATCATCATAATTGAATAACAGCTAACAGGTATTGATTGCTTACTTTGAGCCAAACACAGTTATATACATTACTTCATTAAATACTTGCAACAGGAGTGACATCAGCAAGATGGTGGAATAGGACTTTCTGGTGCTCATCCTCTCACAGAAACAGTCTTTAGAAACTGGTCTAGTTTGAATAGCTATACATGCATGATACCTTCACAGAGCGAAGGAAAGCAGGTGAGAGATTGCAGCACCTGGGTGCAGCACAGAGATTTTTAAAAGACACACTTGAGAGGGCAGGAAGGATAGTTTCACATTACCTGCATCAACTCCATCTCCAACTTCAGGCAGCACAGAGAGATGCTCTCTGCTTGGGGAAGGAGAGTGAAGCAAGCACATGACTTTGGCTCAGATCCCAATACTGGGCTCACCCCAGTCAAACCAAGCATGAAACAGGTTTCCGTGGCTCTAGATTACAGGCCAGCACCACAGACCAAGCCTCTAGGCCTACTTTTATGCCAGGCCAGCCCCAGCAGCCCCAGGCTGTGGACCAGCTCTCATAGACTCAGCCTTCAGGTTTACCCCAGTGCTGGGCCAGCCCCCAAAGACTCAGGCTCCAGACCTGCCTCAAACTTCAGGTCTGCCCCACTGTCAGGCTGACCCTAGTGGCCCAAGGTTTACATCCCCAGCACCCAGGTCAGCCCCCACAGACCAATACTCCAGGTCAGGGCCCACAGGCCTGGCTTCCAGGACCTCCTCAGGTCCAGGCTGGCCCCTATTGACTCAAGCCCACTGTGTCCCAGGATCAGGTTGGCACTCACAGATTCGGGCTTCAGACTTATCCCCACGGGCTCAGGGTTCAGGTCCATCCCAGCTCCTGGTCGGCCGTGGCAGACTCAGGTTCAAAGCCTGCCCCAGCATCACATCAGCTCCTGTGGACCTAAGCTTCAAATTGGCTCCTGTGGATACAGGTGTTAGGCCCACCCTTATGGACCCAGGCTTCAGGCCAATGACCCAGGCTCCAGGCCCACCCCCAAGCAGACCCAAACTCTAGGGCTGCCCTGGTGGATCTAAGTTCCAGGCTCGTCGCCATGGATTCAGGCACCAGACCTGCCCATCTGCTCACTCAGGCATCAGACCAGCCTGCCTAAGCCTCTAGCAGCAAGCTCACCTACAAATCGTGTCAGATGGCTTGCCTAGAATCTCTGGATGAGCTGACTTGTGAAGGTCTTTTCCTGATGACATCAGTTTCTAAAGACTGGAATAAGTGCCTACATTCTCAAATGTGCAAACACCACTGCATAGCCACAAATATCATGAACAATTGGGTAAACATGACACCACCAAAGAAACAAAATAAAGCACCAGTAACTGACTCTAAAGAATGGAGATTTATAGACTTCCTGACAAAGAATTCAAAATAAGAGTCTTAAAGAAGCCCCATGAGCTATAAGAGAATTCAGAAACAAAATCAGGAAAACAATATACAAACTAAATGAGAGGTTCAACGAAGGGTACAAACCATGAAAAAGGATCAAAGACAAATTCTGGAGCTGCAGAATCCAATGACCGATCTGAAAAATTTTATAGAGAGCTTCAACCACAGATTTGATCAAACAGAAGAAAGAATCAGTGAGCTCAAAGACAAGTCATTTGAAATTGCCCAGAGGAACAAAATGGAAAAGAAAAAGAAAAAGAGTAAAGATAGCCTACAGAAATTTTAGGACACCATCATGTGAACAAATATATGCATGATGAGTATTCATGTGAGGCTTGTCTATCCCTCACAGTACCAAATGATTCCCTGGTTATGATTCTGAAAGCAAGGAATTTAATGCTGACATACATCAGAAGAATATCACTGGTTAGAATGCTGCAGATTACATGTGTTACCTAATGAAAGATGACAAAGCTGCTTATAAGAAACAGTTCTCTCAATACATAAAGAACAACATAACCCCAGACCTGATGGAGGAGTTGTATAAGAAAGCTCTTGCTGCTATGTAAAAGAACCCAGTTTATGAGAAGAAGCCCAATAAATAGGCTAAAAAGAAGAGGTGGAACCATCCCAAAATGTCTCTTGCCCAGAAGAAAAATCAGGGACCTCAAAACAAGGCAGGCTTCCTCAGAGCCCAGGAGTGGGCTGCTGAGAGCTAAGTCAAGTAATTTTCTATGAGGATTTTTCAGATAAATACAATAAACTTACTGACCAGGCAGCAAATAAATAAATAAATAAATATGTAAATAGATTTTCACCAAGTCACATAACCAAACTCCCAAAAGTCAAAAACAAAAGAGAATTTTGAAAGAAGCAAGAGGAAAACAAAAATTACATACAAGAGAACGCTCATAAGACTATCTGTGAATTTCTGAGCAGAAACTGCAGACCAGGAGAAAGTGAGATGATATATTCAAAGTACTAAAGGAGACTTTCTGTCTGGTGCCATCAGGTAAACCAAGATGGGTGCATACAAATACATCCAGGAGCTATGGAAGAGGCAGTCTGATGTCTTGCACTTTCTTCTGAAGGTCGGCTGTTGGCAGTACTGCTGGCTCTCTGCTCTGCACAGGAATCCCCACCCCACCTGGCCTGATAAAGCATGCCAACTGGGCTACAAGGCCAAGCAAAGTTACATTATATATAGGATTTGTATGCGCCATGGTGGCCAAAAATGCCCAGTTCCTAAGGGTGCAACTTATGGCAAGCCTGTCGACCATGATGTTAACCAGCTAGGGTTTGCTTGAAGCCTTCAGTCCACTGCAGAGGAGTAAGCTGGACACCACTGTGGAGCTTTAAGAGTCTTGAATTCTAACTGGGTTGGTGAAGATTCCACGTACAAATTTTTGGAGGTTATCCTAATTGATCCATTCCATAAAGCTATCAGAAGAAATCCTGACACCCAGTGAATCACCAAACCAGTTCGCAAGCACAGGGAGATGCATGGGTTGACATCTGCAGGCTGAAAGAGCCATGGCCTTGGAAAGGGCCATAAATTCCACCACACTCTTGGTGGTTCTCGCTGGGCAACTTGGAGAAGGCACAATACTTTCCAGCTCTACCGTTACCACTAATATAAGTAAAGTTCATAAAATTCCTACATAATAAACAACTTAGGACAGTCATGTCTGTCTACAGGTATTTGTCTTTTAAAACTAGTCTGCAGATTGTTTCATGAATGCTTTGTCAAATTATGAAAGTTAAAGTGCAGTAATGTTTGACAATGACTATAAATGATGCTGTATCTTGTTTCCAATAAGATAAACTTTTTTTGTCTTTGCTCTATCTTAGCTCTATCTTATTAGGAAGTTATATGTCAGTGTTTAAAACATATTGTGTAGTATAATAGGTTTAAAATAAATTCCCTAAAAGAGGAGAAGGAAAAAAAAGTACTAAAGGTAAACAACAACAACAACAGCCAACAAAGAATACTATATCTGGCAAGGTAGTCATTCAGAAATGAAGGAGAGATAAGGACTTTTTCAGACAAACAAAAGCTGTGGGAGTTCATCACCATTAGACCTGTCTTACAAGAAATGCTAAAGAGAATGCTCCAAGCTGAATAAAAAATTAGTGATACAAAAACACATGAAAGTATAAAACTCGGAGGTAAGTCAATTTCATTGTAATCAATAAATCAAGTTTAATAGGAAAAAATCCTCACAATAATCCCATAAGATAAATGATAGTCATAACTGTCGTACAAATGAGGAGCCGAGGCTCTGAAGTGTCAATTAAATTATCCCCAATTTTGTGATTAGAATGTGACAGAGCCAAAGTTTGGTCCCAACTTTGTGTGACTCCAGAGCCTGTGTTTTTAGCTCAAAATGACACCATCTTTCATCCTATGTCTTCTCAGATTATTCCTTTATCAGAAATGCACTTTCTTCTCATCAACTCATGGCAAAATCTTAACCATCTTTCAAGATCTGCCTTGCATGCCTCTTCTTCCAGGAAGACTTCCCTAAAACTCTCAGTTGGAATTTATGCCTCTTTCCTCTAACTCCCATAACCATATGTCTGTGCCTTTCTTTCAACACTTAGCATCTTCTACCTCATACTATAATGCCTTGTAGAGATGTATTAATTTCTCTAGACTCAATCATGAACTCAAGAAAGTGAATACTATTGGGGAGTCTAGGTCATGTTTTTGTCCCTGAAGTGGAGCATTTATTACCTGGCCTCAGCCTTCACATCTAAATATAGTATCAAAAATATTTTTCAAATATAACCCCTCTTCTTCATCCATATTACTGCTTCTCTCCTTCATACCCTCAATATGTCTCTCCTGAACCACTGCAATTGTTCCCTAACTTACGTGCCTAATCCATTTTTAAATTCCTCCTCCATAAGGCTTCCAGAGTAATCAATCCCTATTAGTGGCTTCCTCTGGTCAATGTGATGTCCTCTACACATCTTAACCTGGTATAGAAGACTCTCAGTATTGAGGACCATACCTACCTCTTAAGTATAGCCTGTACTTGTCTTTTTTATGATCTAGAAATATTATCTACACTATGCAAGGTTTCATACTTTCATGCCTTTCTCAGGCTATTCCATCATTCTGAATTGTTTCCCCATCTTTCTTTATCTTCATCAAGACTCATCTTGGGCAAATGACCTTCAAGAAGCATTACCTGAATTCCACTTCCACTTTGGGCTAGCTGCTCTTCTTCTTTTCTCTCATGACATATTAATATCATATCATGCTCAGATGCATATTTTTCTTCACTGTACCATGTTAGTGGAAATTATCTGTGTATGTGTCTGTCTCACTCATCTGTGTGCTCACTTTTTAGGGTTAGGAAACATCCCCAGTTTATCTGTGTCTTCCTTGCACCTAGATTAGTACATATATTGAGTACTCAAACACAGTAGTTTGTTGAATGAACCATAAAAATCAGTTATTGTATTATACCTTAATACAGTGATATCACCAGGGTCTGCTGAAGTTTACATATTGCCTATATTAAATGATTTCATCTTGCTGTTTCCCTGCAGTCTGTTTGCTGTCATGTCACACTGTAGCGAAAATACTTGCCTCTATCAGCTCCTCTTCCAATAGGATTTTATTGAATGTCCTTCTGATACAGGTCCATAGATATAGATCAGAAAATCAACATGGCTACAATAGTATTAGAACAAGACTACAATGATTCTGATGGGATTTCACACGGGCTTCTGTGTCAGTAAATTTTGTGAATTTTATAAATATAGCAGCAACACCTGTTTTGATTGGTTAAATTATTTTGATCCCATTTCTGGTTCTCAGTATGTTCTGGAGAGATGTGGCTCTAGGATTCAGATGACAGACCCAGAGCCAACTGGGATACACCATGCACCATTCTGCTCTTTCTTTGATTATGGTAATTTTACTTTGACCAGGACTATTTTAGGCTTATGCTTTTTGCATTCATGCATTTTATCTCATTTGATCCCCAGAAGATCCCTTTGCAGCTGATCTATTATCTGAATTTTACAGGTAATAGAAGAGACACACAAAGGTTAATGGGCACATCTAAGGTCACACAGTCAGTAAGTAAATGAGTCATGCTGAAAATCAGGTGTCTTCACTCAAAATCCAATGTTCTTTCTTCTATCCCACACTTTGCTCCATATAATTTTTGTGTGAGAAAACTGTATTTGTCTAAACTACTGTTTTTTCAAACTGCAGGTTGAAACTCACTAGTTGGTCATAAAATCAATTTAGTGAGGGCCAAGCAGCATTTGAATAGAATGGGATGGAATGGAACAGAATGCAATAGAATGCAATAGAATAGAATAGAATAGAATAGAATAGAATAGAATAGAATAGAATAGAATAGAACAGAACAGGTGGCGTGTGACACGTCATGACATGTCAGAGTGTAAGTATTGTTTCTTGAAAGTTTTTCTCAGGTCACAATGTAAAATATATTTTTCTTTCTTTCCTTCCTTCCTTCCTTCCTTCCTTCCTTCCTTCCTTCCTTCCTTCCTTCCTTCCTTCTTTCCCCTCCCTCCTTCCCTCCCTCCTTTCTTTTCTTTCCTTTCTTTTCTTTTCTCTCTCTCTCTCTCTTTCTTTCTTTCATGGAGTCTCACTCTATTGCCTAGGCTGGAGTGCAGTGGTGCAATCTCAGTTCACTGCAGCCTCTGCCTCCCAGGTTCAAGCGATTCTCCTCCCTCAGGCTCCTGGGTAGCTGGGACTACAGGCACATGCCACCATGCCTGGCTAAATTTTGTATTATTAGTAGAAACGGGGTTTCACCACATTGGCCAGGCTGGTATCAAACTCCTGACCTCAGGTGATCCACCTGCCTAGGCCTCCCAAAGTGTTGGGATTACAGGTGTGAGCCATCATGTCTGGCCTAAAATATTTTTCTTATATTGGGTCATAGAAAAAAAAAAGCCTCTTTTTTAACCACTTTGTCTAAAACTGAAGTTGCCAAAGTGATCTTATCATTGCCCAAATGCCAGGCATATCTCAGTTCTCATCTTCTTTGATCCTTTGGTGGAATTTGATACTTTCCTCTACTTTCATCATCAAAAAATGCTTGCCTTCCCTGGCCTCTGAGCTCTCCCTTTCTCCTGGTAGTTCCATCTCTCCAACAATCCTCATTCTAGCACCTAAACATTGATATTCCCTAGAGTTCTCCAGGACCCACTTTTCTTCTTGCTCTATCCTCTTGGCATAAAAAAACAGCTTCAACCATTGTCTAAAAACCATTGATCCCTAGATCAATGCATCTAATTGTGAGTCCTCTCCCAAACTCCAGACTCATATTTTTAGCTGTCTACTGAACACCTCCTTCTTGATATCCATGAGTCTCTCAGAGTCAACATGTCCACATGAATTTATTATCATCTCTTCAAATGTCCTCTCCTTCTACGTCAGTGGGGGACATCTTCGTTCGCCCAGCCACCAAAGCTCATAGCCTGGGAGTCCTCCTAGAGTTCTCTCTGTCTCTCCTGTCTTGACATCCAGTTAATGGCCACATCCTGTCAATTCTGCCTCTGCTATACCGCTTGAAATTGTCTGCTCTGCCACTTTCTTAGTTCATAGCCTAATTATCTCTCATTGAACTACTGCCTCCATTATCCCCTCCTCTAGTCAATCTTTCACATTGCTGCCACAATTTCAAAAATGCAAATCTGACCAGGTTGGCTCTCTCTGTAAATCATCACAGAGTTTGTGCCAGTGTGGACTGACAAAGATGCACGCTTCTCAGCATTACCTGCAAGCCCCTTCATTCTTCTCACTCCTGCTTCCTTGCCTCCTCCTCTCCCTTCTCTCTCCTGTCTGCTCAGGTTCTCTTCTGTGCTGCAGTGGACATGCCAGGCTCCTTTGACCCTCCTGATGAATGCACACACTGTTGTCTTCGCCTGAATGCTCCTCTCCTTGCTCACCCTCATCCACCTGCCAACATTTTATTTCAGGTGTAACTCTACTGCTGCCTCCTGGAAGGTTCCTCTTCCTCAGACTTATCTCTTGTGTAGATACTCTAGGGTGCACCCATGGCTTTAGGATATTCCCTAAGTACTTTTTGCCTCTCAGATTACGCTCGATTATAATTGATTATTTGCATTTCAGATTCCACCGCTCTACTGTGAACATCTCAAAAACTAGAATTATGACTCATCCACTTTCCTATGCCCAAGGCACCAGCATATAGTAGGTGTTCAATAATATTTGTAAAATAAATGAAGTCTCAGTTCTGCCATTTACTAGCTATTACTTTGAGCAACTCCCTTAACCTCTTAAGCTTCATTTTCTTCCTCTGTAAGTGGACAGAAACTAATGGTTATCGAGTACTTCTATGCATCGGGCCCTATATTGTATGTCTTTACATATGTTATTTAATTTTCACCACAAACCTCGGAAATAGAAATGATTCCTCATCCTATAGGTAAGAAAAGGGAGAGAAATGAAGCAAATTGTCCATGGTTTGGTAGTCAGAGGCAGAATCTGAACTTAAGTCTGTCTGATTCCACAGCTCTTTCCACTACACCAAGCTGCCAATAAAATGGAGAAGAAGACTATCGACCTCACTGGGATTAAATGTGATAATGTATGTGAAAGCACTTTGTAAACTGTTAAACGCCATCAAAATGTGAGATGATGTTATTGTCATTAAGATCTGCCATGGTCTGCATATCATGGTCAGAATTTTCAGTAACTGATATCGGAAATCATTCAGTTGTAGCTGGCTGCAAGGGCCTATGGGAATCAGACACCTCTCTGGGGCTATTTCCGCAGCATACTTGCTCCCCTGCTTGTAGATGCAAATAAATAGCAATGCAACAGGAGGCCCAGTGGAGCGCAAGGATGCAGCATGCCCAAGGAGAAATGATGATGAGTATGCTTGTCAGTTACAGGTTACAGCACCCTGTGAATGTCCTGGTGACACCATTATGTTTTAGAATCTTCAGGCTGCTTTGTTGTCGCAACATCCCATTTAGAATCTTGGCGTGTGCTGAGGGTCGCGAACTGCACTGCTTTTAGCTGCTGCCACCAGTTTGTGAATCATCCTGTTTACAATCTTTCAGATGCTATCTGGGTGGCGCGCCTGCAGAAAAGCAGTGATATATGGCATTGCCTGCATCAGGGAGGTGACAGGGAACCGCCATGAGAGGCAAGATTCACAGTCAAAACATATTGCATTTAGCTGGCCATTTAAGTCACCCAAGGCCATCAGGTAGGTCCTGACAGGACAGCTGACCAAGGGCATATGATGGTCATGGGCCACCAGAGTTACTTCTCCTATTGAAGGCATGGATGGTGGAAATGAAGCCTTGCATTTTTACTGACCGTGCAAACTGCCTGGGCAGTGGAAGGTTAGCTCCTTAATTTTCTCTTTCATCGTTTGAATGCTACTTAATTCCATGTAACATAATTGGCTTGTTAATGTCTCTTGTTTTTTATTGCTGCAAAGAAACATGCTCTAACCGATCTGGACAAATCATGCACATGTCTGTAATTTAATGTCTGCTGACCCCAGTTGGAGACATTTTTCTTCAAGCATATTTTCCCTGGGTCTAGAAAACCTTTCTTGTGACTTGCGTCCCTCCAACATCCTTTTCCAAACTCAGTTTTCCTCTCAAGTTAATAAACAAACAAAAGCAAGAGAAGACTTTACAATGATTCAATGAAAAAGCTGTGGAGAGAGATTCTCCTGGATATGGAATCAAATTTTGAAAAAGTTTGCCTTATTTCTTAGAAGCTATGAAATGTAATTTCCTCTAATGAGTAACAACTAATTAAAGCCTGTGTGTTAAAGCAAATGCATTCCAATTTTGTCCCTTCAGAGGCAGCCTCCTCTGAATGCTCTCAGCTTTGTCCCAGACATGGTAGCCCGTGTTCAATTTTGGAGTGCAATATGTGGGACTGAATCTGATTTAAACATTGCCAGCTCGCTCTAGAAATTTCCTAATATACTATGAAGTGCTAAGACATTTGCAATAGTCTGACTTCTCTACCGCAAGTAGATAATTAGTCGCCCTTGTTCATCAACAATGTGTTTAGATATCAACTTATTTTAAATTTCTTTGGGGGCAGACACACACATTATATATAATACATATATATACACACATTATATGTACATAGAGACATTATATATTGTATAATGCATATATATAATGTATACATACACACACACACACATATATATATAAAATCCACCATCTTCTGGTGGCAAAAGAGGAAAGGGGGTTAATGTGTGTGTATATATATAATATATATAAATTATATATAGATGTATATGTATATGTTAGGTATATACATTATATACATAAAATGTATATATACATTTTATATATTAACACTGATACGTATATAAAATGTATATACATTATATACACATTAATGTTAATGTGTATACAATTGTGTGTGTGTGTATATATATGTGTGTGTGTGTGTGTGTATATATATATGTACATGCACACATTAACCCCCTTTCCTCTCTTTTCACCAGAAGATGGTGGATTATGGATCATCTGCAGGCCATGTTATTACCCCCTGCAGACTAGTCAGAGAGAATCAGATCAAGTGATAGAATAGACTTAATCGTCATCATTTTCATCCTAAGTACTTAACATCCTGGCTTGCAGGACCTCTGTATTTACTGTGGAGGGGTGTGTACATGTGTCGCCATTTTAAAGATGGCAAGAGTGAGGCCTGAAACATAAAGTAATTTCCATAGGCTGAGCAGTTTGTAAGGGTGGGAATCGAACCTGATGCTCTTGACTCTCTGTTCCAGCACTCTACACTGGTCCAAGCTGTTTCCAAACACACTGGAGACAGTAAACATTTAGGGTTCTCTGGTCTTCTTGCCTCCATCTTTGATCATTTCTGTTGTTTTGGAGAGCTGAAGGCATCTGTAAGGAACCAAATCTTATAAACTCGGTGCCTAAGTTGTGCCCCCGAGATGCTGTAACTTACAGGTAACAGCGTTGAATTGAAACTAATAGCCCAGCATGGCTCACTGCAGTGTTCTGAACTTACCTACAGATTCGCTGTGGTGTTACTTATGGATATGACAGATTTAGTGTAGCTCAGCTTAATAAAATAGCATTTATGGGAATATCTGTGCAATTAGAGCACACTTCAGCCAACGTGGCATCATACACATTCCCCTCTACTTGGGACACTGTTCTTTGGAGACTGACGTGAGCCCTGGGCAGTTGAAGAGCATTTGGGATACAGGGAAGACACCCTAAAAAGGATTAGGAGAAACTTCCCAGCTTTTAGGAGATAATTCTCCTTCATGCCCTATTCCACTTTTGATGGAATATCTCCATCACAAGTGCCTGTGTTGTATCAGGGTGTTCTAGTTCCTGAGCAGTCTCTGGAGACAAGTAGGTACAGTTGAACTTAGCCAAGCAAACACTCATTTTTCACCTCTGTGATCCTACACATGTTTCTCCACCTCCCTGGGCCTCCCTTTTCTCATCTGTAGAATCTGGGAGTTGGGTTAATAATCTCCAAAAGGCTAGAATTAGAAGTCTATTTCTTCGGGGTTGTTCACTCCACAATCTAGGATGAAAGCAAAGCGTTCAGTCAGCATGACTTGGGGGAATCATCTCTGCATTTCACAGCTCTGAACTCCACCTAACCCCTGTCTGCCTCCCACTCCCACTAGCAGATATTACCTAGAACTGCCTGAAGTCACTGAGTTCCCAGACACAGAATGTAATAGGAGTGGGATTGTGCCCTCCAAGTCTTGTCTTTCTTGAAAATGTCTATGGTAGTTTTCTATTGGGTCTCCATAAAATGGTCATGAGGCTAAAATTATTATTGAGGCAAATAGTTGATGGATTATTTGACTCCACTGAGTAACTTGCCAGATGGTTTTAGAGCTGTGTAGACATAGTCTCGGTCAAAACTGTTGAAAGCATTTGTGTAGGCAAGCCCAGCCTCAGTTAGTGTCACAGTGACCAGCTGGGAAGTGAAAAATGTAACCAAACAATGGACTGCTTTCTTTTCATCAAGCCAAATAACCAGTTTTACTGATTTTCTTTTCCCACTGACTTAATTGTTTTTGCAACTGATGTGACTCACTTCACAGATTGTTTCCAATCATGCGGGCGCAGCCCGAGTTGCAGAGCGTTGTGGTTACTGTTCCTTCCACCCTAGTGAGGTGGGAGTCGAGAAGTCCGGTGACTCACCACAGGCTACCAGCCATGTGATGGCGCTTCATCACGTTGTCCTTCTGTGTGCCCAGCACTTTGCTGCGGACATGGAAATAAACAGATGCTATGAGATAGCAACACACACACACACACGCACGCACGCACGCACGCACACACACTATATCAAGAAAGTATGGTCAAGATGCCGTAAAACTCAAAGGGCTAGGCATCTTGAAACTTTGTAAATAGCCATTAACCCAGGACAAATTGGGCCCATTAATAAAGAAAAATGCCAATTTCATTGATTTGCCTGTCTTACAGTTCACTTGCTTCTCTTCTCGGTGTGACAAGCTCCACCTCCGATCATCCTGCACTCTCTAACAGAGAGACTAGAAACTAGCACTGGCCTGAATCAGCTCTGTGGAGCCCAAACCGGAATGCATCTGATCCAACTTTGTGGAATGGGGTAGGAGTGTAGTTGGGAGCTTAATTGAGCAGATAAACTGGTCAGTAAGTCACAGAAGCCGTAGCTAAAGGGGTCATCAGTGCAAGGAGCACCTGAAATGGTTATAGGGTGTGAGAGTCTGTAAGCGCCAAGACTTAGGAGAGGATGAATATAAGGAACCAAATGCTGAAATGGGTGAGCAAAAGTCCTACAGTGGGTCCTACAGAATGCCCGAGACAGGCAGCTGTTGATGGTGGCTAGTTTCCTACCAGCTCCTGGGCCTCTGGCTGAGGGCAAGCTAGTCCTGAGATATCAGAGTAGAGACATGGCACTATCATTTTGCAAAATGCTTTCTATCAAATTGTTTCTACTAAAGCTAAATATACCCATGCCCTATGATTCTGGCAATTTCACTGTTAACTATATAGAAATACATGTGTATAACCACTAAACAACCCGTTAAAGTGATTAGAACAGCATTATTCATATAACCCCAATCCAGAAACAGCCCAAATGTTTCTCAACACTGGAAGTGATAATTGCGATTTACTTAGAAGTAGGATAATATGCAGCAATGAAAAAGAACAAACGGTTGCTTACAAACATATTATTAAGCAAAAAGAGGTAGATACAACATAATGTACTGTGTATGCATCCATTTATATAAAGTTCCAAAACAGTCAAAATGAATCTATGGTGACTGAAGTCAAGTGATCACTTTTGGAGACAAAGGTAGAAGTTAGTGGCTGGAATGGGGTCCAACGGAGTGCTGGGAATTTTCTATTTCTTGATGTGGGTGGGAGTTATGCTGGCGTATTTACTTTTTGTATATACTGTAATCACATACAAATATTAATATTAATAAAAATTTTAGGCAGGTTATAAAAAGGGGGACAGGCAAAATAGACACTGGGGTATAAAAGTCCTCTGTCACCAGGTGCATTTCTCATGGGAATAAGCATGACTTCACTGACCTATTATGTAGATTTCGTCTTGCCTGGTGTCTGAGGGTGTTCAGTCTGTGTCGTCATGTCAGAACTTAGCTGAAAAACTGAAGACTGAGGGGAGAACAATCTGATGTCCATGCCCTTCACCTAGAGAGGAATGCCCAGAAAGGGGTGGTTGTGGCAGGGAAGGTGAAAGTGCAAGTGCGTGCTCGGGAGAGTAGGGAGAGTATAAAGGGGTATGGAAGCAGGGGAAGGCAGGGACCACTGGCTTTTCACATCTGGACTCTGAAACCACCATCTGATGCAACACTTCTCAGAAGCACCCATGCTAATCACCACCAGCTGACACCCCCAGCCACATCTGCACCACCCCAGCTAATCACTGCCCACAATTGCCTACACCTGTCTTCCCCTCCTGCCCGCCCCTGCCACCTGCCTGCCTGCCACTTTCAGTCCTCACGCTAAATCAATAACAAAGTCCTCTGAGGGCTGCCTAGCTTCTCTGTTGATGCCCCCTCCCCTTAAACCCACTTCCCCTCCTCCCCTCTCCAAGCCTGATCCATCTGCCCAAGCTCAGATCTGCTTCAACAGGACTGGCAGGGTGGCTCTGGTTGCAGACAGCATGGCTCTCCCTGTCCTTAGCAGCTGCCGAAGCTGCAGTTTAAGAATCGCCATGTCTGGAGAAAGTCCATTAAAAGACAGTAGCAATGTATATTGTGCAGTGACCTTCTGGGCATCCAATTCTACCTTGTTAATGATCTCTTTGAAATAGCCAAGGCTGTGGAGGGAGATGTGGTTCCAGAGGTCCCCAGGACTGTGTTGTTAGGACACAGCTGCATTTGCTATGTTTGGGCAACACTCAGGAATCACTCTCCTGCTAATGGGGGCAGGTCCTCAGAGACCCACTCAGCCAATTAAAATACTCTTCAGGAATGTGCTGAATGTCCAGCCACTGGGCAGATCTGTGAATGTTTATCCTGGCAAGGAGAAAGCTAAAGATGTAGCCATCTATTCCATGTGGAGGAGCGAATGTTCCAACGGTGAGTCTCATAGCTGTTTCTCTCCTTAGTCAGGACACTCGGGTGAAAGTGACATATTCCGAACACACCCACTGCCTTAACAGAGGTGATACACAATCCCCTGTTATCCAGCTGTGACTCTACCACCACCCTCCCACTCAAGAAAGCAAACTGAAATGCAAGTAAAGCAAGAGAGACGTTACAATAAGCACTCTTTCGAATTTTCTCTATTTACAAAATCACCTTCTCAGATGTGATGTTTTATTATTGGTAACAAATTACTTGCAGTGTACCTCAAAACAGATGAGGCAAACCAGTGTGTTTTGACAAGTAAGCTAAGAACTGTTGCTAGAGAATACGGAAACCATCAGCTAACCACACTATAAGAAATACGTTGGTGGCAGGATATAAGGAAGAACTTCCAGGTAGTAAGACTTGAGCATTTAATAATAGCTCAGCAAACATTTAATGAGTGCCTGCTTGGTGCCAGGCTCTTTCCTAGGCTTGGGGCATGATTGCTTATTGCAAGAGTAACTGGAATCTGAATATCTTTAACAAAAATGTAGAAAATCATTTAAGGCAGAGATTTGACAGAAAATGGCCTGGGTTGAAGACATTCCCAAGATATTTAATTCCCATTTCCTTCCATTCCTCTCCAAGCTCTTAGGGATGATTTCAGGGCTATAGTCAGGTCTGGGCTATAGAGTATGAGAGTCTAAGAAGCAGCTCTATCATGTGGTTCATAGTCTCACCTGCCTGTACCTGGTCACGAGTTCTGTGAATTCATGGGCTTTGGAGAGGGTGTGAGAAAATGGCTCTTAAACGTGATCTCTCTGTGGAGGAAGGATGCCAGTGCCCTGACCACCATGGCCTTACTAATGGGAACAGTGTTGTCAAGGGTCCTAAATTGGAAGTTAAAAGACATAGATTCTAGCCCCACTAGAGCATAATAATTTTAGGAAGATATTAAGGGTCCAAGGCCTCAGATATCCACCCAACAACAAGGGGCTTCAAGCCACGATGTTGAAGTACATTGCTGTTAAAACACAGATGCCTGGAAGCTGGAGAATACCATTACCCTAACTCTCCATGGGGAAATCTGACACTGTACCATTCTATTCCGTCCTCACATGTTATGACAAAGTTCTGTCCATTATTTTTAAACCATGAGCATACCTCCAAGCCCACTACCCTTCTGTGATACAGTCTCTGAACTTTCCAAACTCCCACTCCCTCACATTTAATCATCCAGTTATTCTCCCATTCCAGAACTCTCCTTAATCTCCCAGATTAAGGAGAGGAGCATGTCCTTTCTGGCCTCATTTGTCTCCCTGAGACTGTGCCCCTGGCCAGTCATTTCACCTGCCCTCAGCCAGTCTGGAAGTTCCCACTCTCCTGACCAATGAGTCCCTTGGTGCCAGAACCCAAACACAGCCCAGGTTCAACCTGCTGCCCTAGCAAACACTGCAGGAGAAAAAAAGTCATGGGCCCACCCACAATCCATAAGGTGAGCTGGGCTACCATCTCTTCGGGAACCATTTCCTTAGCTTTAACTGACCTCCCCATCAGAGTTCTTCCAAACCATCCTCATTTTCCTCAGTCTCTCCAATCTGCTGCTATCCCACACCCTTACTGTGTGAGTTGGCTAGGGCTGCTGTAACAAATACTAGACTGAGTGCCTTAAGCAACAGAAATTTACTTCCTCACAGTTCTAGAGGCTAGAAGTCCAAGATCAAGGTGTTGGCAGAGCTCGTTTCTTCCAAGGGCTCTCTCTTTGTCTAACAGATGGCTGCCTTCTCCTAATGCATGTCTGTGTCCTAATGTCCTCTTCTTATAGGGAGTCCTATTAGATTAAAGCTCACTCACTCATATGCCCTATTTTACGTCAATTTCCTTGTTAAAGGCTCTGTCTCCAAATACAGTCACATTCTGAAGTACTGGGGGTTAGGACTTCAACATATAAATTTGGCAGGGGAGGGATGCAATGTAGCCCATACTACGTACCCTTAAATGACAACCTTGCTTTCTGTTTATTGGAAGACAAGAGCCATCTGATTTACCTTCCCCAGTTGCCCTGCTCTTTGCTCCAATGATTCCCAAATTTTCAGATGGCCTTTCTTTTCCCCTCTCAGCTCCAAGTTAGTTTGAGTAATAGCTTTTCTGGAAAGCTTTACTTAGCCCTTGGAGCAGAGTAAAACATTTCTTCCTCTGCAGTGTCATTGTATTTTGCTTCCAAAATAAAGAAAACTAAGCTCTCTGGAAGGCCTACTATGTGCTCATCACTGTGCTGGGCACATTAGCACAATGTTCTTGTGTGATTATTGTAGCAACCCAGGAGAGTGGTGGTTAAAGCTAAGAAAACTGAAGCCCTGGGAATTTACCTTCTCCTGAGTCTCTCAGTAGGTATGTGGGCAGAGGCACTATTCAAAATACCACAAATGTTTCTATCCTAAAATCTAACAATTTTCTAGTGATTCTTTCTACCTCCTTCTCTCCTAGAGGGGAGTGGCCATAACTTGCCCTTTCTTTATGCAAAGTGCCCTGCCACAGAGGAACCTAGCCCATGCCCCTTGAATGGGTGAATGAATGAATCTTCTTTATTAAAACTAAATTTAGGAAAGTCATGTTCTTGATCCCTTCTCCTCTGAGTCCTTCTCCAGACATTTTCCCCACCATCTTGCATCTTTAACATCTTCCTTCCCACTGACTAATTCTCTCCACCTTGGATACATCTTCTCTATTTCTCTTTTACTCTTAATACTTCTCCATGCCTTGATACCTCAAGCTATCGGACTATCACTTTACCTCTCTTTCCCCTCAATATAATTGAGAGAGAAGCCCTTCTCTCTGGAGATGCTACTTCAGATGGTCTATTGTGAGATGTTGGTATTTTTTAAAGCCACCCAAAGAGCCAGGTTTAGGGACCTCCAATCCATGCTCTGGGCCTCCACTTCCTTACCTCATTGACACTTGCAACTGGCTTTCACTGTCACCAACAAAATCGCTCTTGCAAGGTTTTCAAAGACTTTCTAAATGCCACATCCTCCTTGGGCCTCTGCAGCATTCATCTCAGATGGTCACTCTCAGGATCCCTTCACTTTTACCACAACCATCTCTCTGCCCTTCTTATTCTCCGTCTACTGCATTAGTTGCTTGTTCTCTTCCCACCTACCAGATGGAAAATTCTCCAAGGTCTGATTTTCTTCCCTTCTCTCTTTTTTCTCCATATTCTTTCCCCTAGACAATTGTATTTACTTCCCTAATTTCAATTACCTTGTCCGTGTAGATGATTTAGAAATAAATATCTCAAACCCCAGCATCTCTCTAGAGTTCTGGACTCAATTACCTTTGTTTTTGGAAGAGCTCCACCTGTATGTCTGTCCTGGGTTCTCCCAAAAGCAAAACTTGAGGCAAGAAATGAGTGCAGGTAGTTCATATGGGAGGTGATCCCAGCATGTAACAGTGATTGAGCAGGGAGAATTAGTCAGGAGCAGGAAGCACTGATGTGAGAAACATCATCAGGATCAGTGCTGTGGGCAATGGAGCCTCCATTCCACTGGGACCTCCTGAGAAGTTGACAGATGCTTTCAATTGTTCTTCTGAAGGACTGAAGGTTCAGCATTGATCCCATTCTCCATTAGCTGGGAGTCTCCCAGGGCATTATCTCCCCTACACTCAAGCTATTCTGTGGTCAGTCCAAGCAATCTCCTAGGTTTTGAAGAGGGTCCTAGTGCACAATGTGGAAAGAAGCACAGAAAGCCCGCAAGGTGGGATGCAGGTCAAGAGCTGGGTGAGTCTGAGGCCTTGTGGGACTCTCCACTACAGCTGTGCTGCAGACAGAGGTGGATCAAAGGGAGATTGACACCATCAGCATCCTTTCTCCAAAGTCAGCTCAACCAAATATTAAAGCACAAAGCTGCAATGACTTCTGACTCTTCACCCCTCATCTTAGTGTGTAGTT
This sequence comes from Homo sapiens, assembly GCF_000001405.40. Classification (NCBI taxonomy): domain Eukaryota; kingdom Metazoa; phylum Chordata; class Mammalia; order Primates; family Hominidae; genus Homo; species Homo sapiens. Next base: position 115,935,284 of record NC_000011.10, on the reverse strand, counting down.
ATTAGAACCATGTCCTATTTATTCCAATCAGACTTGCTCTCCAGCATTGTCCCCTCATGGATTTCTCATGATTGCCTCAGCACGAGCTTTTAATTGCCATCTTCTGGACTCGTATCTATTAACTTTTATCTCTACTGTCTATCTTGCCCCCTTCCAAACTACCTTACACATAGATGCAAGATTATTCTTCCCAAAGATGTTTAAGCATCATAAACTGCTAAGAAATCTTCCATGGTTCCCAATGGATGGCCAAAATGTGTCTAACATTCTTAACCTGGCATCTGATACCCTCTTTGTTCTGCCACTGTTTCATCAGGGCAAAAGTGTTATTCTTATTACCCACCTACCTGTGTTTTCTCTCCAGGACTTTTGACTTCTTTAACTACACTACTCTAATTTATTTTTGCATTTACATCTTTATTCTCTCCTTTCCCCCTGCAAATAATTTTCTAGATGGCCCCATGCACTGAAACCATTCTAATCTCACCTGTCCTTTTAGGCCTATGTGTGTACAATATTTATCTCCTCTATGAAACCCAAATACACTTCTACTTCCTTTTCCCTGAACTCCAAATGCTTAATCTCTTCTTATCTTTTCTTCATTTATTATTATTATTAGCAACATGGTTGCGTTTGATTTGCCTTTTTCCTAGGTAGAGTGTGGCTGGGTCCTTGAGGGTAGGGGTGATAGCTGCATCATCTTTGAGTCTTCTGTGGTATCAAGCACAGTGTCATGCACAGTAAATGAAGGGAAAAAAGAAGGCAGGAAAGGAGGAAGAGAAGGAGGAGTAAATCTGATATCACACTGAGAAACAAGCTTCACAGAAGAACAAATGCTAGGAGCCAAGTAAGGGCCAGCATATGCTAACCAACTCACCCCTCCAACAGACTCCCACCTCCTTGAAAAGGACTTTATTGTTGCTCATTATCTCACCTGCCCTTGCTGCTGAGCGCCCACCTGGAGTCAAGCGCCTTCTGCCTGAGACAGCTGTTTCTGATGTCTGGGTAAAGATTGTGTAGACTTCAGCTGGGGAGAACTGGCAGGAGGAAGGATACCCTTTCTCAGTTACAGATGGCAGAGGTGAAAAATACATAAAGAAAACATGCCAACTGTTTCCAAACCACCCTTAGGTGTGTCAGCACAATGTCCACAACAACTAGGTGAAATGAAAAAAGATATAAGTCAAACATGGTTTTCACTACATAATGTCCAATACTTGGTATCACTAAAGTTGTAGCTACCCCAGACTGTCAGATTGCCTGAATTAGCCAGTATGTTCTTTACTATATATACATATAGAGAGAGAGATGGGTTTTAACCAAATCACCAGTGTCTTCCAGCACCATAGCAGGATCAATTGCTATCCGTAAGTCTTCAGATATCCCAAATGACTGGTTGATTTGGTCAAACATGAGGCTGGACTCACCCATCAATGACATGACCAACTCACCTGTGACTTTGGCTTGGTGCCGAGTCAGCCTCTGTCACAGACTAGCCACACTTAATTAAATCAGCAGTCAGAAAGATTCCATTGCTTCTCAGTTCCCTGGCCCCACGAATGGCAGAAGGCCAGAAATAGGGCCTGTGGGATTATGCATGAGCGACAGCAAATCACAGCCACCTTTTTCCTCCTTGCCTCATGTTCCCATTAGAATAGAGACAGACTTTGATTTTTATTCCCTCAACATGCTTTGCTTAAAAACCAACTGGCCATAGGAAACACTAGAAAGGAGATGGGTATTATCTTCAGGATTTCCTATTTCCCCTCTTGTATCACCTTTCTTCATTTTGGAGAAATCACCCATTCCAGTCTCCTATCCCTGAAAGCAGTGTCACCTACTCTAATGTTAATTTTACAATCATACCTCTCACTCCTTTCCCGATCCTCTTTTCCTTCCATCCAAACTACCTACTGTGTATTATCATGCATCCATCCTTTCATTTATCCATTTAGAAGATAGATACTGAGCACCTATTACGTGCTCAGATAATGCCCCATTGTGTTGGAGCTGATATGCACATAGTAATATGCTCCTTTTGAATATAATACCTTAATATAAAAGAGTGACCCAAGGGGTTGGTATTACAGGCACTATGGCAGACCCAGAGATTGAGAGTCACTATATGAGGACAGATGGGACTTTAATGACTTTCTGAAATCAAAAAAGCAGTTGATCTGTCCTCTGCTCCTTCTTTCTTTGGTTAGAAGCCTGCCATTTCTTTCCCTTGCCATTCAAACAGGACTTTGTGTAACATGAAAAGGATGAAGGTTCCCATTCTCAAGGACATTATGATTGATGGAATTCCTTGACTTACTCACCGTTATAAACTCGAATGAAGGACAGGACCATACAGAAAGTGGATTGTTCTCTTCTTCCCCTTCCAGGAAAAGCAAAAAGTACAGTGCTGCCCAGGCCAGCAGTCTCAGCCATAGCATCTGTTCATGGTGTCCTATCTGTCTTGGAACCCAACGAGTCCACCATGTGATTGATGGTGTTCCACTTGATAGGGAACGGAACAAGCAATGATTTGTCATTCACCATAAAGTACTGCTATTTCATCTGCTCCCATTCCCCGGGATGCAGCTCTGGCTGTTTGCTCTATGCATCAATTTATAGTTTATCCTAAGACTAATGATGTTGTGTTTACAAGGCAAGGTGGGGCTTTGTTTTTGTGTTCTACCAGCAGAGGATTACATTACTGATTGATCGCACACGGTTGTCTGAGGCAAAAACATTTTGAATTGATACCTGGATTTGAACTACAATCAACTTCCTCGACAATTGCCTCTTGGTGCTGAATAGATCAAGGAACTGCAGCTTTCTAATAGGGCCTCAAGGAGATTTTGACAATCCCTGTTAGAAGTGAACAGTTTGTTGAGGTGTATGGGAGGCAAATAGATCATCCAAAGGGCTGGCCTGTGGCTTTCAGGAGCCCGAGGACATGCTCTAAGACCCCACTATTCCAAACAGCTGAAACAGGCAGGAGCAGCCGTTTGCTGGTATATGTTGAACAATCAGTTCTCCTAAGGGGGGTGGAGGTGAGAATACACCTAATTTGTAGCATTACCAATTTCTCTGGTGTAAATATTCCTACCATGGCCAATTTCAAGCTACCAACGTGATGTCACTGAACACAAATTTGGGAAGGGAGGCATAACATTGGCTCTCATGAGCTGGTACTAGGTAGCTCCAACACACTACTCAACAAGGACTAGTATTTATTTATTATATACAGTCCTGTTCTAGGAAATTTTTTTTCTGATGAGAAAATTAGGGTCCAGAGAAGGTATGCAAGTTACCCAAGATCACACAGTGATAAAGTTGAGTCTTCTCATGCAGTAGCTACACTCTTTTTGTTATCTCCTGTAGTCCAGAGTGTAGAACTAGCAGGTGGTAGGGCCAGCTGGTTAACCCCGGGGTCTGATTTCAAGGCCTATCTATGCTCCTTCTGTACACCATGTTGCTGCCTCAAAGAATGGTAGGATTCAGGCTGTCCACTTTTGTCTACACTTCTGCCATTTAAGCCTGGTCAGTTCTGCTCTTGCCCAACTTGCTTTGATGGGGAAATTCAAGTCTGCCTCTGTACTCATCTGCTAATTTCTCTCAGCCCCAGTAACTCTAAGGAAAAGGATATAAGTTTTCATGGTGACTCCTGCCTAGAATCTGGAAAGAGACAAGATGACCCCTAGGAGATCCCAATCATAACAGTCCAAGAAGCCAATTCAACAACCAATTTACCTGGAAATCTAAATGACTTCCCCCTTGGATTTGTTTTCACCCCTTTTAATTTTCTACCCACTGTCTTTGCAAGTTCATTTCCTTCCTGAAATTCTGAAGCAAATGAGGCAGTGCTGGTAGGGGGGTGAGCACAGGGCTGGGGCAGTGACCTGCCCTGTGCTCTGTCTGGCAGACTCTGGTGCAGTGCAAAACAGCAGGGCATTAATGGCTATTAATATCCACAGAGGAAGTGCTGAAAGGCCAACCACATAATTACCATTTATTCATCATATCAACTGGTCTTCAGCTCCTTCCGGTGGCATGTCATATTGTCCTGGAGTGGGGAGTTTGGGGGGAAGCGGGGAATAAAGAGGAGGATCAGCAGCCCCTTCCCCATCACCCTCCCTCCCCTGCTGTGATGGGAATGGGGGTCAGAACGCAGGGCACTGTGGCTCTCTGAGCACAGAGGTAAACAGGAAGCTCTGGGCACAATCTGGGTGGTAGAGAGCAGTGGTCAAGGAGGGCAGCTGCCAACCAAGGGCAGCAATGCCAGGCTGTTCTACTATCTCCTTTCTTAAGAATTGAGCTCCACAGCTGCAAAGGAAGGCTGTGTGGAGCAAGCAGAGAGGGGATGAGACCAGAGACTCTGTCTGCAATTCTCAGCTCCTGAGAAGTGAGTGGATTTTGGACTGCTCATGAGTCCAAGTAATTTCCTGAGGATGCGTAAAAAGGAGGTTATCCAGCCACCCTTTCTGGCACTTGCATTTCGGGTTCCTGGGGCACCCTGCTCCTTAATCCCATCCCCTGAGAATGGAGTACTTTGGTTTCTGGGGACTCCAAATCTGGACAGGGATGGTGGGGAAGAGATTAGTGTTGTGTTTTTTCTTTCCCCCTGGTACCAGCTTGACTGGCAGCCTGGGCAAAGAAGAGCCCATTCTAAATGCTCCCCGGGGTCCAGAATGGAACTCATTACATCAAACCTGCTGGTAGCCAGCAGCTCTGCTTTGTGAGCTGTGAAACAAATGTTTATCCACCACTCAGTGTGGTTCAAAGCTATTTAAGGAGCTCAGGGTGTTGAGCTGCAGGCAAGAGCTATGTGTGCAAGGCCAGCCCTGGCACCGAGTGCAGTGGGCAGATGTGGGGACTGCAGCCTCCAGGCTCTCCAGCTGCAGGACTCAGCTGAGAGCAGAGCAGTCAGAATGAAATGGCCACTTTCTCCTCATTGCATTTTGTCTTTCATCTCCAGCCCCTTCCTGTCCTTTCTCCCATTTCCCTTTCACTTGCCTTCCACGTTTTTATCTTTTCTCTCTCTCTCTCTCTCCCCCCCCTTCGATTTTTTCTTCCTCTCTATGCCTTTCTTTCTTTTCTTTAGCCTTTCTTCATTCCCCTTTATTCTTTCATTTTCCACTTCTCTTCCCTCAGATAGGCCTGTGGCTCCCTCATTATACTGTAATATGCATTATTCTCTGTCTCAGTGATGTAATCCACAAAATGCATGGAAGAATAAAATAAAGCTAAAGTCTTTACCCGCACAAAACCACATCTAAGGAAAAGCTGGCACAGTGTGAACCTAATGTGTACTTAGGGAAGGGAGAGAGGTCAGCAACAGAGCATGCCCAGTGTAAGTTCCAGGAGCTTTTCTGGAATGACATAAGGTGCTGATAATTCCCTGTCTATACATGCCAGTGCCTCCACGCAGTAGCATCATGTGCAGTGTTTTTGTTTTTTAAAGAGCTGTGAAGATCACCAGTTATAAGTGAGAAAGCTGCGATCCGCGACACTGGTTTCCAGAGTTTGGTGGAGGTGGCTATTGAACTTGTGTATGAGTCACTTCTGTTTTAAGACAAGAGGTATTTGTGAGGATACCCAGAGAGTGCAGATGAATGAGGGAAAGTGAGGTGGCAGTCACTACCAAGGGCTCGACATCTACATTTTCAGTGATTCCTCATTGAAATGATTCCTCATTCCTTACTTTACAACTATTGTAAAGTAAGTGTTATGTTCTGACTATCTACTACTGCATAACAAACCACCCAAACAGTAGCTTAAAGCAATAACTATCTTTTATTTTGCTCTTAAATCTTGGAGTTGCCTGAGCTTGGCTAGGCAGTTCTGACTTGGGAGGGTCTGTCTCATAGTTGTAGCCAGGGAGTAGTTGGGACTGAATTTATCCTTAAAGCTTCTTCAGTACATGTCTGGAGCTTGGGCTGCAAAGACAAAGACAGCTAGGGCTCTTGGGCATCTCACTTGTTGTCTGATGTCTCTCCAGGGTAGCCAGGGATCTCACGCAGCAGCAGAAGGCTCCCAAAGCAGGTATCCTGAGAGAAACCAGCAGAAGCCAAAGGCCTTTCCTAAGCCACCCTTGGAAATTTCATAGCATTCTGTTCACTGCATCCTAATTCTTGAAGTCTGTCACACAGTTTATCTAGGACTTTCAAGGGGAGGAGACCTAGATTTTGCCTTTTGATGGAGGAGTATCAAAGAGTTTGCAGACAGGTTTTAAAACCACCACATGTTGTTAAGCTGTTTTTTTACCACCCAAGGTTCAGGTAGTTATCCAGCCCTGCTGTGAAGTATTGCAGTGGTTAAACACAGATGTTGTAGCCAGACTGCTGGGCTCAAGTACCATATTCGTCGTGTATGAGCACTGTGATGTTGGGCAAGTCACTTAATACTTTGAGAATCAGTTTTCTTGTCTGTTCAATGGTGATAATATTCCTGACTCACAAGATTGTTGTAAAGATTAAATTAATAGCTATTAAGTACTTAAAATAGAGTCTTACATCTTGTTGGCATTCTACAAGTATTTGCTATTATTATTTTTATTAGATTCCCGTTTTATAGATGAGAAAGCTGAGATGCAGAGAGAGAGAATACTGATTGGCCTCCGTCACATAACTGGGATTCGAAAACAGTCCCAACAGATTCGAAAAATCCTCTCTGAGTTCCTGATAGCAGCACCTCTTCCCTCCTATACAGAACTGCTCCCAACATTAAAATCCCTGTAAGTCTAGAATTTGGAATTTATAGGCCCCCAGGCCTTGGAAGAAGGTCCCCCAGGAGCTAAACTCTGGACTTATGACCCACCTTCACCCTAACCATTTAAGTCCAGCCACAAAGAACATGGATGGGGAAAGCAAGGTCCCTACTCTGGCCTTTTATGCACATTTTTGACCCTTAGGGGTTAAAAGGGTAGAGATGTAAGAGGAGATGGCCCAAAAATAAAGAAACAGTACCTAATGACATTTGCAGGCAAAGGAAACAATACTGGATCTGACTTCGAAAGGCAGTTTTTTGAGATGTTAAGTTTTGGTTCCTGTCTCTGTAAAGAGAACTGTACTGTGTACCACATGGTTTTTACCAGGACCATGTGAGAGCCTAAGGGTGAAAGCACCTGGTAAACCACTGGGTCCTGGCCACCAGTCAGTCATGAATTGAGCCCAGCAGAGAGCAAGGTGATAGCCTTGGGCAACTGCCATGCTTAAGCTGGGACATGGTCAGAGCAGCCCTGATGTGGGGAGAGGGCTGTCCTTTGGGCTGTCGCAGCCTGGGCTGGTATCCAGTCATGGTTTCAGATTGCCCATGGGCCTCTTTGACAGGCATGCACGCCTGAACTTTCGAAAACACACAGAAGTGAATGCATGCAGTCTGCACACTGAAACGTGTCTCCGACGTGCATCTACACATGCACAAACACACACACTGTCTTTGTCTGATGTCCACCGCATGCAGAGGCACTTCAGATAAACACCTGTTGCCTCCTAGGCCAAAATGAGGGCATGGATGCCCCCACCCTACCCTCTGAGAGCCCAGCATTGCCTGAGGTCCCTGAGGCCCCTGTGGGAGGACAGACCATCTTCTTTCAGCTTCTCGAAAGCACAGCTTCTTCTCAGCATCCACTGCCATGCAGCCTCCAGCCCACACAACCACAGGAGCCCAGCTCCTGGGTACCCTGCCATGTACTTAAACAGCCTCTTCTTGATCCCTTGTAATCTCCTGGCTTTTCCTCCTCTCTTCCTTTTTCTGCTTCTTCAGCTCCTCTTTTTCATCCTCTGCCACTGACTCTCCATGGAAGCCTCCATAAGGCATTCAAGCCCCTCCCCAAGGCCTGAGGCGGGAGCCCCTCTTTGTCCCCATGGAAGGGGGCAAGGGAGGAAAGGAGGTGGGGAGAGGGTCTCTGGAGTCTGGGGCACAAGCAAACATCTGAGCTGAAGGAGCGTCCTTCTTCCCAATTCCAAATCCTGAGATGATAAACTGAAACACCAGAAAGCACAAAGCACAGTAGTTTAAAGGCAGCAACGTGGAGGGGGTGGCCTGACCTGGCTCCCTATCCTCACATAGGAGGACGGCCAGAGTGGGTGGGGCTCCCAGGCACACACCCAGAGTGCTGCCTGTTCTCCACCAGGAGGAAGATTTGTTTCTCCCTAAGTGAGACTCTGGTCCCTCTAGAAGGCACAAAGCTTAGGCTTTGCCATGGGGTGGGAATGTGGGGAGTGGGCTGGATAGAGAGCTGATGATGTCCCTGTCCACAGAGGCATATGCATAGCCCACAGCTGCAAGATCCTGCCTGGGGGAGCCTGAAGCCCACCACCGAGTAACATTTCAGGGTTTTCAAATCAAGTCAATCCTATGGGTTAGCTAGGGCGAGGACCACCACGCCATTTGTTAGATAAGGAAAATGAGACATAGGACTCAGAAGATTCACTACAAAGTCTTGCACCGTGAGGTGGGGGGTGAATGACCATTGACTCATCACCAAACTACTCTCTACACTAACTCTTCATGGCAATTCCTTGAGCTCTTCTCCTTTTCATCCTGGGAAGTCTGCTGGTCAAGGGGCTCAGCCCATAGCTCCTAGGGGTAGAAGAGGGGATCACACTTGGTTCTTGGCTCTTCCTGAGGCCATGCCTGCAAGCCATTTTCAAGGCTCTGTTGACTTTAGCATTAATGAAATGAGCTCTTCCATCCAGGGCATATGTGTTAGTTTGTTCTCACACTGCTATAAAGACATACCAAGACTGGGTAATTTATAAAGGAAAGAGGTTTAATTGACTCACAGTTCGGTATGGCTGAGGAGGCCTCAGGAAACTCACAATCATGGCAGAAGGGGAAGGGGAAGCAAGCACTTTTTTTCACCAGGTGACAGGACAGAGAAGAGCAAAGGAGGAACTTCCAAACACTTATAAAACCATCAGATCTCATGAGAACTCATTGACTCTCACGAGAACAGTGTAGGGGGAAACTGTCCCCATGATCCAATCACCTCCCTCCCTCAACACTTGGGGATTACAATTCGAGATGAGATTTGGGTGGCGACACAGAACCAAACCATGTCAGCATGTGTTTTCTTTCCACCAAGTGCTTTGCATTCACTATCCACGTGGTCCTACCACATTTTTGTGGAATTGGTTCTATTATTATTGCTTTACTTACTATTACTACTATTTCTACAATGCTTCAATAAAAGAAGGCTCATTGAGTTTTGGGAAACTCCTCAGAGTCCTAAGAGAAGTATGTGGCTGAGTTGGGCATTGAATGATGGCCCAAAGAGGAGGAACCCCTGCACACCCAACCCAACACACACACACACACGTTGTTGTTCATGTACTTTGGTCACTCCTTGGCTTACAAGCCAATAGAACTCTCTTTGGATTTCCAGAATTTTAGAAGCTGAATTTTGCCCACAGTTGAGTCACGGCCAGCTCCCATGAAGCCACATCATTCAGGTCATGGGGTTTGAAAGGCCAGGAAAAGCCACCAGTAGCCACCATCCTGCCCCTACAGCACATTCTGCACATGCACACACACACACACATCCAACACATATTTGCTCTGGACAGGTAGAAAGGCTCTTAGCTCTCTGCTGTCTTTTTCTGTTCTGGGGAATTTGGGCCTAATGAAATGGATACATAAGGAAGACCAGAGTGTGGGGTAAGAGTAGAAACCTGTGGGAAAACGATATGCCATTTCAGCTTGGGCTTTCCTAGGAATAGCTGGTAGGGGCTTTGGATGTGAATGTGAATCATGTTTCTACTGCTCAGAACCCACTGTGGTCCCTGCAGCAGTCTCCAGAAGTTGGCTTTAAGTCTCCTGAGCTCCCCTCTCATGTGCTTAAACTGTGGAAACTCTTTTAACCTCAGAGAATAGAGGGAATTCCCCCTTATAAGGTCCCTGGCAGATGGTTATCCAGTCCCTGTTTAAACCCTTCTAGTAACGGGGCTTTCCCTGCCTCATTTCTGAACTATGTATGAGTAGGCATATGCTACTCTCATAATCCTGGCCAATGGTTCTACAGTCCCTGTTTAAACCCTTCTAGTAATGGGGCTTTCCCTGCCTCATATCTGACCTATGTATGAGTAGGCATGCATGATGAATGGCTACCGGCTGTTTCTCTGAACTTCTCATCCTGAGACACAAAGGGAATCCCCTCCAAAGTTCCCCCTGTCCAAAATTCTCTCCCAGCAGCCTCAGTTATGAGACATCCCACCAAGACACAGTTATAGCTCCACAAGGCTACCTCAGTGTGCAAGGGAAGGACTGGAGAGTGAGGAGAAAGAAGAGAGGGGAGGGGAAGGAAGAGGAAGCAAACCCGCCTCCCTGCCCCTCGATGTCTTTTGCAGCTGGAAAATGTTGGGGGTGTGGAGGGTGGGAGGTTCTGCCACAGAAGGAGGTTTTGAAGCCTCACGTGATAATAAGAAAAGATGGATCATCTCCAAGTAGATCACCCCTGCCCACAGGTTCTTCTGGAGAGTGGTACAGTGCAGTGGCTGAGTGTGGGCTTGGGAATCACATGACGCTGGCTTGGAGATCCAGCCTTGCAGCTTACTTAGTTCTATAAATTCTCTGAACCTCAATTGACTTCTTTGAAACATAGAAATAATAATACTACATTATACAGTCATTGAGGATTAAATAAGATAATTAATGTAAAGTGCCAGGCACAGGCTTGGAACATAGAAGGTGCTCCATACATAGTAATTATTATTATTAAGCCCAGAAAGCTCTGTCATTCAGGAATAAAAGACTAAAAATAATGATAATAGCTACGTGCCGTGGCTTACACCTGTAATCCCAGCACTTTGGGAGGCTGAGGCAGGAGGATCACTTGAGGCTGGGAGTTCAGGATCAGTTTGGGAAACATGGTGAGAGCCTGTCTCTATAAAAAATAAAAAAATTAGCTGGGGGTGGTGGCATATGCCTGTGGTCCCAGCTATTCAAGAGGCTGATGTGGGAAGATCACTTGACCAGGGAAGGTCAAGGCTGCAGTTAGGTATGATTGTGCCACTGCACTCCAGCCTTGGCAATAGAGCAAGACTGTGTCTCAAGTAATAATAATTAATACTACTAATAATAGCAGCTAACATTTACAAGATGTTTATGATGTACCAAGTATTCTTCTAAGAATTGTATCTGTTAACTAATTCTAATTCTAACAACAACCTTGTGAGGCTGCTACTATTATTTCTCTCATTTTACATATGGAAAAGCTGAGGTGTAGAGAGCTTTAAAAAACCTGCTCAACTCTATACAACGGGTAGAAGGGTACGGTGGGCACTACGTACAGCTGGGCAACGTTGGAAAATCCCTTCCTCTCTCTGGGTCTTAGTGACTACTTCTGTAAAGTGGGGAAATTGATCTATTAATATTTCCTGGGTTATCATGAGTATTAACTAAAATTGTGGATAAAAATGGTCAAGCATAATGTCTGGTACCTGGTAGGTGCTCAAATAAATGTGGATGTCCCTTTCAGGGGGCCATCTCTTCTTTTTCACCTTCTGGCCACTCTTTATCCATTTCCTGCTGGAATAGAATGCTGTAAGCAGAGAGACACTGCCTTGCAAGGACTTGGAAAGACATGAGACAAGAATCCTCACCCGATCATGAACATAATGAGGGGCAGTGTGCAGGTCCGAGATGAGGCCCGGCATGCTTCATTCCTAATTGAGAGAAAGGGAAGGCTTTTATAGTTCAGAGGGCTAGGGAGGCAGGGGGATGGACTAAATGACCCCACAAAGCCCATTCCCTCCTTACTCTGTTCAAAGTGGCACTTTTTCTTCTCCCCACCCCCGCCCCAATCCCCACCGTGCAGGCAGCTCTATTTTATCCATGCTGGACCGGCCCTCACTGCATTCTCACCTTTGCTGGAAATAAGGAATAAATAAATACAAGGTTCCTGAAACTGTCTCTCTGAAGTTTAAGACAATACAGTGCAGGCCCCCTTCACCTGCCCAGAAACCCGAGTTCTTGTCTCTCCTTGCCCCCTCCTACTCCTGCTGCTGTCTTCAGCACACATTAAGATTCCTCTCCAAGGGCTGCTGTAAAGGCAGGATGGCAGGGGCGGTGATATAATAACGGACAGCAGGACCCCTGGGCAGGAGATTCTGATAGCTGGTTCACTAAGAAAAGCTCACAGAGAAAGCAGGGGAAGCCAATGCTTTTCCACCAGCCAGAGCCCGGCTAATTGCCACCGGGGAGAAGGGCAGAGTTCACGCAGGTAACAGGTGTGCCTTGTCTTAATGAAGACTGACTTGTTTGCCCAGAGCTGCCTGCGGAGGTAAGAGGAGCAGGAGGAGGGACGTGTGCTGCTTGGCTCCACGCTGGACTCCACCAAATTAGAGGAGCTGGTTTTGTCCCCTTTATGACCCACCCTGGGGTTGGACATATGGGAAGAAGGGGAGATAAATAGTATCCCCAAAATGGTGCTCGCCTAAGAGAATGGTGGCAACTTGATTATTTGTGGGTGGTGTATTCACTTTGCAAGATATCTCTGGCCTTGTTACTGTCCAGAAAAATTCAATTAGGAGATAGCAAGGACAGCGATGGGACAAGGGAGGGGAGAAATGAGGAGAGGGCAGGGCAAGAGGGAGAGACCATGAGTGTGCTGTGGGAAGGGAGAGGTGGAAGAAGAGAGCTGGGGCACACACAGCTCTGAATGCAATTCAACAACAAGTATTTATTAATTGTCTATTATTTGCCTGGCACTTTACTGGGCACTGGGGACATGGGGAAGAATAAGCACAGTCCCTGCCCTAAATCTGACAGGGGATGCTGCCATGTAAACAGACATTGCAGCACACTATGAGGTGCTGTAGTAGAGGCTATCGCTGCATGTACAGGGAGAAGAGGCATAAAAATGGAGAGGAAGTCAGGAGGAGTTAAAAAAAAAAAGCCACATAGAGATCAGAGGACACTTTAGAGGAAACCATGAGGATGAATTTGAGTTCACCTGGTGGGGCAGTATAGGGGCAAAGGAGGTTGAAGGGAGGACATTCCAAGAATAAAAAATCAAAGGAGCAAATGGGCACAGTATATTCAAGGCAGAGTGGGTAGTCCCTGGGGAGAGAGAAGGGAGCAGAGAGATGCCTCTGCAGAAGTCTCCTGGGACCAGAACATGAAGAACATGAACAATACCCCAAGGAGTAGGGCTTTTGTCTAGGAGACACCCAGGGTTATCAAGCAGCAGTTTTGGGTGCTCCTCTCTTATAGAATTACGCTCTCTCTCCTCTACGGCCACAGACAATCAAGGGTGGGCAGCAGTAAGTGGGGCTTACAAGGGGCTATTCATCTTTCTTCAGCAGACTTTTGAGCACCTCTCCTTCTTCTTTCCATCTCAGCCTCACATCCTTCCAGTAAGAGACAAAATGATTTCAGATCAGGGCACAACAGATGGAGGCACAAAAACACAGAAAGATTGGGGGCTTGCCCAGGGGTGCTCAGTGTCTGCTCTGGGTCCAGCTGCCCTGTCCCACTCCTGACTCAATTACTCCATCATCCAGATTTAACTGATGAAAACCATTAATCACTGAACTGGTCAAGGTCGAAAGGATGAAATCCTGGAATGACCAACCAGCAACCAAAACCATGCACATCCTGGATACCTTGCCTAAAGCTCAGCACAACAATGCAAAGCGTGTATCAGTTTCCCATGAGAAAACTAAAGCTCGCAGAGATTATGTAACTTACTCATCATCACAGAGCTAGTGAGAGACTGAGTTGGGATTGGAAGCCAGGTATAGTTGACACAATGGCCTGTTTTCTGTTTACCATCACTTATCAGAACAGTAAGAGTTAGGGGAAAGACGGGATGGAGACTGGGTGGAGATGGCATCCAGAATTGATCCAGTGCCAAGGACTAGAATCTTGTTAATTCCACTCTATGATGTGTTAGAAACAAGGGGGTGGGAGAGGACAACATAGTTGTGTTAGTTTTGTGTTGCCATTTTTTTTTTAAATCTCTGAGATGTCCCAAAATGTTGACTTTGTAAATTTGTTCAGTGAGGAGGTGGGTAAACACAAGCATTCGGAATGTGAACAGCATCATCCAGCCAGAACGCCCAGCAGGTTTGCAGAGGTAGATGTAAAACACTACAAACAGCATGCGGGAGCAACCAGCTCTCCCTGAGAGGGAAGTATAGCCTCAGCATGGAACTGGAAGCCCCCTAGAAGGCCATGGCATGCTGAGAGGGAGGAGAGGCACTCTGCCAGGCCTTCCAGCTATCCCTCGGGGCCCTCTCTTCAGGAGGGCAAGGCCGTACAGTTCACAGCACACCCATTTCAAGCCTCAGTGAGTTCAGTGAAATGCCATTTCCCCAGGTCAGCATTTTACATTACACCAGCCCAGTATCCCTGCTTGACTGCAAAGCATTAACTAGGGCCCTGCCTCAATCAAACATGCTGCCATGGTGTGACAGGATGCATTCTGTGTAACGACAGGCAGAATGTCAGAGACCTGGGGAGGAAAGCTTGCAATCTGTCCAACAGTGCAACGGGAAGCTCAGGAGTTACTGAGCACCTCGTCATTGGAAGCATCCAAGAAGACATTGGATAGGCATCTACATTGCATAGTGTACTGGAGTCACATTTGGTCTGAACTGGAATTCTGGCTCTACCATTTATTGGCTCAATTTCCTGCAGCCTCAGTTTACCCATTGGAAATGGGGGGAAATAAGGGTATCTATCTCACAGGGTTGTTGTGAGGAGAAGATCATGCATAAAAATGGCTTAGCACAGTGCTCCATAAATGAGAGAGACAATGATGAAGGTGAAGGTGCTGGCGATGGCGGTGGTGAGTATATAAAGAGGAAGAGGAGAGTGAACACATTCTTGACTCTGAAGGGAGTTTAATGAGGAGCAGTTGCAATGGGGCACTCTGTAGAACTTGCCATTTTGACAGCCCTGCTTCCATGTGGAGAGCTAAATAGAGGAGGCTCTGGGAAAGTTATCCCACAATAAAACCCACCCAGCCCTTCCTACCTTCGTTGTGAGTCAGACACATTCTCCCATGCCTAACCCTGCCTATGTTCTCTCCCAGAACTCTGGACAGAGAGATACAATTCAGCCAATTAGAGCACTGCTTAATTGCTAGCATTTTGCAAACCACTGCCTTATTGGCTAGAAGGGCAATAATATCAAAAAGACCTCCTGGTGACTTCACAGTTGGGAAAAATAGATGCTCCTAAGTCATCCCTTCTACCCTCCTCTAAGTAACAAACACCTTTCTCCCCTGGGGAAATTTCTTCTTTCATTTGCTGTAAAGTGACTTCTGCTGAAGTGTGTGTTTTTGAAGTGGAAAATTGAAAGCACATGATTCATTCCAAAAGCAAACTGTTAGTTCACAGCTGAGAAATCACTTTGCTATTGGTCCAAAGAGTTGCTTCTCAGGTTTGAGGGGGGCAAATTTGTAACTCCACTTTCACCCTCTCCGACTACAGAACCACTCCATTGACAGACCAAGAGCCAGAGAAATGAAGATCGAAATAGCACCTTTATTCCTGATAATGTTAAATTAGAGGGGGTGGCTTGTGTCAGACCAGAATGACCTGCTACTCTACCCCTGAGCTGATCTGATCCCCCAAAACTTCAGGCTTCCCCAGTCGGGGCAGAGCCAGCCCCACGAATCTTACCACATGGCTGACAGCAGAGCTTGTGTGTTCTCCCAGGGCAGGCATATACCAAAAGAGAGGGAGAGGGAGGGGAAGAGAGTGAGTCATACATAAACTCAAGTGACAAATCACTCCTAGCTGGGTCAAAAAGGGAGTAGAGAGGGGCCAAGTGTGTGGGGTCAGGGAAGTCCCTCTATATGAAAACTAGAGAAGGAAGGGGATAAAAATTCCCCAGATTTTTGTTATCTTAACCAGCTGGGCTTAATGTTTAACCCCTGGACAACCAGGTATGTGGTCATCTGGCTCCAGGAGGGGATGAGCTAACTATCTGAGCAGGAGGTCGCTCCCCCAGCATCAACTTCTGTTCCTTCCTGTGCCTTCCTGGGACCATCCTAAGACACTGTTGATTTCACTTCCATAAGCCTCTGAGATGAGCCAGAACAGTGTGTTAATAAAATCCAGTCCAAGGCTATGTTGTGTCTAAGACTGCAAGTTCAGAGCCTGTTCTATTTCCAATCCAAATTGATGTCCAGCCACATGGACCACTAACCTCATCAGAGGTTCTGTAATGAGGTTTAATAGCAGAGTGAAGATACTTCAATAATAAAATGCATAAAGAGCTAATAAAAAATGCATAAAGATTTCTTCAATAATAAATGGGAAAATAAGATGTCCCAAATTTGGATATAAACCCTTCCCATTATCAAATTCCTAGGGAAAAATTTAGAGATTAAAATCCCAAAGAGATTAAAGTCCAAAATCAAAGTATTTAGCCCTTGCGAATTAAAGCCCAAAGAAAGTCCAAATTGCCCAAGTTACATTTAAGTTTAAAGCAGTGGAGATCCTCCCCAGTTCCCTACTCTGCTCAGTCTCAGGCAGCAGCACTCTTGGTGTCTGAGCAGAGGGAGGAACTCCGTGAGCAGCTGGATCCTGAGTTGGCTTCCACTGGGGTGTATGTGTGTACCTCCTCAGAACCTCAGAAATGAGATCATTCAACTCCAAGCCTCTCATGCACTCCCTTTTTTAACAGCCCAAATAATTAATAGCACATTAAAGCTTATCAAAGCTCTCTCCTGACACCAATAAAATTTAGAAAACCAGGCATTCTGAAGCCCCTACAGCAGTTGTCCCAGGCAAAATTATGTGCCCAGCCCCAGTGCTCAGTTTTGCCAGAGACCATAGCAGAGCATCCTGGTACCTGAGGGAAGCAGGAAGCCAGAGATGGTCCCGGTCCAGCCCTAACAGGTTCCCATCAGTGCCTGCCAGTATCCCAGAGTCCATGACCTTTACCCATCAATCACAGGGTTATTCCTGGCACTGTTTTATTAATGCCCTGTTTCTCCCTCCATGGAGAACACCACCATATCCCCACATGCCTGGACTCTCCTCTGCTGGAATTGGCCTCTCCCTGCTGGCACCTCCCAGGCCAGGGCTCAGCACCTGAAATGGCAGAATATTGGCTGCTCCAGCAAGGAGCCAGACTGGGATGGAAATTTCAAAGGAAATATCCAGAAACTGGTTTCACAGCTCAAAACCCTCACTCTTGTCAAGGGTATTAAAAAAATAAGTGTGTGGGAGGTTGACAGGAAGGTATTTGTGAAGAGGGCTTCTTTAGAGACAGGTGAGCTGTGAGTTCCACCTCCCTAAGGGGAGAGGCAGGTGTAACTGTACCTTATCTCCAGTCTGCTAGGGGGTCTTCAATGGGACCACTCAGACAGCAGAGTGTATGTCCCCTGTAGTGTGGGAGAATGAGTGCCTGACATGTGACCTTCACCTGTAAAATCTGGGTGACAGAAGGGAGGAAAGCAGAGGAGGTGGCACATGGGTGAGTTGCTCTCCCAGTATCTGCTCAGGCAAAGATGCCTAAGTGTTTCCTAGGGTTTTCATATGGGCTTTGCAAGCAAGAGAGCTGGGATGGTACAAAGTTAGGCCCTGCCCACTGGGCCGCATGCAGGAACAATGGGACCTCTGCCGATACAAGCTGACCATTCAACCCCTGCCCTGTTGCAGGCACTGGCTGGGGAGAGAGAAACCAGCTATAACTTTGTATGAAGTTGGAAGCTTTGACCATTACATGGGATCAGGCATTCTAAATATGAGTTCAATCTAGATATGATTTCAGGTATCATTGAACATTTTATTTCCCCCAAAATATTCCTAAAGGTCATGGATCTTTCCATGTACATATTTGGGGTTAGTAGAACTTTCCTCCTTAAGTAAATGTAAATAGTGGGAAATCAAGAAAGTTGCTTTGTGATTTCATTTCAAGCTTTTTCAAAGAACAGGTCACAGTGGCATAGCACTCTTACAGATTCTTCTTTACTTAACTTGCAGCATGGTTATCTGTGGACACATCTCATCTCTGGCCAGTAGACTGTAAGCTTCTTGTAGACAGGTGTCTTCTTTATCGATTACAACTCCTTTCTGAATGTTTGGAACATGGCATGTATTCAGTAAATATCTGAGGATAAAACGAAAACAGAAAGGAAGGGAGGATGGGAGAGACAGAGAGAGTGACAGAGAGAGAGAGAGAGAGAGAGAGAGAGAAATGAGAGAGTCAGAGCATCCGTGAGACTCTTGTGCAGCAAAGATCAGTTCATCAATAGAACCAGAGTACTATGGGGCTAGAAATTGATGGGCATCTTCCCCACATGCTGCCATGTATTTTTTGTCTTTGAAGCTTTTGCCACAGATTACCCTCTGGTCCAGAACTGCACATAGCCACTCACTGCTGGCCATTAGTCACAGGTCAGATGAGCAGAAATGCTGCTGGGCTAGTCTAGAGATTGCTGGCTAGGAGTCCAGAGTTCCTGGTACTGGGTCTGGGCATTCATGCCCGGAACTCTTCATTGCCTCATCTAGTAAGTGGGGATGGCAATGTCTCCTCTGCTAAGCGGTCAGGGTTATTATGTAGAGTATTTGGAAAGAGCAGGTTTCAAAAGTGATTGCCAGGTGCTGGCACCTGCCCCAGATTTCAGCTGCCCTTTGAGAGGCTGTCATAACCCACATAGGCTGGGCCCTGGGGGCTTCCCTCTCAGGCTGGGATCAGAACACTACAATGTAGACAGCTTAGGAGATCCTGGGCCGGGCCCTTCCTCTCTTCATGACTGCAGCCCTCCCCATTTCGCCTGCTCTCCTGAGGACTAAAGGGTTAATGAGTAGGAAAATAAGAGAGATTTTAGTGCCTGCTCTGTCTTTGCAATGCTGCCTTTTCCCTCTTTGACACTTTGCCTTCACAGTCCATTCTATAAAACGGGCTCCGAATGTGCACTGATGTTGTCCTGCTGCAGTTAGTGATGAAGCCACATCAGAGCCTCTCTTGATGCTGCTTCTCTAAACTGTGGTGTGCATATGAGACAGAGACAAAGAAAGAAAAAGAAAAGGGAGGAGGAGGAGGAGGAGGAGGAGGAGGAGCGAGGGGGTAACAGGGAGGGAGGAAAATAAAGAGAGGGAGGGAGAGGAAAAAGAGGGAGACTTACCATCTCTCTGTATTTTTAATTACATAAATAATACATGTTCATTGTAAGAAGTCCCATAATAAAGGGATGTGTTTTTAAGTGAATGGTCTCACCTTACCTCTCTCCTTCTATCTTGAAGTAAGTCTGGGGATCTCCCTGAAATCTTATGAACTCCAACGTACTTATTTGACCCCACAAATCCTCTGCTTCTCACCTAACCTCACCCCTCCTGTGTTCTCCTACACACACACACCCCACATCCTTGTCTCTCTGCTGCCTCACAAATCTCTCCCAGGCTAATTTGTTCCATACCCTTCTATAGGCAAAGCCTAGTACATCATAATTGCCAGCCTGGTCTAGAATCCACTGAACTATTCTATGTGTCCTTCACTTTGGAGAATCCTGAAATAGCCACCATAAAATTCCCTTGGCAGTCCCTTCCTAAAGAGGAGGGCCATCCTACAGACACCATTAGGAAGATTGTAGAACTGAGCAGGGAGGTACCACTGTGAGACTAACATCAATGAAATGCGTCTGAACATTTCCAGAGCTGAGCAAACCATATGTCTTCATAATTTGATTGTGTCCTGGTCCCAGAGGCACCTCCAGCTCTATTGAACACCGATGGAGTTATTTAGGATCATAAATAATATTATCAGAGAGGGTCCACTGGGTAAACAGAGTCAGTGTGTAAATTGTCGGAGTGAGATATTGATTGTTCTTAACTGACTAATGAATTATTCTGTTTAAGAGCCCATAGAAATAGTGCATATCATTTCAAGGCAATAGGGCCTTTGAAGGATTTTCTTGACAAGCAGCTTCTATCTAGTAGTGTTGGCTGCCATAGCTGAGGAACAGCACTTCATCAGCCACTGTGCCACCACAGGAAAATAACAGGCAACCCCATGGTGCAGGGGCCCCAGAAGGAGTTATGAGGTCCAATGAGGGTGAGGAATGGAGACAACTGCCAGATCCAGCCAAATCCAGCCCCTTGCTGCTGCAGGTTTCAGATCAGGTCTCCACGAAGTTCACAGGCTTCAGATCTATTGCAGAAGTGCCCAAGATGAGGGTTCCAGAGTAGGGACTTATTGACATACGACTTTGTGTATTGTCTATGAGCTATTCATTCCATGCTCTGACCTTCCTCAGTGACCTGCCAGTGGCCGACTGAGCCCATGCTTTTAATGCAAGGCTATTGGTGAGAGTTTCAAAAGGTGGAGGTTGCTGCTAATTTCTGTACCTGCCCCTGCTTTTAAGAGTATAGTGACTCTCCTGCCTACAAGTCTACATCTTGGCCCCTTTCCTTACTCTATGACCCTTTAACCTTCCCAGTTTCTACCCAGCTCTTGGCCCCTTGTCAGTCTTTATTCTCTTTACTATAGAAGGTCTTTTCACATCTCCCCCTACTCCACTTAACTGTTGGACTACTTGTCTTTTTCTTAATGGCTTTTCTGAATTCTTTATATTTTATTGAATCTATTTGTACTAATCCTTTACTGAATCTATTTGTTACAAATATATTTCTTCCCATCTGTGCTTTGTCTCTTCTCTTTCTTCATGCCATTGTTTTGGTGAACATACATTCTCAATTTTAATGTATTTACATTTATCAACTTTTGAATTCATTATTAATACTTTTTGTGTTATGTTGAAGAAATCTTCCACCCCTCATAGTTACAAAGAGAGCCTCCTTTATTTACTTCTAAATGTTTAACAGCTTGGCCTTTTACATTTAAGTCTAGTTTTTCAAGAAATTATTTTTAGGATTTGTGCATTAGGATCCAATTTCAGTTATTCTGTATAAGTACAGGCAATTGTCCCAGCCCCGGTGTTAAGTTGTCCCTTATCTCCCCAGTGACCTGCAAGGCCACCAGTCATATAAGTTTCTGTGGATATGTCGCTAGCACTGTATTCTGATATATTGGTCAATTAGTCTATCCCTGTGCTAATACCACAATATCTTTTTTTTTTTTTTTAAATAGAGACAGGGTCTTGCTATGTTAGACAGGCTAGCCTCCAACTCCTGGCCTCAAGCTTTTCTCCCACCTCAGCCACCCAAGGTGCTGAGATTACAGCTGTGAGCCACTGCATTCAGCTATAGTACCACGGTATCTTAAACATCTACAGCAGTGGTCCCCAACATTTTTGGCATCAGGGACTGGATCAGCGGAAGACAATTTTTCCATGGACGTGCAGGGCAGGTGATGATTTCGGGATGAAACTGTTCCACCTTAGATCACCAGGCACTAGTTAGATTCTCCTAAGGAGCATGCAACCTGGATCCCTTGTATGTGCAGTTCGCAATAGGGTTCGCGCGCTTATGAGAATCCAGTGCCACCGCTGATCTGACAGGAGGCAGAGCTCAGGCAGTAATGCTTGCTGGCCACTCACCTCCTGCTGTGCAGCCCAGTTCCTAACAGGCCACAGACTGGTACTGATCCACAGCCCAAGGGTTGGGGACCCCTGGTCTTCAGGAAAATCTCCTCTTTCTGTTTACTGACTTCTCCCCAATGACTCTCTAGTCCAATCCAGTCCTCAAGACCTAACCCCTCTAGGAATTCTTCCATAATCCTCTATCAGCCAGTCCTCTCTCTCTTCCCCTTCTTTGATCTTTACCTCTATCATTTATTTACAATTTATTACATAGTGTCATGTGCATATATCTCTGTCTCACACACTAACTCCTGTGAACAGGGATTATTTCTTTTACTTCTTTTTTTCTCTGTTCAGCTCCAAACCCATCCCTAAAACCTCACATAGTACCAGACTTCCTATAGATTCAATGAATACCTGTTGAAAAGATTCAAAGGTCAATCTCAGCTTAGATCTTTACATCTCAGTGGACTTCCCCATCCTGGCAAAAAACAACAATTTGGGCACTTCTGGACACATTACACCTTAACCATAACTTATTTTTTTTCTGGCCTATCAGAGCAAACTCAGTGGAGTTAACGAGGCTGAATAAACATGGTAGAGGAGTGAAAACCACCTTCTTGTCTTTTCCATGGAAAACTAAGGCAATCAGGTGCATTGGGCCATATGCTACAGGAGCAAACATCCACAGGGTTGGAGGTAGTACCAGGTCCAGTTTGAAGCCCAGGGCAGCCTCTCCACTTCGTCAGCCCAGCAGACTGAAATCCTCTGCCAACCACCAGAGGGGATGCTTGGAGTCTTGTACTTGCTGCCCCCACACCAATTTACAAAACTGCCTTAGTCTTCCTAGTCAGGTCTGCATCATGAGCCAGCAAAGGAGGCTACCAGAAAAGGGACTTCCTGCAGCTAGGAATAGAACTGACACAGTGAAGTCTTGCAAAGCTCCTGAAGAGAGGAAACCTTCCTGGCACTAGCTGATGCTGGTGATGCTGCAATATAGATTCCAGCCAGGTGAGGGAAGTGGAGGTTTATACTGGTGTAAAATGTACAAGAAAAGGAAGGGGGAAGCAGAAGGAACAGAGAATGTACTTGGTGGTTGAGAAAGGACTTACCATACCTCTTCTTTCACTCAACAAATACTTGTAAAGATCCGCTATATATCAGGGACTCTGCTAAGTGCTGAAGACTCAGGAATGAAGCAGACCCTAGTTCCTGTTTCTTTTAGAAGCTCACATCTTGGGTACAGGCTAGCCTTCTCATTTCCCTTCATGTCCAGAATGCTGGAGCACAGCTAGATCTTCTGCTGTCAATTAGGAGAAGTGAAAACTGCCACCAACATTTCTACATAGTGCCCCCACCAGAGCGGCAGCCGGGCACGATGGCTGTGGAGTAAGTTGCTTAGCCCCAAGTCGTTTGCCTTTGTTTTCTGAGTTCAACCTTCAAGTTAATTCAGAGCAAAAGACAGTTACTTAAATCCAGATATTTTATCTTAATGTGGGTAATTCCCATAATATCATACATTAAGATGTCTGATTTCAGCTGCCACCCAACAGGTGGCAGGGATGTTGTTTCAGATCTGTTTTATCGCTGCATGTGCATATGTTTCTATTTCGTTAATGGCACGAGAGGCTGTCACCAAATTGGTCTCGCATTCAAAGTGTGGAAATAGAAGCAGTTAGATCCTGACCTTTATGTAAGTTAGGAGCTTTGTGCATTGAGTGCATGTGTGTGTACGTTTATGCCTGAAAGAAGGGAAGAGGCAGGAAAGAGGATATAATTGCCAACCCCCCACCAAGGACCCATGTAGTTCATCGGTACAAACGACAACTGGAAAACCAGATCTTAAGGAACCAATGGCCCGTTGCATCTCAAAAGCCCCAACGAGGCAAACCCGGTGGCTTTTTGCAGAGCCCAGTTTGTCAATAGTAAGAAGGTAAATTGCAAGGAGAGCACTTTTGTGCTCTCAGCCCTCCTCACCCCACCCAGTCATCTCAGCCAAATTAGCAACGCTTCACGGGGCTGTTTGTTTGGGACTGATTCTGCTGCCTCTGCTCTGTTGTTCACCAACATAGGCTGGGAAGCTGCCAAGAGATTAAGCGATCATGGTTAGCCTGTTACTTGAACTGCTTTCTTCTGGAATATTAAAAGTTTTACAGCCTCAAGCAGCGCACTTTGGCTCCTAGTAATTAATACCAATTTTGCCATAATATCTTATTTTTGTGGGCATTATCTTGTTTTTCATGAGCTGAAAAAAGATTGCTGCAGCTTATGAAATATGTTATAATGTCTCGCTTTGCACAATCATATTTGTGTCATTATCTGGCCCCTCAAGCAGCTAATTTAGCCCACATGATAAAGAGCAATATTTATTTTCCTACTGATTATTTGAGGGGCACTCTTTCTACCATGTTGCACATATGGGCAAATCAAGCCTTGATCACAAACACATCCTTCAAGTCTTAGCTCCCTGGCCATCTCTATTGACTTTGCCTGACACCTCCTAGCAAACCTGGACCCTCCATCTTCCTGACTTTTGTTTTTAACATATATTCTCATTATAGATCTCAATACATTGCTTTTTTGTATTTGTCTCCCCATAAGACCATGAGTTTTTGAGGACAGAAATTATATCTTCTCTTCTGTATAGATTTTGTCCCTATTTCAGAGCCTCACACATTGTATGTGCTCAGTAAATATTTATTGCCTGGGTGCAGTGACTCATGCCTCTAATCCCAGAACTTTGGGACACGGAGGCAGTGGATTGCTTGAGCTCCGGAGTTTAAGATCAGCCTGGTCAACAAAGTGAGACACCATCTCCACAAAAAATACAAAAACTAGCCAGATGTGGTGGTGCACACCTGTTGTCTCAGCTACTCGAGAGGCTGAGGTAGGAGGTCTCTTGAACCTGGGAGGCAGAGGTTGCAGTGAGCTGAGATTGTGCCACGGCATTCTGACCTGGGTGAAAGAGCCAGACCCTGTCTCAAATGAATGAATGAATGAATATGTATTAAATGATTGGTCATAATTTTGTTTAACATATTAAATAAGTTCATATAAGCAAAGAACTTAGCAGAGGACTTGACACAGAGCAAACATTCAATATAGGTTAGTTGTTATTATTATAGCAATTTATGTGAAGCCAAACTTTGTTTTTCTGCAATTTGCACATCTTGGTCCTTGTTCTTCCCTGTGGGTTGTAAGCCAGTGTTGGTAAGCCTAAAAATGCTGCTGTCAGCAGGAACTAGCTGAGCTACTGTTACTGGCTAGGGTAGGAGCACCAGGCCCTGGAGGGTAGGGGTTGTTGGAGGATGACTCATCATACTCCCCTGCACCGGGAAATGTACTCATGTTTGTACAGAATATGAATATTTCCAAGGAATTTCCATAAATGCTGTTTTATTTGATCATCCTAAAAAGCTGGTGGTATAGATGGTATGGTATCATTTTATCTCCATTTTATGGATAGTTTCTGGTGTTCTGCCCAAGACTGTATATACTATGAAGGATAGAAGTGAAACTTGAATCCAGGATTTTTGACTCCACTGCAAAAACCTCTAGGCCTATGACCCCCAATATCCTTTGAAATGGCCCTTCATAGTGGTGGCTTCAAAAGATAAATGGCATCATTAGACCTAGGTACTCCAGAGTAGCCCACGCAGAAAGACTGCCCTTGCTACCCCCTTCCAGACAACTGAGGCAGGGAGCTTATCTTCCAACTCTGTCTGCCCCTTCACTTTATGCTTTTGGTCCTGGCTGTGGCCCAAAGTCTCCCTGGTGCTGTCTTCTCTTGATACCTTAATACATTCATGGAGTTGACAAGCATAAAAGATGGAGTACCTCTCCTCCAGCTGTCAGCTGATTGGCCTGCTGGGAGCCAGTGGGTCATACTACACTAGTGAATCAGGAGAAATGTTGTCTGGTGCTGGCATCACAGAGGGTCTTGGGGCATAGGGACTGCATTATTTTATAACCTCACCTTTGGGCAGAGAGAGCCTCTCCCTGTGCAAAGAAAGGATAGTTGGTCCTCCCACAGAATCATAGTATCCAATGTGGGAGGCTTCATGGTGTGGAGGAAAAAGCATATTCTAGTTCTACCACTGATTAATCATGTTGGCTTGAGCAAACGACATTCCCACTTAGAGACTGAGTGCCCTCTTCAATAAAATGAGTGGAGAAAGTTAAAAAAAAAAAACAGGTATTGTAAAAGACCCAATGAGACAACGTATAAGAAAAACATTTCAGAAACTAAAGTCTATATAATGGAAGGGATTATTCTGCTTGAAGCTGATTTCTATGACTTTCAAGTTATATCTGTCATCCTCTTCAAATTTAATGTGGCTGTGACTTTTACACACTCCCTCCATGTTTTAGCAGCAGATCCACGGTGACTCCGTGGAGGTATGGTACATAAGAGGGTGACTTGTTCTGTAGGAGGGCTACTGGCTGGGGCCAAGGTCATTCTGAATTCGGGCTGCAGGCAATACACTCCATGGAAGGCATGGAAGGCATGGATAGTACACTATCCGACCCAGTGATGTGGAGGCTGCTCAGAACCCAGGGCAATCTAGTGATCCTCTAGCTCTCAAATACCAATTCACTCAAAATACACATTCTTCATAAATCCCTTGCCATTAAAAGAGTTTAATTTTTTAATCTCAATAACATCAGGTTGCATGTATCATAGATATCTGAAATTAGCACTTCAATCACAGTATCACAGAATCTCAGAATTAAGGAAACTTGAGAGGTTATCTTTCCAATTCAACCCTAATCCAATTGTTCTATTTGGTTACGTTTCTCTCCATGATACAAACATGATTATAACTTTTCTAGTGGTGGAAAATATTTCTTGTCCATCTTCGTGCCTCCCATAATGTGACTTTGTGTCTTCCATCACAGTCACTTGAACATACTCAATGCTAAATAGCTTCTTTTTGAATGAATGAATAAATAAGTAAATAAATGGAGAATAAATGAATAAACGAATGAACTTTTGTTGCATAGCTAATATGATTTCAGTTCAACTAGTACAGAAGGTCCCTTACTTGTTAACAGGGACTTGAAACCAATGTATTCAGTCAACAAGTTTGCCTACTGGATCATTCACTGAAGAAATGTTTATTGGGCACCTACCATATGCCAAACACTGTTCTAGGAACTGAGAGTTTATCAGTGAATACAAAAGACAAGATCTGCTCTTATGGGGCTAACTTTCTAAAAGAGGGAAAACAAATGGGCCAATCTGATTGATGGGCTTTTAACAGAATAAGATGACTGACTATTTCACTACTGATTTAGCTATTCTAGCAACACTTAAGTACAACTTTTAAAAAATGAATTTGTTGACATCTACTATTTCCAGATGCTCTTCTAGGCATTTTGGGGAGAACAAGATAGATTATATACACAAAGACATCAAAATTTACCTGATGGGACTGAGTAGCACAGTTGTCACAAACTTTAGTACATTTGTTTTAAAACACTACTTACAGATTTTTTTTTTACCACACCTATGACCTGGGTTATTAAATTTTTATGTTACACAAGGACTTTATGAAGATAGTACATCTATGTGTGAGCTTCCCAGATTTGTATTTATCTGTCATTTATTTTAGGGAATGGTGATACTGACAATAACTGTTATCTGTGTGTGCGGCCGTAGATGAAAAAGACCATCCTGGGACCAACTGTCCTTTCCACATTGTGCACATAAGAAGATTACTCTTTGGTTTAGGAAAGAACGCTCTGTTTGCAAAATCAATGATTGTTTACTGCTTAACTTGGACTGTCAGCTCAGAGAACTCTTTGCTCCAGAACAGCCCCAGATGGTGCTTCCCACTTTCCCAAGTCCCTTCCTTAGCACTGACTCTTCCATGGCCATGTGTCTGGTGGTTTATCTGCTGCAGAGGCTGCTCAGCCTCCACTGGTTTTGTTTCAGGACTGGCATTGGGGCTGAGGGTATTATTTGAGCTGCCCGCTGACCTGTACACTTGGCTGTATGTCTTCTAAAACCATTCTTTTCCCACCTAGATACTCACTTAAAAAAGGTTTTGCTGTTTCTTTCCATAACCAGTGCTTATTTTTATAAAGAAACCTCTACAAATCAAGTGGATTTGTGTTTTACAAAGTCCAGGAATGGATTTTTTTTGTGGTTCATCTGACATTTTTAGAATCATATAGGTACATGTTTGCAGAATTAATACAACTTGAGTAATATGCATAATCATAGGGAATATACAACAATATGTAATAATCGTCTCTTACATAAGGAAACATTTGTTTTATCTATTAGTTGTTTGCCAATCTTATCTCTCTCACTGAAATGTAAGATGGTAGGAAAGGAGACATGGCTTAGATGCATCCTTTTATTCCTAGCAGGTAGCACAATATTCTGCATATAGTGAGTACTCATTGCATATTTATTGAACAATGGATACATTTTAAAAATATAAAGAATGAAAAATGTTACTTAAAAAACTGACACCCAGAGAGGTGTCTAAAACTCTAGCCTAAATCCCATGTGCTTATAAACAAAAATTATAATTTTGACCAAAAACCAAGCATATTAATTTACTGCTTTAACCTTTACAACTATGCTATGAAATAGACAAGGCTGGCTTTTCTACCCTTCACGATAGGTAAAAAACGGAGGCTACAAGAGTGAGTTTATTTGTCCAAAGCCACACAGCCAGCTGGAGGCAGAGGCAGGGGGCAGGAGGAGGCAGCAGGTTCCTACTTAGTGGGCCATGTCCTACAAAACGAACATGCTCACTGGATACTTGACGGATGATGAGCAGAGTATTTTATGGGCACCTATTATGTACTCAGCAACTTATAGGAAGCTTTGGGAGCGCTACAATTATAAGACACAGTTCCTGCTTTCACGGACCTTATCACCTGGCTGGAAGGTCCTGGAACCCACAGCAAATGTTTAAATAGCCATGTAAGGCAGAGAATGAGAAGGGCAAAAACAAACATGAGAGACCCTGAGCAGTGTGGAGCTCAGAAAGAGAGTAGACCGGCACTGGTGGCAGTAAATGAGGGATGGTTCTAGTTGCATCTCAAAGGAGTCGGGAGCATTGATTCCAACACTGACCGTGGTTCAGTCTGCAGGACTGCTGAGACTTACCTGATGCCTGGGAAAGAAGGGATCTTTGGCCTTGCAGCTCTTCACTCCCTTCTCATCCCTGTTCCACAGAAAGACAGGCAGAGAAGCCACCTGAGCAGCAGGAGAAGTCATCCTCTCCCGAGTGACCCCCGTTTTAGGCACGAAGGCTGCCTCCTGGGGCAGCAGTGGAGGGCCCCTCTATTAATGGGGCCCCATGCACTCAGGGTGTTACTCCCTGATGAGCATGAGGAGCAGAGACTGAAGGGGCAGACTCCTTCATCCCCAGAAAGTTGCCCAGACCCTTTAATTAGCGTCCCCAGCTTGTTACATCTGCCACTGTTTTCCCCCAAGGGATACAGCCAGGCCTCACTTGCGCTGAATGTTATCTTTCAAGAGCTCAGAGCAGAGTGCTTTTTCAGTAACCCCATCAAAGGATAAGCTAGGATTCAGATAAGCTTTTCAAGGAGGAAGTCGGGGTTATAATTTTCAGAGACTTCTGAATGTCACCTCCAATTTTCAACTCTTCAGTTCAAATGCCAGTTTGGGGGAGCTGGGCAGCCTCAGATATTGAAATGGCAACCTCTGACCTCGGTCCTTCCACATTCCTGGTCATCTTAGAGCCCGGCAGATCCAAGAGTTGAAAGTGCTGGAGATGTCTGACTTTATAATAATTCTGCTTCTCAGAAGTGCAAATTACGCAGGAATTGGTGCTAAACTCTCCATTAACTACGGAGTCCAAGGAACCTTTAGTTTCCCAAATTACCTGTCAGTTTCTCCTTGACGCCATATAATTCTGTCGTTTAGAGGGAAAAATGGTTGTAATTTGAAATTTCAGTGAAATTTCTAATTGAATCTGCATTTAACTTTGAAGACTTAATGTTCCTCCATTTCAGCAATGGGTTGAGTCGCATTTGAAATTTCAGTTTCATCTTCCCCTAAAATCCACAGCTCCTTTCTCCTATCTCAGGCAGGAACACACATTATGGCAGCACTGGCTGCTCATGTTTCATCATACAATCTTCATCCTGAAACAAGACCTTCAGAGGTCATCTAATCTATCCCCCACCTCAGTACTGGGAGGGAAGATGTAAGAGCTAAGCTCAAATAAGGTTTAAAAAATAATTGCTTCCCCTTTAAAAAAATCTCATAAATGATGATATACCACAATGATTCTTAGTAATGAATTCTGGTAACTCCTAGTCATCATACTGATCAAGTCATAGAAATATTTAGGTTTTGTGGTTTTTAAACATTCTCCCTGAGGAAACTTTGGAGCAGACATGATGACTGGGGGAGTGGGGGGCAGTTCTTGATTTATTTTCTACCCTCATGTAAACCAGAAAAGCTCACTTAATATAATTAATTAATTAGAAGTGGAGCTTTTCTGGTTGAAATGGTTTGATTTCTGCTTATATATTCACTTAAAGGAAGAATTCCTTAGCATTGGGAGAAAAAATGGATTGAAATCTGTTGAACGAATATCACATTACATCTGAAGCAACTGAGACCAGATAACACCATGTTGAACTCAATGCCACTGGCTCATTTATTCCACACATATTTATTGCAAGCTTTTTATGTGTCAGGCTTGTTCTAAGCACTAGAGTATAGTAGTGAACAAAACAAAGCCCTTGCCCTTATGGAGTTTATATTCTAGTGGAAAGAGAGAGACAATAAGCCAGAAATCAGTGAATATTGTGCCCAGGTAGTGCTAAAGGCTATGGAGAAAAATAAAATGGAATAAAAAGACAGAAAAAAACACTCGAGGTGGGAGAGGTGTGCTATTTTATATAGGATGGTTAGAGAAGGCCTTATGAAAAGGTAACAAAACCTTGCTATGCATATAACCAGGAAAGGAGCATTTTAGCAGGAAAAAATGTAAAATAGAAAGGGCACAGCCAAAGCTGTGGCCGAAGTGCAGTGAACAAGCGGGAGGACTGAGAGAGGAGGTCAGAGGGGTCAGAGGGATCAGAAGGGCCTGATCATCTAGGACGCTTTAGGCTGGCATAGGTCGTTCTGAGTGAGCCGTCGGAGAGCTTTAAGCGGAAGAGTGGCATGATCTGACTTAGTTTTTCTAAAGGATGGCTTTGGCTGCTAAGGGGGCTATGGTTGGACAACAATGGAAATCAGGAGACAGGTTCACCTCTTCGGAGGCTGTGGCTATAATCCAGGCAAGAGAAGATGTCAGGGTGAAGAAGGGTGGTGGCAGTTGGGGTGATGAAAACATGATGAAGTCCTGGATATTTTCTGAAGGTTGAGCTGAAAAAATTTGCTAATAATTTGCATTTGGAGTGGGAAAAAAAAAAGTAGAGTGAAAATGACACCAAGGTTTTATGGACTGAGCAAATGGAAGAATGAAAGTGTCATTTTCTGAGATGAGGCAGCTTAGGGAGAAGCTGATTGGGAGGGAAAATAAAAGTTTTGCTTTGGTTATGTGCAAGTTCCAATGATACCTGTTAGACATCTATTAGTCCTCAAACAAGAACAAACAATTTCTCCAGCACCAAGAAAGGATTTTTCTGCTATCCCCTTTCACCTTTCAGGAGCAATACAAAAAGTAAAATAGAGCCAATTCAAAGTTTTAACATGTCACCTTCTCTGCAGTTGGTAGCTCAACCATTGGTTCACTGGCCTACTAATTTCCTTTCATTGAATAATATATGCAAAGGGATACAAGCTCATTTTAACAATAGCCTATGCAAAACAGTAGTCTGCTGAAACTTGACCATCACAAATGTCTGCCTAAATCATGGAGAAAGCTTGCTATCAAAGTTGCAGATGGCACCCAGCTGGGAGGGATAGTTAATAACGCTGTATGACAAAATCTAGATTCAGAAGGCAGGCTAGAAGGAGGGGATAGAATACACAAGATGAATTTTATCAGAGATACATTTTGGGTCCCACCCTTAGTTCCAAAATGAACTGTGCAAATATAGAATGGGAGAAGTCTTAGTTTTCTAGAAATTCGTGTAAAACAAAGCCATAGGGGATTAGTTGACTGTAAGCTCATTATGGAATAGCATGGTACATGACTTTCAACAAGACTAATGTAACATAATAGAAATGTAGTGTCCTGAATAAGAGAGTTAATCATCTCAACCTATTGTGCACTGAACTGTCCACACATATCAGGATAATTATGCTCATTTCCAGTGCTGTATTTGAAATCGCAGTGAGCATCAACGGGAAGGTGCTTGAAACTCTCATGGCTTTCAGGATGTATCTTTAGCTATTGCTTTGGGGAGATAAGCAACGAGAGAACTGACTGAATATCTCTCATGCGGGGTCATCATCTCCTGGTGGTTATTCCTCACTTTTGATTATTCCAAATTGAGGTTGTGGGCTAATGCTTATCATAAGACCAAAGAATGACTCATTTTGATCCATTCTGAATACCATCTAGCCCACTTTTCTTATGCAAAAGACACTAATCCCATTGGCATTTAAATAGTTCTTTTGTAAAATGTTCAGGTGATCAGCCCCAAAACCATAAAATAGAAAGGGAAGGAGTAGAGAGAAAAAGGGAAATAGAGCATAGGTTCATCTAAGCTTACCTGTTTGCCAGCACCACACAGAAGGATGTAGCACCACACAGAAGGATGTGGCCCCACACATCCCATGTGGGTGCTCTCAGTTTCCTGCTTTCACCTCTTCACTCATCTGCTTTCTCACAGTCCTTGTCATTTAACTCCTCCCTGACCTGTTGTTTCTGTCCCCACATGCCTATCCTAGAAAAAAGAGTCAGTCCCCACTTTATTCTTGGCTCTTAAATCTGCTGCCTCAGAAATTCTTCTCTGCTCAGTTCCTGCTGTCTCCACAATGTGGGGAGAAAGATAAATTCTATGCAGCAAATTTGGTGGAAGAAGGCTGGGAAGAGGTCTTGAAAATGAAATAGAAAGTACCACAGTGGCAATTTCCTTCCAAAGACTACCTGTGTCGCTCGCAAATGCCTGTTACTCTTACTATTATAAAATTGGCCCTTTTCATGACAGGGATAGCTAGCTTCTATATTGGAGACTTGATGATGGCAACTAGCCGCCCAATTAGGGACTATAATTTCTTGGTCTCTCTTGAAGCCAGGAAGGGCCATAGGACTAGAATTCTTGTCAATGGAGTGTGAGCAGGAGTGGTGTACATCACCTTCAAATAATGGAGCTTAAGAAATAGGTGTATCTTCCACAGTCTCTTCCCATCTACTAGCTAAACGCAGAAGATTTTGCAGCCATAGGTGAGAATAAAGAGGCAATATTGAAGGGTTCTGAAGCCTAATTACCATCTGGAGGGCTTCTAGCATAAAACCATTAGGTAAATGAGAAAACACATATCTGTTGTGCTAAAGCCAGACTGAGGGGCTTATTTGTTTCAGCAGCTAGTGTTATCCTATTACATGATTTCTTTGGAAGAAATAACTCTGGAACCATATGCAAATTGTTTGCTTCTCTAATCTCTAGGTGAGGGGTAAAAGTGAAGGAGGACACTTTGCTCATACTGGGTCATATATCTAATGAGGAACCATTGAAGAAAGCTGGAATTAAGAACCCTGCTGTGTATATGTGTGTGTGTTTGGGGAGACGGTGATGGTCATTGACATAGGGGGCAGCACTACTCAATAGGTAAGAAGCTACAGGAAATCCAACTCACTTCAATGCATGGAAAACCTTTCTAAGTCTGCACCCTATGTATGCTCCGTGCATTGTCTAGTTGCCTGCTATGTCCCAGGAAAAAACTTGGTGATTGGCAAGCAAATTGGTACTACATAATGTTTCTTTCTTTTTAAAAATTAATAACAGATACGTTTATTATTACATATCCATCAGTGTGGCTTTTAATACTACTTGAAACATGTATATCATCCTAGAGACATAATATCTCTTAAATTTTAAAAATAATTTTTGAAAGTCCTTTTTGTGTCTGCCAACAATGAAACCTTGCTGCGAGGGAGTGATTTTTCCATTAGTGAAAGTTCCATGCAGAGTCTCAGTGAGCCCCTGGTGGAAGGTTGGGCTAGATAACATCCCAGCAGATCTCTTCCCATTTTTATTGTCCTACATCTCAAAGGCTTTCACAAACTTTTCCCATCCATTTTCTCTTTTCATCCTTATAACAAATCTGTGAAATTATCCTACTTTTAGAGGTTGAAAAATGGAGAGATTTGATAAAATGAGGCATCCAAGGTCACCTTGCTATTTAGTGATGACACTGGAACTGTAACTTTAATCACTTGATTCCTGGAACAGAGTTCTCTGGTGATTCTCAATTCTGGAAACAGAAAAGGATGATGGGAGGTTGCCAGAGAGAAATAGTAGTCTTTATTGAATGCTTGCAATGCTAAGTACTTTATATACATCTTCTCAATAATCACAGCAACTCTGTGAAGTAGGCACTATGATTAATCCATTTTATAGCAAGAATCAGATACTTAAAAGGGTAAGTTTACACAGCTCAAAGGTTGTAGATCTTGGGTTGGAGCCCATTTGTCTCACCCAAACCTTATACTCTTCTGCTCTATAGCTACTAGCTTCCTGCCAGGTGCAGAAGAAAGCAATGGGGGTCAGGGTAGTTCATGAAAGACTTCACTGGGGAGATGGGACTCAAGCTGGCTGCTGGAATTATAGGATCCACTGGTGTGTCCTATCAGGAAACTGGCCACAACATATTTCTGAGGAGCAAGAGTTCACATATATTTTCTTGTGCCTTTGCCATTGCTGATAATCTCCAAGGAATCTAGAAAGGGAGCAAGGTTGGGGGAGAATGGAAAATTTATCTACCTGTATCTTTCTGGGATTCATAGGTCATCCTCATGGGCATAAGAACTCTGTAAGGGAAAATAAATCATTGTTGGGCTGAGAACTTGATGCTTACACACACACACACAAACACACACACACATACTCACCAGAGACAGCCAGGGCTGTCTTTGATGGTTTGGGGAAGAATCATCTGAACTTTGAGGACTGCAGAGTAGACCCTTAAAGTGGCAGAATTAGACGAGCTCCCAGACATCAGGCCTTAGAAAAAATTCCAAACAGTTACAATTTCCACTGCTCCATCCCTATGGTCATGGTTACCACCGTCCCTAAGCCCTGCTATTCTTTCTCCCATATAATTTGTATTTTCTCTTTCTGCAGCCATGTCCACTTTTCCCCAATGATTTAACCTCACATCAGATCCTTCAGTGGGAGCTTTAATCTTGAACATTTTATTAATAAAGAAAAACAATTGTATTGAGTAGAGAGGACCTGTCTTCAGTGGAAACCCCTGTTTCTGCCCCCTCTTTCCCTAGACCAGCCCGCTGCTGCTCTAACTTATTTTCCTCTTGGTCAGATTCAGGGCTCTTCTTTCAAACATTGTGTCCCATCCATTCTGGTTAAACGACACTAACTACATTGTAAGTAATAGCTCGCCCGCAGCAATGTCGCTAACGGGTCTGTCTGTGCCTGGGTTATGAATGGGCTCGTCCTCAGCTGCAGTCACATGGCTCTGGGCTGGGAGCTCATCCATCTTGCAAGGTCAGACCTCATTGGTTTTTGGACGATGGGGAAATCTCCTAGGAAAACCTAGGATGCGGCCGAATGGGCTGCTCCATAGATAATCTCTCTCCTGGAAGGTGGTGCCTTTTCCTTCTCTCAGCCCAGAGTCACCAGTGCATTCAAAAGGCCAAGTCTTTAGATACCTGGATCGAACACTCAGGATAAACCCCAATTGCTACCTGCTGCCCTTAGATAGTATATGCAAGGGAAATACTTAAAGCGTATCTTTACCCAGGAACATCTGTGAAAACAGCCTTATTCTTCATAGTCATCTATCCTAGCAAAGCATCAGACACAGAGTCGACAGTCAGGAAGTATTTGTTGACTATTAACACTAACAATAGTTTTATTTTATTGCATGCCAGAGACTATGCTAAGTACTTCACACATATTAGATAATTTTATTTTACTTAATGCTCCTAGTAAGCCTATGCATTAGGTATTGTTATTTTACTATTAGAGTTCAGGAAACTAAGGCCCCTGCAGTTTCCTCATCCTGAAGTCACACCACTTCTGAGAGGTGGAGCCAGCATTACAGACTGCCTGACTCCAAAACCCAGTCGTCTTAGGCACCCTATTATACTATTTCCTTAAAGGAAAAAAAAATTGTTCTTACCATCAGCCATGTTTTAAAGTCACTGGCATTTTCACATCTGCTCTTAAAAGTCTGATCCAAATGCTCCATACATAAATACCTGTGATTGTGTGTGTGCCTGCGTGCAAATACATACACACCCAAGTTCATACTAAGGGAGAGGGAAATGATTCTGAAATGGGTTGGGGGACAAAACACCCATGTTCCCTCCTCAGCTCTGCTTTATGAAACCCTGCCCAGCCACATACCATGTGGCACATGGTGACACATGACCCCCTAAACCCCCAGTCCCTGGTCCTCAGCCCTACTACTCCCCACTTCATTCTCAGTCATTCGGTGTAGGATCCTTTAGATTGCCTTGTTTCAAACTGAACTTTCACCTTGTAGATTTAACAATGGAACTGGACTTCCCCCATTTTTTGACCCTTGTCATTCTCCAAGGACTCCTTCATTGAGGTTTTTTCCTCCTGGCAGGTTAAGGCACAGACCTTGCACAGCTTCATACTGGCACATAGGATCCCTGTATTCTTTCATTCATGAATCATTTGTCTAGCAGATATTAATTGGGCAACTACTATGTGTCTCTGCTCAACCCTAGAACACACTGGTGAACATAACCAATATAGAACTAGCACTCAAATTGCTCACTATCTACTATGGGGTATGGGGAGCTGATAAGTAAATAGGCAAAAATTACAGGGAGCGGGGGAAAAATAACTTACGTTAAAGCTTAGGCAGAACTTCTGAAATTGGAGAGCTCTCTTCTCTTTAGCAATATACCTTGATGGGCATATGATGAAAAGATAAGGCTCAGGGCCTGGCCTGCCAGGAGGAGAGTGAGTCAAGGTATTGCTTTTCATTGTAAAAAGGAAATGTTAATTCCCTTGAGTAGACTTACTAGGAAGAGTCAAGAGGCAGTAATGGATATAAATAGAGAACATCATGAGAATTGGGGAAAATGAAAGAACCCATTACCCAGAAGAGGCAAAAGTTAGAGAAGTTGATGGTGATGGGAATATCCAAAGGACTTTTAAGACCAAGCTAGTATTTGTTTTAAGTTCTTTGCTGTGTGCTACCCCTCTGCCTTTCCTTATATCACTTAAGTAAAATATGTCATACAAAATAGCTGTCGTTAGTGGTTTTGTGGAAATTGTTGAATAGGGCAACATAGAGAAATTTCAGCCTCTTTACACCCCTTTTCGATTGAGAACAGAGTGACAGGAGAATATGACACTGAGGGAGGGAGCGACCCTGGAGTTCCAGGCAGTGGTCAATAACAAACGGAGCAGTAGTGTTGAGCAGAGCTGAGGGGAATAGAGAAGTAGCTGCAGATGTTCATGTCAGGACACCCCCCCAAACACACACACACACACACACACACACACACACACACACACACACACACACATCCATTTCTGCCCAGATAGACTTGACCTGAAGTGGTTCACTCCTGACTGCACAGAAGAATCATCTGTGTGCCTTAAGACCTGTGGACATCCAACCCCAGGATTTCATTGTCCAGTTAAGACCCAGCCATCAGTATTTTTTGAGCCAGAGAACATGACCTTGGAGGGATATTCGACCTCAATATAATGTGGTAAGTGTCAACGAGGCATAAATAAAGAGAACTAAAGAACAGAGATGAGGTAACGGTAGATGGGAGTGACAGCTAAACTGAAAGCCTGGGGATTGAGTAGAAGTTAGCCAAGCAATGGGAAAGGAGATATGGGACAATGTCCTCAGAAGAGGAAAAGCAGAAGTCAAAGCAAGAGTTCAAACTGTACAAGGAGCTCAGTAAGGTTAGAACTTGGTAGTTTTGGGGGAAGGGGTAGGGTGGGCGGGGATGTTTGTACCCATGGCAATATGTGAAACCAAAGAGATAAGAGAAGTCCAGATCATGTAGAGTCCTGTGTGCAATAAATGATGAACTGGATTCATCCCAACACCCTCGAGCTCTGGCAGGCAACATGACTTCCCTCCACCATTTCAGTCTCTGCATTAGTTAACAATTACTGCATAGCAAGCTATCCTAAAACTCAACAGCTTAAAGCAATGGACACGTATTATTGTTCACAAGCCTGTAAGCCTTTTGGGTGGTTCCACTGACTTGGGCCAGGCATAGCTGATCTTGACTGGGCTCAAGGGTATGATTGTTGTCTGCTGGTGGATTGGCTGGGGGCTGGCTGCTCTAAAATGCATCATTCCTGTACCTGATCATTAGCTACTGGCTGTGGCAACAGAGTGACTGGGCCATTCATCTCTTATCACCCAGTAGGCTAGCTCAGGCTTTCACATGGCAATGCCTTCTCCAAGACACAGAAGTACACAGGAGCTCTTGGATTCTTGGTTTCTTGGTTCTTAGCTGACACACTATCACTTCTGCTGCATTTTATTAGCCAAAGCAAGTTAAAAACACATCATTCCAGATTTAAGGGATAGAAAAGCAAACTCTTCCTCATGCTAGGAGGGTCAGCAAAGTCACAGTGCAAGGTATATGGATACAGGAAGGCAAAAAATAATTGCAGCACATATTTGCAGTTGATCTGCCGTACCTCCATAACCCTCACTGTCTCCATAGATTTCCCATGGTTTGGAAGTGGGAGGGGGCTCAGGGACATGCTATTTTTCAGGTGAACACTAATTCAGGCCACAGCTCATACTGACCAACAAGCCACAGGCAAGAGCCAGGCTGCCAGTCCTAATTGCTCTGTCCAGTCTTCACTTGCCATCGATTTCCTATTTCCCATCCTCTGCGTCTCCAATGTTGTTTTCCTTAACACCACAAACTGTTGGTTGCTTTGTGCATCCCTCAGGCCTCTGCGGGCATTTTCTTTTACATCAGTGCACAAAGAAGCTGCAGCACTCCCCCAGGCAGCCAAGGTGTCAGGGCAAGGCCAGTGATCACAGGCCCTGCTGGTGACAGGAGGTAGGGATTTCCAAAGAAAAGCTGGGCCCTTGCTCACCATTCCTTCTGAAAGATAGAATGCTGCCTCCTAGACCTCCCAGGCCTCTTCCTGTGGATACAGGACGGTGTGATACAGCTTGTCAGAACCTGGCCAATGGGCCTCCCAGGCTTGCAGCGGCCACCACACTCTCAAGGCAGACATGGATGTCAAGTATGGCCAGACTCCCTTTAGACACCGTGTCCAGTCTGGACTCTGCATTTGAAGAATAATGGAAAGAAAAGAAAGGGATAATAGAAAAGAGAAATGGTGCCTTGCAGGATAGACCAAAGGGAAGATCCTCATTGGGAAGAGAGAGGAGAGGGAGATAGAAAGAGAGAGAGAGAGACAGAGAGAGAAAAGGCTGGGAGTGATTTTAGTCATTGGTTTCATGTTTTAGAGAACTAGTCTAGTACTGGTAGGAACATGACTTCCTGTCTATCTTTTCTGAGAGAAGAGTGTGAAATAAATACACGCTTTAAAATTCAGCATGAGGGAATCAGGTTAGATGGAGTGGAGAACCTTCTGTTTGTAAGAGATGTAGTAAACACAACATGAGGCAAGAGTTAGACACTGTCTCTGCCCTCAAGAAGTTTCCAATGTTGTTAGAGCTTCCAGAGTAATGCACATAAGCTAATAAAGACAATAGACTCACACAACGTCACTGTACACACAGTAGTGATCTGGCAGTGACTCTAATTGCAATGAAATTTTAAAGAAGGAAAAATATCTAGGTAAATCTTTGTAGAAGCAGTAGGACTTGAACTAAGCGGGAGTTACACAGACAGAAGCAAGAAAATTACAATCCAGGTAGAAGGAGCTGTGCAAACAAAGGCAGTAAGGTGACTAACTCATCCCAATTTGCTGGGGCATCTCCTCAGTCCTGGGGAAATTTGCATGATTAGTCATCCAAAAGAGAGCCATAAATCAATCAGCATCATTTGTGGGAACAAATTTTGACAAGATAGTAGGATCTAGTTCAAGGACTACCTTGAGAGTGGAGGTGGGGACAAGATGGCCTCTAAAGGCTTCTCCCAATCTGCTAATGCTATCACCTCTGTCTGCAGAAAGTTAAGGAAACTTCCTTAATTTTGATGATAAATGCCTCACTGAGCACACATTGGTCAGAAAAGTTTATATTTTGATTCTGTCAGGTGACTCAGAAGACAGTACTTTTCCTCAAGAGCTTGTGGGAAGACTGTCTTAATGCAACACAGTCATTTCACTTGCGAACACTTACCTTACTGCACCTTACACCTGGTAGGACCTCAATGAGTGCTTCCTGGATAGGTGAATTATGGATGGATGGATGGATGGATGGATGGATGGATGGATAAGTGAATGGGTGGATGGATGGATAAATGAGTGGTGGATGAATGGATGGATGGAAGAATGGATGGACAGATGGATGAATAGATGGATGAATATATGAACAGATGGATAGATGAACAGTTGTATGAATGGGAGGAAGGAAAGAAAGATGAAATGATAAATAGACAAGTGGAACAGTGGCCTGGTGAGTGAAATGATGGATAGATGAATGGATAAATTGAGCAATTATAGATGAATCATGGTGGTTAAAGTAATAAAGCTATAAAGGGGAAATCATATAAGTAGAAAAAAATTACAAATAAAACAGAGTTGCATTTTCAATAATTTTGTGAGTCTGACATTCTAACATTGTCTTCCTACAGACAGATTATATAATCGCTCCACATGTCCCCACTATACACTCCATGGTTACCAACACTTCCTTACCCAAAACTCCTCTACTCTCTTCCCTCCTCTTTCTCTTCCAATTTGTTTAGATTAAACTTTAGTTTTAATTCAATCAGACCCACTAATGCTATGTGACTGTAAGCACGTCACATCAGCCCCTAGAGCCTTAGTAACTGTCCGGATAAATGAGAGAGTTGATTCAGATAATGCCTGGAGAACCTAGTGCTTGGATCATCATCCTTATTTTTAAAACATGAAGAAATATGGCAGATAGCACAAGAATGATATTTTGAGAATATTCAAAATTTCCGGATTGGGAGCCAATAAAATAATCTGCTACTTTCTATATACATGATGAAATGTCTCCGTTTCTTCTCATGTGAGAGAGAGATAGGGGGTTAGAAAGAAGTATGGGGAGAGGCTTTCCTCACGGTGCTGGCTACAGGACCTCTGCTCCCAGCCTCCCTGAGCTGGAAAGAGGATGTGTTTCAGTCATTGCTTCCACTCTGGCTCCATGTGGCTGGTGTAAAGTTGTACATTTTGCAGCTGAAGGCAGTGGGCTCCCCAGGATAATAGCAGCTGTTCAAGTGCATATTAGCACTCGAGATGCTTGATAAGAGGAATTAGAGTACCGCCCGGTTTCTTTATTTTTTATTTTTTGCCTGGCTGAATCAATAATTAAGTGTATTCTAATAGTGCAGTTTTGCTCGAGATTCTCATTTGGCTCAGGCATTAGGTCTAAATGAAATATTTAGTTGACAGGATACAGTTATGAAGCAAAACCACATTTCTGTCTGTATACTTTAATTTTTCTAATGATGAGAAACCACAGTCTGTCTTCCAACCCTGGCTGCTGCAGCTTTCCTGTCATTCCCTCTTCTAGAGAGAAGATAACAATCTTTCTTCCTCCTGCAAGAAAAATGAGAATGTCACATCCTGGTGACCACCATCAGTTGGGGCCTGGAGCAATGAGAAAAATCCTACTTTCACCAATTTTACCCTAATGCAAACAGACTCATCAGAAAGGCATGCCAAGACCTTTGCCTTAGGCAGTGGGTAAAGAAAAGAAGCTGAGACTGTGTAAGACCAATACTGGGGGCACTGAGTGACAATATGGAATGAGCTAGCATCTCAGCCCATGCAGAGATGTGTAATGTATGCAATGTGTAATGCATACAGTGACATCACGCCGTGAGGTAGGGCATCAGTCAGGGGGTCAGGGCCACAGTGATGCTCCAAGTGAGAGAATGAGTAGTTCATGACCCAGGAGACCAGTCTGTTCAGCACATGGCCAGCCTGTGCCAGGGACTCAGAGACAGCTAAGCACAAAAGAAGGCATAGGAGATGAAGTCCCAGCTAGGCAGGCTACGGCTCAGGGTAAGCCTGCAATCTCATCTTTGCCACTGCCTTACTGTATGACATCGGGAAAGCCCCTCCACCCTGTCAGACCTCATTCCCTCAACTACTGATAAAGCGCCATGACCTCAGAGCTACCATCCAGCATTGGCTCCTTAGGATTCTGGTTCCAGCAGGCAGGAACACTGAAAGGTCACCTCAAGCATCTTTCTGCCTCAAGACAATCTTCCTTTCATTCACAGGCATCACCTGACCTACAACCCTTCCACTCTGCGTGTTCCTGTTGCACCTTAGGCAGCAATTCCATAGCCTTCTTTATTCCCTTTATTTCACATTCAAACAGGACCCACTCTAACATGTTTTCTCAAATCTAACCTAAGCCCACTTACAGATGCCTAGCTCTTTCTTGAGAGAATATGTGTCTCTATGCCTCTAGAGGTCCTGTCAATGCACAGCACCATGCCATTGCCCCTCCAACCCATCACTCACTGGAGGAGGAGAAGAGCTCCAGAGAACATCAGCTTTGAGCCAAGTGAGGCTTCCCCAAGTATTCCTGGGTTGCAAGGCAAGGTGGGGTCAACATGAGTGCCTGGCCGCCGAAAAATAGAGACTGGAGTCACCCATGTTAGGCACACAAGGGCTGCAGATCGCTAATTATTTGCACAGCTTGCTTTCCTGAGTGCCTCTATTTTAGATAAATATTTTGTATACATTTACTCTAGAAATTAGAAAAGGAGGGAGGGGTACAAAGGAAAAAAAGGCAAGTGATGTTGATCTTGAATCCAGGCTGGCTGGTTCGCTCTTGTAGTGTTTGAAAAGTCAATCCATTCATCTCCAGCAAAGTGGGCAATGCAGAAAAGTGATATTTGTCTAATATTTGCTCGGCTTATTGTGTCTCGCTGTGTATTCCCAGGTGCACTGGCTTTCGGAGAAAGTTAATCACTATGTCTTAAGACCTCCCCGGCAGTGCCATTTCTGAGCAAAAGGTGTAGAGATTTTTTAAATATCTATCTTCTTTTCTTTTCTTTCTTTTTGGTTGTGGCTGGGCACAGGTACTAAGAGATAGGGGTAGGGGCAGAAACACAGAAGAGGGCAGAATTCTGGCCATGGAAGTTCTCTCCTGAGCATCTCTGTGGGTCAGAGGCAAGGAGGTGCCCTATGGGGAGAGGGATCAGGAGGACAGCCCATGGAAGGAAAGGGCCTTAGGGTTGAATAGTTGCCATACTGGGAGTCATGGGAACAATCCTCTGTGATATTTAGCACTTGTGATTTCTTTTTAACCTACCATGTTGCATTTTGATCCCTGCAGCAACCCTGTAAGGTGAATAAGGCTGTTGGTATTATGCCCAGCTCACAGACAGACCAACTGAAACCCAAGAAGATGAAGTGCATTGCTGGGGGTGGCATAGTGATATCTCCAGACCACAAGATTCCCAACTAGTAAGAAAAACTAGAAATGAATCACTTCGAAGTAGCCAAATGCTTATCAAAACATACTATACAAAGAGGACAAAAAGAAAACGAACATGCCATTCTCTCTCACACTCTGCAAAGGGATTATCTCCCTGGTACTCCATAAGTGCCATCCCTACCCCACAAAACCTACTGTATGCCAGCATTTGCTTGTGATCTAAAGAGAGCATAGACCCCACTCCTCATGATTCCTCCCAGTGGAGGAGTGTTACTTAGCAGAACACACCTGGCCCCTCTCCATTCTCACCCACTCTTCCCCAGAGAGGATTAGCTGCTTATCCACTTGGTGATTTTAGGGGAGGAACTAGCTCTGTGGAGCTCAGCTCCTCTTACTTCCTTCCTATTTTCAATGAGTTTGCCAGCTCAAGAAAGCTGGGTGCAACGGTCCTATGGCCAGCACCAAGAGGTTAGTCTTCCCCCATACTTCTTTCTAACCTTCTATCTCTCTCTCACATGAGAAGAAAAGGAGCCATGTCCTCAGATGTATAAAAAATACAGGTTATTTCATTGGTTCCCAAACTGGAAATGTTAGATAGTCCCAAAATATCATTCTTGTGCTATATAACCATCTGATATTTCTTCACATTTTAAAAATAATGAGGACAATGATCCCAGCATAACAGGGTCTCCAAGCATTACCTGAATCAACCCTCTCATTTATCCAGGCAAAGTTACTAGGGCTATAGGGGCTGATGTGACATGCCCAGTGTCACATAGCATTAGTGGGTCTGATTGAATGAAAACTCAAGTTTCATCTAAAAAATTGAAGGAGGTAGAGGGAAGAGAGTAGAGGAGTTTGGGGTAAGGAAGTGTTGGTAACCATGGAGTGTGTCATGGGGAGACATGGTGTGATTATATAATCTGTCTGTAGGAAGACAATGTTACAATGTCAGACTCAAAAAATCATCGAAAATGAAACTACATTTTATATGTAATTTTTCCATTCATCTTATGATTTCCTCTTTATAGCTTTATTATTTTAATCACTATGATTCTTCTATAATTCCTCAATTTGTCCATTCACATATCCATCATTCGACTTACCAAGTCACTGCTTGTCTATTTATCATTTCATCTTTCTTTCCTTCTTCCCATTCATCCATCTCTTTGTTCATCTGTCCATCCGTCCATCTATTCATCCACCCACTTATCCA
This sequence comes from Homo sapiens, assembly GCF_000001405.40. Lineage (NCBI taxonomy): Eukaryota > Metazoa > Chordata > Mammalia > Primates > Hominidae > Homo > Homo sapiens. The sequence goes on along the minus strand of NC_000011.10, from coordinate 115,890,974 downwards.
CCTATCCATCCATCCATCCATTCACCCATCCATCCATGTATCCATCCATCCATTTATCCATCTATCCATTTATCCATCCATCCATCCATCCACCCATCCATCTAAAAAGCACTCGTTGAAGTTCTACCATGTGCGAAATGCTAATCTGGGTGCCACAGAACTTTAGAAGGTAAGTGTTCTCAGGTGTTAAGAACAGTCTCCCCACAACTCCCGAGAAAAGGCACTATCTTCTGAATCATCTGGCAGAACACAAATATGAATTGTTCTGACCAATGCATTCTCTGTTCTGCTTTCAACCCTCATAAAAGCATAGTGGGGAAAGTCTCTGCCTTGGGAGCTGACAGGGAAGAGTTGATGCCTGACACCTACGATCAAACCTCTCTGATTCAAGCAATATCTGGAGGCCCATTGTTATCGCATATTTATTGAAGTCATATCCTCAAAGTAACCCTTACCAATAATCAAGGTGATAGGTTTGACCTTTGTCTTCTGTCTCCTGGAAGGAAGAGAGTGAGGTTGGAAGAGAGGGAATATTTTGTGGGCTGTAGAACCTCACCTCTATTCCGATAGGCCTAATTTGATCCACAGGAAGTCACTGTCCCCTAATCTTTCTCTTCTTTTCTCCTCTTTCCCAGGGAACAAGAGCCAGTCTTCTGGGGTTCCTGTCTCTTTCCTTCCACTGTCTATGACCAGCAGCTGAGAATAGGCCCATTCATCAGCAGTTCTGCCAGTCCCAGTTGTTATTGCTTATGTTTCCTCTGACACTACATTTTCCCCGACTTGAAATATATGTCATGATTTAATCCACCAGGATGAATGGTCTGATGTACAACCGTCTCCTCAATCCCACTGACACTTTATGAAAATGCTCCACTAAGTCCGATAAAAGGGCAGCTTTATGTTTTGAATGCTTATGACTTTATCAGATAAAATCCCAGTATAAAGAATTACTGGGATTTCAGGCCAGTTCCAGACTAGGAGAGAAAAGAACCCTATATTGAAGCCATGTGCGTTCTCTTTTGTATATAATCACAGAAAGCTTTTGAAGATGGAAAGCATGTGCGTTATACTCACTCATGTGCAGTGAAGGTGAAAATATGATGCTCTCAAATGAACCTGCGTTCTCAGCTCCCTCCCACTCTGCATCTTCCAGCAAAGCTAGGCTGAGCCTGCTTTTCTTGGGGCACAACTGAGCAGAAACAACATGGCTTTGGAGTCATCCGGACGTGGGTTCAAACTCTGGCTTTGCTATTACACTATGCATGATGTTGGGAAGATTACTTAAGCTCCCTGGAGCCTCAGTTTTCTCCACATTAAAATAGAAAAAGACTTGCAGCTATCACGTACTATTATTTCATTGATTCAATAAAACACAGTAACTTACTTACTTCATATGTTTGTCCTTTCCCTTCCATTTCCCATCAGATAATTTTTCATTGTTTTGTTTTCAGTTTTTGGGAGATTTACTTCCCTTTGTCTTACAAATCTTCCATTGATTTTTTAAAAAATGTTAGCCACTATAGCTTTAATTTCCAAGAGCTCTTTCTTATTTTCTCATTGTTCCTTAAAAATGATTGATTGATAATAATGATAACATCCTGTTCTTGTTTCTTTCCACATATTTTATGGGGATTTATTTCTTCTCACGTTTTTCTTCTGCTTCCTGGGTTGCTTTCTTTTCCTCTCAATTTTTTTTCCCTGATAATTTGGGCATTGCTTTTAGGGTTTCTCTAAGTGTCTGGTGATCTTGGGTGGCCCTTCAGCATGAGGTATAAAAGCCTTACGGGAAATTCCCTGTAAGGGCTTATCAACTGTTGGGACCCAATAGCCTATAGAGCAGGGCCCAGCCATGTCCTTGGGGATCCCCCAATGTCCACACCTTGAAGTCTTTTTTCTGTGATCTTCTTCTCCAGAGAACAACCTCAGCCTCCTGTCTGTGGGAATATGAGCAGGCTGGCAGAGTTGCAAGAATGCAGAAGAGCAGTAGCAAGGGAGGAGTTCAGAATATAGCAGTCACCTGATACCTTATTTCCCTGTGCATCTCCATAATCTGCCCTGCCAGCCTCTCTGATCACTTTGCCCTAGTTCAAGTCCCCCAGCCTTCCTTCTCTACCTCACATTATCGGCTGCCTGCCAAGGGATGCTGTACTTGCCATTCCTTCTGATTAGAACGCTCTTCAGGAGCCTGGCACCTCATCCTGCAGTGCTTGCCTTGGGCCACCTCCTAGAAAGCCTTGTTTGTCATTCTCTGTGCCTTTGGCATGTTTTGGGATATCATGACCATGGAGAACTCATCGTCTTCTCTGATGATATTATGTATTAACCTATGGGTCCATTTTCTGATTTCTTCCGCTAGAGTTAAAGCCCCTGGAAGGCAGGGAGCTTGTCTGTCTTGTTGACTGCAGATGCAGTAACATCTGAAACAATGTCTGGCACATATTTATCATCTGAGTGAAGGACTGAAAGAATGATTAGTAGAAGACAATATTGGAAAGACAAGTTGGGGCCCAGACTGAGTGGCCTTGGGTGCCAAAATGGGGACTCTGAATTGTATGCCATAAGCAATGGGGAACCGTTGAAGGGTTTTGAGGGGAGGGGTGAGGTCATCAGAGCTGGCCCTCAGGAAGGGTAATCTCGCAGGTCTGTGAGTTTGGAGTGGAGTTGGAAAAGGGAATGGAGGCCAAGAGTCCAGGGAGGTCCAGCAGTGCTCAGGTGAGAGATGTAGAGGGCCATCAGGCAGGGAACAACCAAGGGAATGACAGCATTGAGAGGTGGGCAGAAAGCAGTCGCAATCTGCCTTGCAATCGGTGCATTTGCTGGCTGCTCCCAGTGACGGCCCAGGCCTCCTTTGCCTCTTTCCTGCTCCTAACACCTTGTGCATGGCTTCACTCCCTAAGAACCAGGTATGGGGCCATGGCTGGCAACTTTGGTTCGTGTTTTCTTCCCTGGCTGCTGCCTCCACCCAATTTCTGGTCAAGGAGGACCCACAGCTGTCCGTTTAGTGGCTGCTTCTTTCTTCCCTGGTTGATTTTAAGCTTGGGGTTTGCAAGCGCTAGCCGCAACAGTTGTTTTCAATTCCCCAAGGCAAATTTAGAACCAATCGCCGAGTTCAGGCAGAAACAGGGAGGGGAGCCACTGTGCAGGTTTTGCCTTCATTAATAAGTTTCCCTGACAGCAGAAGGAAGTCTTTCCAGTCAATTCTTTGTAGTCAATTCCTGATCATCGTCCTCTCGTTGTTAATATTGTTGTTAAACTCCCGAAGCCTCGCTGAGTGAAAGCTAATTATAATAATTAACAGAGAACTCCTGAACTTGTCAAACTGGTAATTATAAACCACGGGGACTTTTATCATTAATAGATGCCATGGAAAGTGGAGGCACAGGGGCGCTGGCAGGGAGAGGCATGCAGGAGATGTTCCGGTCCTGAGCCAAACCTGCGTGCCACCAGGATGCGAGGACATGGCTTCCCTTGGCTCTGCGCCCGCCACTCGCTGTCTCTGCTTTCCTGCAAACCAGCCCCGAATCTCTCCACACAGCCACCTTCTCACCACTACCTCAGCGAGGCCCACCTTCCCCAAGCACACACACACTCTCTCTTACACACTCAAGCACTTAAATAGGATCAGTTTCACCATAGGAAGACTTAAATTTGTTCGTTCGTGCATGCAATTGCAAATAAAGCTTAATACCTGTCTTCAAAGAGTTTATAATCTGATGAATGAGGGGGAAATAATTTTAAGAGTCCTTTACAATACAATAGAGTTTTATAATTGCTCCAATGAAGGTATCTATTAGGTGCAATATGAGAACAGGAATAAGGTATCCAGACCTGCTGGAGTGAAGAATAACCCTGATATCAAAACAATCTAGAAAATGAAATTCTACTTTTAAAGTAGTTTTTTTTTTAAAAAAACGTTTCGTAGTTTCTAAATGCCTTTAAGGACTGGATGAAAGTCACAGCCTTTCACTTCAGGAACGAGCTCCTTCATGCCTACATGCAAAATCATTCCTGGAATTTCAACAGTCCACAGAGACCCCAAATTTTCATTCTACCTCTGTGGGAGATCTGTAGACCTCTATGCAAAAAGCTCCCTGTTGTGTAAAGCACTGAGCACTTTGCCTGGCACATAGAAGGCACTCAACAAAATTTAGTTTTTATTAATATTATGAATACTTTATATTCTTGTTTGGAGGACTATATAAGAGAAGGTATATGGAAGCATTTGGTTAGCTCCAGAACAAGATACAGGTCGGTTATTGCTATTAACAAACACTGATTAAGCCTGGTCACTGTCTTGTTTGCACAGGAAGGACACACACATGAGCTGCCGTCCCCATTGTGGCTTCCTCTCCCACATCAGCACTGCAGAGGAATCCTCAGATAGCTCCTCTAAGGAATGATTCCACCTCCCCTCTCCAAGGCTGGCCTAGGGTGTCTTATGCTGCAGGTACTTGAGCGCTTTCCAGCGGAAGCCTTAAGAATAGCCTGGCTCCCCCTGCCCCCGAGACTGTGGGTAGAGTTAATTCTGCTCTGATCCTGGGTGTTATCCCTCTCTCATGCCACTGAAGTGCTCATTAAAGGAAACCACTGCATAAGGGTTGCTTGAAGAGGCTCTAGTACCTCCACCCCCACCACCCTCCTACAGACCACCCCAATTAAACCTGCAATCTGAACAAAAACCACTCCCCTGCTATGCAAACACATGCTCAAGACGAGGTTCCCCCAGGACCCTTTTCCACCAAATTACCCCTCCCAAGTCCCTCCTAAATACAAATCTGGGAGCTGCCAAGAAAAACAAGTCTCTGTTGTCAGCTTCAATTGCATCCCTAGCTCAGGCCCCAGAGAATGAAGGGGACCTGGGGGCCATCCGAGGGACCCATGGTGATCTGGCAGGAGGGGCAGCTGCTGACTGGCAGCCCGCTCCCTGTCCAACTGTGCGTGCTTTGAAATTTGTGGGCTTTTGCTGGCAGGGTTCAAGAGTAAGGGCAAAGCTTGGGCCTGCTTCAAAGTCCCAGACCAGTTTTTATTTTTAGCCCAAGTTCAAAAATTGTCAGAAAAACTTCAGAGGCCTCTAGTCCAACAGCAGCTTTGGGTTTTGGCTGGAACAAGAAAGGGACAGACCACAGGCCACAGAGCAACTCTGAAAGAGGACTCAGAGGCCGGTCACCAGGATGCCCTGGAGCCTCCCTGGGAGAAGAGCAGTGGCCTCTGTGGAGTGTTCAGGGGAACTGGAAGATCAGTACCCCCAAACTTCCCCCACTTCCCGACTAGTCCTATGTCTCCTTTGCATAAGGGGAGAGGGTCAGGCCAGGCTTTATCTGGATTGCTTCTTGCCAGAACCACAAAAGACCAATTTCCTCAGTGAGAGCTTTTGTTTTCAGAAGGGGCCGCAGCTCATCCCGGGAGAAGCCATTGTTTCTGCAGAGGATTTTTAGATCAGCTGCTGGCTTCTGGTGCCCTTCTCCTGTGAGTTCTCCCGTTCTTTTTGTGCTGCCCTGCTTTCCTGGACATAAACAACAAATGGTCCTATTCACCCTGGAGATAAGATTGTGCTTCTCCCAAAGTCACTGCTGTCTTCTCACTGCCTCTGGAACTGTTTGAATAATGAGGCTCCTAGAGAATTTGTGTTGTTTTATCCTTTTCTTCACTGAGACTGGAGATTCCCTAGGCAGCCCTGGTGGGCAGTGCCTACAGGGGGTTGCCTGGGGGTGGCTAACACAGGGCAGCCGCCCAAGAGAGCTTTTTGTTTCTTACGTTAATCTGGGTGCCGTGGAACTTTAAAAAATGTTTATATATGCTGGTTTCTCTTCCTTTTATTTTTTAATTTTTTTTCCTGACAAGACAAACAATAGCTCTTAGGCAAAGAATTCCCCACCCTACAGAAATGGTGGAAACCTTCAGCCTGTGATTTCCTTCCACCTCCTAGAAGCTGCTATGGCTCCAGTAAGACTTGCAAAGGGAATGGAGAGGATGTCAGGCAGAGTTGGCAGCCAGCTTATTATGTCAAAGCACTTCTTCCTTTGGGATCTTGTCCACCCTCCATCCGCTGCTGGACTTATTGCTAGAAGACCTGGATTTAAGTTACAGCTCTGCTGCTTACTAAGCCTGTGACCTTAGGCAAAGCACTTTAATCCTCAAACTTCATTTTCTTAGTCAGTTAGAGGTGGTGGATAATTCTTCCAACTTCATGTTTGTGATGAGACTCAAGCAACAATAATGGATGAAAAAATGCTTTGTGAACTGACAAGTAATATACAAATGTCAAGTACTGTGATCATTTTATTATTACTATCCTAATGGTTGTTATCATTATCATTATTACGATAATCTGTGAGTAGTTGGTTTCATGGTAAACAACTAAGTTTGTTTCCAGACTTAGATTTAAATCTTGGCCCTGCCATTTATTAGCTGTACGACCACAAGCAAACTACTAAATTTCTCTGTGCCTTAATTTTCTCATTCACAAAAAATGGGAGTAATAAGGATACCACTTAATTCATAGGATTGTTAGGAAGTTTAAAAGATAACATAAAAGTAAAGTGCCCAGTACATAGCAAGTTCTTAACTAACATTAGTTTCCTTTGCTTTTTACCTTTTGTTAATCCTTTTAGGCATCCCTTGAATGTTTATGAAACACCCATCATATGCCAGACCTTGTGCCAAGTGCTCAGGATGCAAGAGATAAAGATTTGAGAAATGCATTGTGTGACTAAGGTGACAAAGAAACAACAGCAATTCACTGGGCTAAGTGGTTTGTACAACAACCAGGAGAGAGCAGATTAATTCTGTCTAGGAGCTCAGGATGGCACTTGAACCAGACTTTGAAAAATGTGCACAGGATTTTGCCATCAGAGAAACAAGGTGAGGACATGTTAAGCAGAGAGGACTTTGAACCAAAGCTCTGAAGCACAGAGGTCTATGATCTATCAGTGGCAGCAGGTGAAGCTAGAGAAAGCTGGGACCAGATTGGAAGAGGCCAGGCAGACTACCTGAAGGGGCTGGATCTTACATGAGAACACTGGGAAGCCCCTAAAATTCTGTAAGCAGGGAGGTGACATGGCTAGATGTGCTTTTCAGAAAGGCTTCCTGGGGCATGAAGAATGGACTGGACTGGAGGGGGAGGAATGAGTGGGGTAACAATAGAGGGGAATAATTCAGAAGACAGAAGAGGCCCAAATTAGGTAACTGGCTCGGGGAAGGAAAGGTTTGGACTTGGTGAAATGGAGCTGTGTGAAAAAAAGGAGTAGGAGCTGACTTGGGTGTCTGGTTCGGGAAAGAAGGAGGGTGGTGATGTCATTAACCTGGAGAAGGAACAAACTCAGCACAAATGATTCCCAGCTGTGCCTACTCTCAAACACAGAAAAGCCAGAAATAGGCTTGGCCCTGTGACCAGCAAGAGGGTACCCTATGATCAGATGAGATTAAGGGGCTAATATCCTCAACTGACTTTAAGGTCGAAAGAAAAAAGGACCTCCCCTAAGTCCCTATTTCTTTATGTGTTTTTGAGGACCCTAAGAAAAATGGGGGTGAATAATTGTTTAGGAAAATATAAACATAAAGACTGTATTATTTTATAACTACCTTACAACTATAACTACATTGCATAATATAAAGTGGTAAAATTATAAATGTTCTAGTGTTTAAAAATTAATGGAACCATGGGTGAATTTTATTTGTATATACTTTTCTATGTTTTTCAAATCTTCTATCATGAACATACATAATTTTTATAATGAAAAAAAGTTAACTCTAAAAAAATGCGCAAAAGACTTGAGTAAACACAGAAGATAACCAAGTAACCAATAAATAAAAAGATCCCTACCTTTATTAGACATCAAGAAAATGCTATGTAAAGTCACTATACAATGCTACTACACATGTAGCCAACTGATAAAATGAAAAAGATGGAAAATATCAAGTGTTGGCATGAATGTAGAAAAAAATGGAACTCTCATACATTGCTTGTAAGGAGTGTAAATTTATAGAATTATTTTGTAAAACTTCTTGTTAGTATATTTTATGTACACTATAGCTGAACATATGCAAACACTACAACCAAGCAATTCCACTCTTAAGTATATATCCAAAAGAAATGCATACATATGTTGACCAAGAAATAAGTAGAGTGTTCACAGTATAACTATTTGTAGTCATACCAATCTGGAAACTATTCTAATGCCCATCAATAGTACACTAGATAAATAAATTATGATATATTAATACAGTGCAATATGATGCAGCAATGAAAATTAGCATTCTACAGCTATATGCAATAGTAGGAATGCTTCTCAAACACATAATTTTAAGTGAAAGAATAGAGACATTTATAGGAAGACAAAGCCAATCTATGCCATTTGAAGTCTGGATGATGCTTACCCTTGTGGAATGTATAACTAGAAGGGAGCATGGTGAAGGCTTCTGGAGTCCTAGTAATGTTTTGTTTCTTATGGGTGCTGATTATACAGGTACATTTCTGGGAATTCATTGAGCTGTATGATATAGTGTATGTATGTTATACTTCAATAAAAACTTAAAATATATAAATATTAGTCTAAAAATCAACTAAAATAGAGCAGTAGAAATAAGAGACTGGTGATTATACCAGTAATATTTAGTGGAACTCCCTGGTTCCCTAGCCTGGTTTTAGTGTCTACAGGTGATGGTAGGAGGAGAGAGCTAGGTGCTAGGAATGGTAACACAGAGGTAAAAGACATCTACACCAGCATTTCTAGATCCATAAAGCCCCAGGATCTGAAAAAGAAATACATTTCTTCTTATTGAGTATAGGAACAAGTACCTAATATTAGGAATGGAAAAGGTGATACTACTACAGATCCCACAGAACTAAGAAGAACATGAAGCTATTATAAACAACTCCATACCAATACATTTGCAACTGTAGGTTTAATGGACATATTTCTCAAAAAAAAAAAAAAATCCCACAACTTACCAAAACTGATACAGAAAGAAAGAGAAAATCTGAATAGTCCTACATATAATGGAGAAACAAATCTATAGTTTCAAATGCTCACACACACACACACACACATATACACATACTTCAGGTCTAGATGGCATCTGTAGTGAAATCTACTACATTTAAGGAAGAGATAGCAAAACTTTTACAAAAATTTTTCCAAAGACTTTTGAAAAAGAGGGAATTCTCCCCAGTTCATCTAAAGCATTAGGAAACCTTGATATCAAAACCTGACAAGAATATTACAAGAAAGAAAAAGTGTAAGTCAAAGTTACTCACAAACCTAGACAGAAGATTCATAAGCCTGATATCATCAAATAAAATTAAAGAATATATAAAAAAGATACCTTAAGTTTATCACAAAAATGCAAGGTTGATTTAATATTTAAAAAGAGTGTAATTCAGGCCGGGCGCAGTGGCTCACGCCTGTAATCCCAGCACTTTGGGAGGCCAAGGTGGGCAGATCATGAGGTCGGGAGATCAAGACCATCCTGGCAATCACAGTGAAACCTTGTCTCTACTAAAAATACAAAAAATTAGCCAGGCGTGGTGGCAGTCACCTGTAATCCCAGCTACTCGGGAGGCTGAGGCAGGAGAAAGGGGTGAACCCAGGAGGTGGAGCTTGCAGTGAGCTGAGATCATGCCACTGCACTCCAGCCTGGGTGACAGATCAATACTCTGTCTCAAAAAAAAAAAAACAAACAAACAAACAAAAAGAGTGTAATTCGAAAAACCGGGAGCCAAGATGGCCGAATAGGAACAGCTCCAGTCTACAGCTCCCAGCGTGAGCAATGCAGAAGATGGGTGATTTCTGCATTTCCAACCGAGGTACCGGGTTCATCTCACTGGGGAGTGCAGGACAGTGGGTGCAGTGCACCATGCATGAGCCGAAGCAGGGCAAGGCATCGCCTCACCCAGGAAGTGCAAGGGGTCAGGGAATTACCTTTCCTAGTCAAAGAAAGGGGTGACAGATGGCACCTGGAAAATCACATCACTCCCACCCTAATACTGTGCTTTTCCAATGGCCTTAACAAAAGGCACACCAGGAGATTATATCCTGCACCTGGCTCAGACGGTCCTATGCCCACGGAGCCTCGCTTATTGCTAGCACTGCAGTCTGAGATCAAACTGCAAGGTGGCAGTGAGGCTGGGGGCAGGGCACCCGCCATTGCCCAGGCTTGAGTAGGTAAACAGAGTGGCTGGGAAGCTCGAACTGGGTGGAGCTTAGCCTGCCCTGAAAGAGCTCCTGAAGGAAGCACTAAACATGGAAAGGAACAACTGGTACCAGCCACTGCAAAAACATGCCAAATTGTAAAGACCATTGAGGCTAGGAAGAAACCGCATCAACTAACGAGCAAAATAACCAGCTAACATCATAATAACTGGATCAAATTCACACATAATAATACTAACCTTAAATGTAAATGGGCTAAATGCTCCAATTAAAAGGCACAGACTGGCAAATTGGATAAAGAGTCAAGACCCATCTGTGTGCTGTATTCAGGAAACCCATCTTATGTGCAGAGACACACATAGGTTCAAAATAAAGGGATAAAGGAAGATCTACCAAGCAAATGGAAAACAAAATAGGCAGAGGTTGCAATCCTAGTCTCTGATAAAACAGACTTTAAACCAACAAAGATCAAAAGAGACAAAGAAGGCCATTACATAATCGTAAAGGGATCAATTCAACAAGAAGAACTAACTATCCTAAATATATATGCACCCAATACAGGAGCACCCAGATTCATAAAGCAAGTCCTTAGTGACCTACAAAGAGACTTAGACTCCCACACAATAATAATGGGAGACTTTAACACCCCACTGTCAACATTAGACAGATCAATGAGACAGAAAGTTAACAAGGATATCCAGGAAATGAACTCAGCTCTGCACCAAGTGGACCTAATAGACATCTACAGAACTCTCCACCCCAAATCAACAGAATATACATTCTTTTCAGCACCACACCATACCTATTCCAAAATTGACCACATAGTTGGAAGTAAAGCACTCCTCAGCAAATGTAAAAGAACAGAAATCATAACAAACTAACTGTCTCTCAGACCACAGTGCAATCAAACTAGAACTCAGGATTAAGAAACTCACTCAAAACCACTCAACTACATGGAAACTGAACAACCTGCTCCTGAATGACTACTGGGTACATAACGAAATGAAGGCAGAAATAAAGATGGTCTTTGAAACCAACGAGAACAAAGACACAACATACCAGAATCTCTGGGACACATTTAAAGCAGTGTGTAGAGGGAAATTTATAGCACTAAATGCCCACAAGAGAAAGCAGGAAAGATCTAAAATTGACACCCTAACATCACAATTAAAAGACTAGAGAAGCAAGAGCACACACATTCAAAAGCTAGCAGAAGGCAAGAAATAACTAAGATCAGAGCAGAACTGAAGGAAATAGACACACAAAAAACCCTTCAAAAAATCAATGAATTCAGGAGCTGTTTTTTTGAAAAGATAAACAAAATTGATAGACCACTAGCAAGACTAATAAAGAAGAAAAGAGAGAAGAATCAAATAGATGCAATAAAAAATGATAAAGGGGATATCACCACCGATCCCACAGAAATACAAACTACCATCAGAGAATACTATAAACACCTCTACGCAAATAAACTAGAAAATCTAGAAGAAATGGATAAATTCCTCGACACATACACCCTCCCAAGATTAAACCAGGAAGAAGTTGAATCTCTGAATAGACCAATAACAAACTCTGAAATTGAGGCAATAATCAATAGCTTACCAACAAAAAAAAGTCCAGGACCCGATGGATTCACAGCCGAATTCTACCAGAGGTACAAGGAGGAGCTCTTACCATTCCTTCTGAAACTATTCCAATCAATAGAAAAAGAGGGAATCCTCCCTAACTCATTTTATGAGGCCAGCATCATCCTGATACCAAAGCCTGGCAGAGACACAACAAAAACAAGAGAATTTTAGACCAATATCCTTGATGAACATTGATGCAAAAATCCTCAATAAAATACTGGCAAACCGAATCCAGCAACACATCAAAAAGCTTATCCGCCATGATCAAGTGGGCTTCATCCCCGGGATGTAAGGCTGGTTCAACATATGCAAATCAATAAACATAATCCAGCATATAAACAGAACCAAAGACAAAAACCACATGATTATCTCAATAGATGCAGAAAAGGCCTTTGACAAAATTCAGCAACCCTTCATGCTAAAAACTCTCAATAAATTCGGTATTGATGGGACGTATCTCAAAATAATAAGAGCTATCTATGACAAACCCACAGCCAGTATCATACTGAATGGACAAAAACTGGAAGCATTCCCTTTGAAAACTGGCACAAGACAGGGATGCCCTCTCTCACCACTCCTATTCAACATAGTGTTGGAAGTTCTGGCCAGGGCAATCAGGCAGGAGAAGGAAATAAAGGGTATTCAATTAGGAAAAGAAGAAGTCAAATTGTCCCTGTTTGCAGATGACTTGATTGTATATCTAGAAAATCCCATCGTCTCAGCCCAAAATCTCCTTAAGCTGATAAGCAACTTCAGCAAAGTCTCAGGATACAAAATCAATGTGCAAAAGTCACCAGCATTCTTATACACCAAGAACAGACAAACAGAGCCAAATCATGAATGAACTCCCATTCACAATTGCTTCAAAGAGAATAAAATACCTAGGAATCCAACTTACATGGGATGTGAAGGCCCTCTTCAAGAAGAACTACAAACCACTGCTCAATGAAATAAAAGAGGATACAAACAAATAGAAGAACATTCCATGCTCATGGGTAGGAAGAATCAATATCGTGAAAATGGCCACACTGCCCAAGGTAATTTATAGATTCAATGCCATCCCCATCAAGCTACCAATGACTTTCTTCACAGAATTGGAAAAAACTACTTTAAAGTTCATATGGAACCAAAAAAGAGCCCGCATTGCCAAGTCAATCCTAAGCCAAAAGAACAAAGCTGGAGGCATCACGCTACCTGACTTCAAACTACACTACAAGGCTACAGTAACCAAAACAGCATGGTACTGGTACAAAAACAAACAGAGATATAGACCAATGGAACAGAACAGAGCCCTCAGAAATAATGCCGCATATCTACAACTATCTGATCTTTGACAAACCTGACAAAAACAAGAAACGGGGAAAGGATTCCCTATTTAATAAATGGTGCTGGGAAAACTGGCTAGCCATATGTAGAAAGCTGAAACTGGATCCCTTCCTGACACCTTATACAAAAATTAATTCAAGATGGATTAAAGACTTAAATGTTAGACCTAAAACCATAAAAACCCTAGAAGAAAACCTAGGCAATACCATTCAGGACATAGGCATGGGCAAGGACTTCATGTCTAAAACACCAAAAGCAATGGCAACAAAAGCCAAAATTGACAAATGGGGTCTAATTAAACTAAAGAGCTTCTGCACAGCAAAAGAAACCACCATCAGAGTGAACAGGCAACCTGCAGAATGGGAGAAAATTTTTGCAACCTACTCATCTGACAGAGGGCTAATATCCAGAATCTACAATGAACTCAAACAAATTTACAGGAAAAAAACAAACAACCCCATCAAAAAGTGGGCAAAGGATATGAACAGACACTTCTCAAAAGAAGACATATATGCAGCCAAAAAACACATGAAAAAATGCTCATCATCACTGGCCATCAGAGAAATGCAAATCAAAACCACAATGAGATACCATCTCACACCAGTTAGAATGGCGATCATTAAAAAGTCAGGAAACAACAGGTGCTTGAGAGGATGTGGAGAAATAGGAACACTTTTACACTGTTGGTGGGACTGTAAACTAGTTCAATCATTGTGGAAGTCAGTGTGGCGATTCCTCAGGGATCTAGAAGTAGAAATACCATTTGACCCAGCCATCCCATTACTGGGTATATACCCAAAGGACTATAAATCCTGCTGCTATAAAGATACATGCACATGTATGTTTATTGCGGCACTATTCACAACAGCAAAGACTTGGAACCAACCTAAATGTCCAACAGTGATAGCCTGGATTAAGAAAATGTGGCACATATACACCATGGAATACTATGCAGCCATAAAAAATGATGAGTTCATGTCCTTTGTAGGGACATGGATGAAGCTGGAAACCATCATTCTCAGCAAACTATCACAAGGACAAAAAACCAAACACCGCATGTTCTCACTCATAGGTGGGAATTGAACAATGAGAACACATGGACACAGGAAGGGGAACATAACACACCGGGGACTGTTGTGGGGTGGGGTGAGTGGGGAGGGATAGCACTGGGAGATATACCTAATGCTAAATGATGAGTTGATGGGTGCAGCACACCAACATGGCACATGTATACATATGCAACAAATCTGCACGTTGTGCACATGTACCCTAAAACTTAAGGTGTAATAATAATAAAAAAAGAGTGTAATTCAAAATATTAAGAGAATATAGAAAACTAATATGATACTCTTGATCGAAGCATGGAAAGCAATTAATAAAACCCAACACCTACTCATGGTAAAAGCTCTAAGTGATATAGAAATGAAAATTATTTTATAAGAAAAAGTTAAAAAGAAACAGCCAACAACAGTCTTAATGAGAAATATTAAAGCTTTTCCTTCAAAGATGAAAACAAGACAAGGATGGACTTCTGTTAGAAAAACATGTACTGGAGCTTCTAGCCAGCACATTAGAGAACAAATAAAAATAAAAATTGTAAAGGGATAGTGAACACTGTCAATATTTACAGATAATATTATATTAAACATAGAAAATCCAAAAGAATATATGATAAATAATCATAATTTAAAAAATTATTGAGAAAGGTTGTTGAAAACAAGGTCAATATGTAAAAACCAAATATAAGTGTATAATACTAGCAAAGAGCTGGAAAATAGATTATTCTTTAGATATTATAACCTAGTCATAATAGCATCAGAAAATATAAAATAGTAATAAATCTGATAAAAGGTATGAAAGACTTCTACACATACATACACCCCCAAAAAACCCTATAAAACATTATTGGAAAAATTAAAAGATCTAAATTCATAAGCATTAAAAACTAAATACTGTGAAAACATCAATTATATCCAAACTGAGCTATATATTCACTTTAATATCAATCAAAATGTCAATAGTTTTTCTTTATTCCTTTTTTCTTTGTGAAATTGAAAATGTATTATTTTAAAATGTACATAAAAGCACAAATGGCCAAGAAGCTAAGACATTCCTTAAAGAAGAACAAAAAGGTAGAAGGATATACCACTAAACTATAATAATTAAGATAGTGTGACATTAGTACAATGATAGTTAAATAGACCAATGAGGTGGAAGAGAGTTTAGAAAATACCATACATGTATGGACATTGGCTTCTGAGACTGTGGAACTGTGGGAATAGGACAATCTTTTCTATAAATAATATTGGAACCCTCGGATACCCATATACAAAAAATAAACTTGACCTTTATACCAGAGCATATACAAAAATTAATTTCAGTTGGTATTCATATCTGAAAGTGAAAGCACTATAAAGATTCTATGTGATAATATAGGATATTATTTCTATGGACTTAGGAGAAAAACAGAAATTATTTAGAAGCACATAAAAGTACTAATCATGAAAGAAAAGGCTGTTAAATTAGACTACACTAAAACTAAGAACTTCAACTTATCAAAAGATACCATGAGTAGAAAAAAAAAACATGTGCTCAGACAGAGAAGTTATTTGCATCCATATAAAGTAAGCAAAGATTCAATCTAAAATATATGAAGAGCTCTTACAAATCAATAAAACACAGACAATTAATTAAAAAGTGGGTGAAAAGGGGACTTCATAAGAAAAGATATTTCAGAGGCCGGTAAACATATGAACGTGATCAACCTTATTAGTAATCAAGGAAATGAAAACTAAAACCACAATGAAACACCACTACACATCTACCAGAGTAACTGAAACTCACAAGATTGGTAATAGCAAGTGTTGGCAAGGTTGCGCAGCCACTGGAGCACTCAGACATTGTTGATGGGACTGTACGTTGGTACAATTACTTGGAAAACAGCTTGGTATTACCTGCTAAACTTAAACTTACATATATTCTATGACCCAGCAGTTTCAATCCCAAGTAAATATCCAGCAGAAATATACACATGTGCACCAAAAGACACGTACAGGCTGGGCAGGGTGGCACACGCCTGTAATCCCAGTAACCTGGGAGGCTGAGGCAGGAGAATTGCTTGAACCCAGGAGGTAGAGGTTGCACTGAGCTGAGATCACACCACTGCACTCCAGCCTAGGCGTGAGACAAAGTGAGACTCCGTCTAAAAAAAAAAAAAAATTGTGCAGGGATGTTGTTCATAGTAACATTATTTATAATAACCCCAAAGTGAAAACAATCCAAATTCTAACAGTGGAATAGACAGATGAATGGGGTATATTTGTACAGTGGTAAAGTATACAGCAATGAAAATAAACTGCTGTATGCAACGATGGGTGACTCTCATGTATATAATAGTGATCAAAATAAGTCAAATACAAAATAATATATAGTATAAGTCTATTTATATAAAGTCCCAAAATAGGCAATATTAATCTATAATCTTAGAAGCCAGAAGAAGAGTAACCTCTGGATAAAAATAAGCCTCCAGAAGTAGAAAGAGAGTAGTGAGGGGGAGGAGGGGACAAGAAGAGAGCATCTTGGATGCTAGAGGTGTTTTATTTCCCAATCTAGGTGACGGCTTCCTAGGTGTCTATTGCATGATAATTTGTGGAACTATGTAGTTTCGTGTTTTGTGTGTATTTCTGTATGAGTGTTATATTTCAATTGAAAAAACGTTTTAAAGAAAAATAAGCATAATGTCCATGATAAACTAGAAATAGTTTAAGCCCTCGGCTGCATAAGTGGATTGAAAAGGAAAGGTCAAAGGAACTTTGTGAAGGGAGGATAAATTAATGAAAACAGGGGTGTACTTCAAATAGCAAATTCACAGTAAATGGAGGTTATTTTTACAAAGTCAACTCTCAACTTCCTTTTTTTCGTTGTCTTCATAAATCATGCAAAGCGGGCTGCCTGCCTTGGCAGTTCCATACTAAAATTGCTCCACATACACATTCATGTGTCCTCCCCTATTTGAAGGTAAACAAGTCTCAGCCAAGACAAAATTGAAAAAGTTTGTAGGGTATTTCTTTTGTCTCCAGTTTCTTTCTGTAGCTTTGGTGTATTTTTTCAAGTTCACTGGGCTTGCAGTCAGAACCTCAGGTACAAGTTCAAACTAAATATCTCTTGTTTCATAGTCACTGGTCCTGGGAATAGTTACTTGACAGCTCTGAGCCTCAGTTTCCTTTTTTGCACAACAGGAAGAATACAAATGCCTGCCTCCCAGAATTGTGAACACTAAGTGACACAAAGCATACACACACACACACACACACACTTCAAACCTCAAGGTGTACACCTGAAAGGGACTGCTCTCCCTCCCCGCCCATCTCCTTGGCAATGCCCATTTCAGGTGTTAACTCTTTTAACCCTCCCCCCTGTATCATAGCAGGGAAGAATCTGATATCAGTAATTTATATTCCAAGGATTGATTGATTATTCTCCAACTGGAGCTCAGCCAGGCATTTGCATTTTATGCCTTTTATTCCTAATTGTGGCATGAAAGTCTTTTTCCCTTGTTAAAAGAATCTGAGACATCAGCAAGAAGGTGGAGAGCTCCAGGGGCAGTGAGGGGAAGCTTGAAATCACATTAGCCAGATTCTGCTGTTCTGAAGGTGAATCTGATTGAGCCCTTTTCAAGTGCCTTTTATTTTGCTGGAGATGGAGTGTAGTCAGAGGGACTGCCCCCGTTAAATGGCCCCTGCTCTGGTAGACTGGGTCAGGGAGAAGGTATGCAGTCATCTGAGGATATTGAAGTCCCAAGCCATGCAGATGATAAAAGAAAGTGAATCCCTCAGCCACTATTTTTAGGACCCAAAGCCTGCCTCACTCCAAGGGAGGGCAGCTACAGTCCTGCCCTCCTACCACCCCTTACACCTCTTCTGGTTTGAATTCAGCTCTATCTTCTCCTCCAATTCTCCTAAACTTCACCTAATCACTGCCACCCCTTCCCTCTGTCCCATGCAACCCCGAGGACTTTCAGCATCATTTTATTTCACTTTTAAAGACTGTTCCTACCTTAATCTCTCTCACCCGGTAGCCTAACGTTTATTCCTAGGCCTCGTTTATAAAGTCTACATTTGGTTATAATATTTCAGAAATATGTTTTTGTAATTTTTCTCCTTGGTTAACAAAGATGTTGCTGTCCTGAATATGTTTAAAAGAAAAAGGAAGTTGAAACAATACAGGAAACTCAAGAGGAACTGGCAGGATGAATTGGTGCAAATTGCTAAGTACACAAGGATGGCGTAAAGGAGCATATTGTCTGACCAGAAAAACCCGACTAGGTAGAGAGAGGGGAACTCTCAAGATCTTGTGTAGTCCACCAAAAAGTGTCTGAAGCTTTGACTTGGATAAATAGGTGCTGGGCTGAAACCAAGGAAGGCAGACTTTCTAAGATGGGATTCAGGTGGCTGCAAAGGGAGTTGTTTGACTCAGCATTGAGAGGCAGAATTTGGGCAGCCAGCAAGAAATGACGGAGTTAACCAGACATCCAACTAAAGGAATACTAGGTGTGAAATAAGGCAGATGAGCTTGTTGAGCCCCTGGTTTCAGAAATGAGGAGATGCACCTGTGATGGATCCATCTAACTATAGCTTGGCCTGAAGAGGAGCTCACACCAGAGAGGTTGTCTCGCACTTGAAGTGGCTGGATGAGCATGGCAGAGCAGTAAGGAGGCAGGGAGGTCCAGAGCCCGCTTCCTCCAAGACTCAAGAGAAAAGACAGGAGAAGCCCAATCCTCTGTGAGGTGTGAAATGTGGAGTGAAATATACAGGGCACTGTCAACTTTGTTGTTGGAGGAGGTGGCTGTTTATTGCTTTAATGGGAAAGTGTAGCAGATCTAGTCATCTCAGAACTGTTCCTACAAATTCACATTTTTCTCTACAACCCACAGAATCTCTCTCCTTTCTCTTTTCTGCCCTTTATAATACACACCTGACCTCTCAGGTCCCACCTTCTGGTTCAGGCCTCCTCCCCTTCAGAATATAAGAAGTAGAGGCATCTTTTCCAAGTCATCATGTTGGATGAAAATGGCTTCTTGCTACATTCACATTAAAACTTGAAAATGGAAAAGAAAAAGAGAGGGGGAAAAAGTAGCTAAATAGCAATGTTCGCTCAGCATGATTTTGCTTTAATCCAAGCCTGTGAGCTTACCAGGGCTCAGAATAAACGAAAGCAGATGCGTCCATCACACCAGCAGATATATTACTACTAATCCGAGACAAGATGACAAAAACACATCACGCCTGGACCCCACACTGTTTCCATCTTAATCCGCCTCTAATTGCACTGGGCATGCTGCCTGCACACCTCTGTCCTCTGATGCTCCTCTGGTTCCACTTGCATCCTGGAGTTGGCCAGCGCCAAAGGGGCCCTTTTTGCTGGAGCAGAGGTGGCATCTGGGGTTTGTGTGTGTCTTGGAGAACAGGATGATGCAGCTAGTGTGGCAAGAAGAGGACTCAGCCAAGGGCCAAGAGGTGTGGTTCAGCAGCAGGAGAGGGTTAGACGAGACAGTTTATGTGAAAGTACCTAAAGCAACTCTTGACACATAGCAAAACTCAGTAAATGCTACCTTCTCCAAATAGGAGCTACCATTATTCACTGCCTACTGTGCGTCATGCACATTTTCTAATTAAAAAATATGTAAGTAATGCTTGCTAACTGTAAAAAAAAAAAAAGTCTAACACTAGAGAAGTTTATAATCAAAGAGTAAAAATTTCCTGGTTTTGCACACCTTCCCCCCAATGCCACTCCTCAGGGATAATCACTGTGAAAAAAAAAAATGTATATATATATATATAAATATACACACACACAGAGATATACACATACATACACGCGAACACACTTTGACATATATAGATGTATAAAAATATACAAATATATATTTTAACAGTCTAGGTGTATTATATAGTAAATAATATTAATGTGTAATATATATTCTATATAAGTTTATAACTGTGCTTGTGCATATGTATATGTATATACACACATGTATATGTGTATACATGCATGTGTGTTTTTATATATTGCTTTCATACTATATATACTACGCTGCAACTTTTTCAAAATTTAATGTTGAGGGGCTTCAAGGTGGCTGACTAGAGGCATCTGGTAAACGCCTTTTCCACAAAGAAGAACCAAATAGTGAGTAGATAATCACACTTCAAATAGATCATCAAAGAGAGAGCACTGGAATTCAATATAGAAGTAACAGAAAACACTTAAAGCACGGAAAAGAGAGGGAAGCAAGGCAGACTGCTCAGTAGGATTGGCTGAGAGCCTGGAGAGGCTCTCTAATGCAGGGAAAGAGTAAGCAAGTGACCTCCAGTGATGTACATTCCAACCATGGACTCCTGCATCTTAGCTACAGGAAAACTCCTAGACCCTCGCAATCCCTGTGACTAACATAGGAAGCTGCCTAAAGACCATGTGAAGGTATTGCTCCGGAGAGGGAGCTCATACTAGGGCTCACCCTTTCCCTCATGAAGCCATAAGCAGCTACAGCAAGGTTCCATATTAAAAGCCCAGCCCCCGCAACACTGCATCCCGTCCAGGGGCCCAGTAGCCCCTGCATTTCCACATCTCTGGAGCCCAACTTATATTCCTTACCTGCAGCCACTGCTGCAGCTGGCTGCTGCCTCCAGAGCTAAAGCACTAGCCATTGGCAAAGATCCTGCTGCCACCAGCAGCAAAGTTTCCATGCATTTTCACATGCCTCAAAGACAAACTCCCCCACTTGCAGCAGCTGCTGCTGCAGGCTATAGCAGCTGGGGCCAAAGCATAAATAAAGTGCATATTTCCCAGCTGCCGGCATATGATTGCTGCCGCTGAAAGCAACACTGCCCTCACCAGTAGCAGGGCTGCAGTGCAGCTGCTGCCACACCCACCTAAACATTTTGCCTTGGGCCTGGGGATGACCTCACCCTGGCCTACCACAGACAGCATCTGCATGTACCACCAGTGGTCCTGATGACAGATTTACCTGGCCTGGTTCCATTTTTTCAGTGCCCAAATATGCCATCCAGGGGCCTGGGGACTACCCAGCCTGATCCACCATCCTTGGCACCTGAGCAGTCTTTCTGGGGGTCTGAGGGTGGGATCACCTAGCCTTCTGCTACCACCAGAGTGGCATCCCCCCCTCCCCACATGTGCCACCTCCAGGCCTGGGGACTAGGCCACCTAGCCCATCACAGCCACTGTCAACACCAGTGCAGACTGCTTAGGACCCAGAGGTTAGCGCTACCACTGCTACCTCCATCACCCATGCCACACCCACCTGCGAAGCCCACCACTGCCACTAACAGCACCTGAGTAGGCTGCCTGGAAGCCCAAGAATAAGCTGACCTGAACCTGCTAACATCCGTGCCAGAATATGCCACCCTGGATCCCAAGGACAGGCATGCTCAGCTTGCCACTGCCACTACTGGGGCCCAAGGAGAGGCCCACCTGGTATCCCCATCCCCAGAAAAACATCACTACATCCTTCGTCAACAACCACACCCTAAGCCACTGAGGAAATCACAGAAACCACTGGTGCTGTGTACAGCCAAATAAGTCACATGAAGACTACACTACTGCACATACTCAGAATCAAAGCCAAAGTGCCTTACCCAACTGAAATCATAGATATATCTTTAGGAAAAATTGTCCCCTACAAAAGCAAAATTTTAAAAAATTCAAGAAGTGACTGTTACACCAGATGCACAGATATCAACATAAGGACACAAGAAGCATAAAAAAGCAAGTAAAATATGACACTTCAAAATATGACACTTCCAAAGGAACGTAATAATTCTCCAGCAACCAGGTTCCAATCAAAAAGAAATTTATGAAATCCTGGATAAGTAAGTTAAAGTAATGATATTAAAGAAGCTCAGTAAGATAAAACAGAACACATAAAAACAATACCTCAGAAAAACAATTCAGGACATGAATGAGCAGCTTAGCAAAGAAATAAATAACATTAAAAAAAAACAAACAGAAATTCTGGAACTGAAGAATTCATTAAAAAATAAATAAATAAATAAATTTGAAAGCTTCAACAATGGAATAAGTCAAGTGGAGTAAAGAATTTCAAAACTTGAAAACATGTCTTTTGAAATAACTCAGTCAGCTAAAAGTAAAAAAAGAATAAAAAACAATGAACAAATCCTATGTGACACTTGGGACACCATAAAGCAATTAAATATATAAATATTTGGTGTCCCAGAAGGTGAAGGAAAAGGGTTAGAAAATTTATTCAATGAAATAATAGCAGAAAACTTCCCAAGCCTAGCAAGAGATTTAGACATCCAGGAAACACAGAGTTCTCCAAACAGAAACAATGCAAAAAGCCTCTGTGGGACATTATAATCAAGCTGTTAGAAGTCAGAGACAAAGAGAGAATTCTAAAAACAGCAAGAGAAAAGCAGCTAGGTCACTTATAAGGGACTCCCCATCAGACTAACAGATTTCTCAGCAAAAACATTAGAGGCCAAGAGACAATGGAATAATATATTGAAAATGCTTTAAGAAAAAAGGATATACAAAACAACCAGAAATCAATTAATAAAATGACAGGAAGAAGCCCTTACACATCAAAAATAACCTTGATTTTAAAAAGATCTAATATTATGCTGCCTACAAGAAATTAATCTTAACTATAAAGACACATACAGACTGAAAGTAAAGAAATAGAAAAAGATATTCCATGCAAACAGAAACCAAAAGCAAGCAGGAGTAACTATACTTGTATCAGATAAAAGAGAATTTAAGTCAAAAACAGTAAAGAGACAAAGAAGGTCATTATAACAACAGGACATAACAATTCTAAACATATGCACCCAACAATGGAGCATCCAGATATATAAAACATATATTATTAGATCTAAAGGGAGAGATAGGCTCTAATAAAATAGTAATTAGGGACTTCAACACCCCAGTCTAAGCATTAGACAGATTCTCTATACAGAAAATTAACTTAGAAACATTGGAATTAAACTGCACATTAGACCATGTAAACTTAACATGCATTTATAGAACATTTCATGCAATAACTACAGAATACACATTTTTCTCAACACATGGAACGTTCTTCAAAATAAACCATATACTAGGACACAAAAAAGTCTCAATAGCAAGTTTTTAAAAATCAGTCATATCAAGCAACTTATCAGATAACAATGGATTAAAACTAGAAATTAATAACGAGGAACTTGGAAAACTGTAAAAATACATGGAAATTAAACAACATTATCCTGAATAGCCACTGGGTCAATGAAGACATTAAAGAGGAAATTAAATAATTTATTGAAACTACTAAAGATTGAAACACAATATGCCAAAACCTGTGGGATACAGTAAAAGCAGTGCTAAGAGTAAAGTTTACAGCAATATATGCTTACATCAAAAAAGTTAAAAAATTATAAATAATCTAATGATGCATCTCAAGGAACTAGAAAAGCAAGAATAAAACTCAAAATTCATAGAAGAAAAAAGATCAGAACAGAAGTAAATGAAATAGAGACTAAAAAATACAAAGAGTCAACGAAACTAAAAGTTGTTTTTGAAAAGGTAAACAAAATCAGTAAACTGTTAGCTAGGCTAACCAAGAAAAAGAGAGAATACCCAAATAAACAAAATCAGAAATGAAAAAGAAGACATTACAACTGATACCACAGAAATACAAAAGATTTTCAGAGACTATTATGAACAACTACACACCACTAAACTGAAAAACCTAAGGAAAATGAATACATTCCTGAAAACAAACAACCTACCAAAGTTGAATCAGAAAGAAATGGAAAACTAGAGCAGACCAGTAAGTAATGAAATCAAAGTAGAAATAAAAAGTCTCCCAACAAAAGGATTCCCTGTTTAATAAATGGTGCTGGGAAAACTGGCTAGCCATATGCAGAAAACAGAAACTGGACCCCTTCCTTACACTTTATACAAAAATTAACTCAAGATGGATTAAAGACTTACATGTAAAGCCCAAAACCATAAAAACCCTGGAAGAAAACCTAGGCAATACCATTCAGGACATAGGCATGGACAAATATTTTATGATAAAATTACCAAAAGCAATTGCAACAAAAGCTAAAATTGACAAATGGGGTCTAATTAAACTAAAGAGCTTCTTCACAGCAAAAGAAACTATCATCAGAGGAAACAGGCAACCTACAGAATGGGAGAACATTTTTGCAATCTACCCATCTAACAAAGGTCTAATATCCAGAATTTACAAGGAACTTAAACAAATTTACAAGAAAAATACAAACAACCCCATCAAAAATTGGGCAAAGGACATGAACAGACCCTTCTCAAAAGAAGACATTTATGCAGCCAACAAACATGAAGAAAAGCTCAACATCTCTGATAATTAGAGAAATGCAAATCAAAACCACAAGGAGATACCATCTCACCCCAGTCAGAATGGCTATTATTAAAAAGTCAAGAAACAACAGATGCTGGTGAGGCTGTGGAGAAATAAAAATGCTTTTACATTGTTTGTGGGAATGTAAATTAGTTCAACCATTGTGGAAGATAGTGTGGTTATTCCTCAAGGATCTAGAACCAGAGATACCATTTGACCCAGCAATCTCATTACTGGGTATATACCCAAAGAAATAGAAATTATTCTGTTGTAAAGATACATGCACACATATGTTTATTGCAGCACTATTCACAACAGCAAAGACATGGAACCAACTCAAGTGGCCATCAATGATGGACTGGATAAAGAAAATGTGGTACATAGACACCATGGAATACTGTGCAGCCACAAAAAGGAATGAGATCATGTCCTTGCAGGGACATGGATGAAGCTGGATGCCATCATCTTCAGCAAACTAACACAGGAACAGAAAACCAAACACTGCATATTCCCACTTATAAGTGGGAGTTGAACAATGAGAACACATGGACACAGGAGGGGAACAACACACACTAGGGCCTGTTGGGGGTTGGGGGTAAGGGAAAGAAGAGCCTCAGGACAAATAGCTAATGCATGCGGGGCTTAAAACCTGGGTGACAGGATAGGTTCAACAAACTACCATGGCTCACATATACCTATATAACAAAAAAAAATGTGCACATTCTGCATATGTATCCTGGAACTCAAAGTAAAATTAAAAATAAATAAATAATTTTTAAAAAAGAGAAAATTACCATTAAAAAACAATCTCCCAACAAAGAAAAGTCCAGGACCTGATGGCTTCATTGCCAAATTCTACCAAACTTTCTAACAAGAACTAGCACCAATTCTTCTGAAATTATTCCAAAAAATTGAAGAGGAGGGAGTTCTCTCTAACTCATTCTATGAAGACCGCATTACCTTGGTACCAAAAGCAGACAATGATGCAATAAAAAACTACAGGCCAATATCACTGATGAACATACATGCAAAAATCCTCAACAAAATATTAACAAACTGAATACAACATCACCTCAAAAAGAAAATACACAATAATCAAGTAGAATTTATTTCAAAGATGCAAGAATGGTTCAAAGTTTGCAAATCATGCAAATCAATAAATGTCATACATCACGTCAGCAGAATGAAGGACAAAAAATATATGCCATCTCAAAAGGCATAGAAAAAGTATTGGATAAAATTTAGCATTGCTTCCTGATTAAAAAAAAAAAACTCTCAACAAATTAGTCATTGAAGAAACATACCTCAACATAATAAAGATCATATATGACAAATCCATAACTAACATTATACCAAATGGGGAAAAGCTGAAATCCTTTCCTCTAAGAACTGGAACAAGATAAAGATACTCACTTTCACTACTCCTATTCAACATAGTACCTGAAGTCCTAGCCAGAATAATCAGGCAAGAGAAAAAAATAAAAGGAATCCAAACTGAAGAAAAAAAAAAAGTCAAATTGTCCCTCTTTGTAGATGACATGATCGTATGTCTAGAAAACGTGAAGACTCTACCAAAAAACTTTTATATTTGATAAATTCAGCAAAGTTGTAGCATAAAAAATCAACATATGAAAATCAGTACCATTTCTATACATCAATAATGGACTAGCTGAGAAAGAAATTAAGAAGGCAATCCCATTTACAATTTCTACAAAAAATAAAATACCTAGAAACACACTTAACCAAGGCAATGAAAGACCTCTACAGGGAAAACTACAAAACACTGATGAAAGAAATTTTAGAGGACACAAACAAATGGAAAGACATTCCATACTCATGGATTGGAAGGATTAATACCATTAAAATGACCATAACTGCCCAAAGCAATCTATAGATTCAATGCAATCCCTATCAAAATACCAATGTCACTTTTCACAGAAATAGAAAAAATAATTCTAACATTTATATGGAACCAAAAAATAGTCTGAATAGCCAAAGAAATCGTGAGCAAAAAGGACAAAGCTGGAGGCATCACACTACCTCACTTCGAAATACACTACAAGGCTAAAGTAACCCAAAAGCATGGCATTGGCAAAAAAACAGACACAGACCAATGGAACAAAATAGAGAACACAGAAATATATCCATGAATTTACAGTCAACTGATTTTTGACAAAGGTGCCAAGAACATACATTGGAAAATGGACACCCCCTTCAATAAGTGGTGCTGGGAAAATTGGATACTCACATGCAGAAGAATGACACTGGACCTCTATCTCTCACCATACACAAAATCCAAGTGAAGATAAATTAAAGATTTCAAACATGAAATCCAAAACTATAAAGTACTACATAAAAACCAAGGAAGAAACACTTTGTGCATTGGTCTAGCCAAAGATTTTATAGCTAAGACCTTGAGAGCATAGGCAACAAAAATAAAAATAGAGAAATGCAACAATATTAAACTAAAAATCTTCTACACAGCAAAGGATGCAATCAACGAAGTGAAGAAACAATTTTGTTGAATGAGAGAAAATATTTGCAAACTATTCATTCTACGAGGCACTAATATCCAGAAAATACAAGAAACTCAAACATCTCAACAACAACAAAACACAAATAATCTCATTTAAAAAAATGGATAAAGAACATTGAGACACTTTTCAAAAAAAAAAAAAAACCATACAATCGTCAACAGGTATATAAAAAATGCTCAACCTCACTAATCGTCAGAAAAATGCAAACAAAAATCACAATGAAGTATCATCTTACCTCAGTTTGAATGGCTATCATTAAAAAGACAAAAAATAACAGATGCTGGGGAGGATGCAGAGAAAAGGTAACTCTTATATACTGTTGGTGAGAATGTAAATTAGTACAGTCACTATGAAAAACAGTATGAAGATTTCTCAAAAAACTAAAAATGGAAGTGTCATATCATCCATCAATTCCACTACTGGACATGTACCCAAAGGAAAATAAATCAGTATATCAAAAGGATACCTGCACTATCGTGTTTATTGCAGCACTATTCACAATAGCAAAGATAGGGAATCAACCTAGATGTCCATCAATAGACAAATGGAATAAAAACATACTTATACACAATGTAATTCTATTTGGCCTTACAAAAGAACGAAATTTGTAGCAACACGGATGGAACTGGAACTCATTATGTTATGTGAAATAAACCAGAAACAGAAAGACAAATACTACATGCTTTTACTCATACGTGGGAGCTGAGGAAGTTGGTACCATGAAGGTAGGAATAGAATGAGAGATACCAGAGTCTGTGAAGGGTGTGTGTTGGATGCGCCATGGTAGGAAATAGAGGTTGGTTAATTGGTACAAAAATACAGTTAGATAGAAGGAATAAGTTCTAATGTTTGATGGCAGAGTAGAGTGACTATCGTTAACAAAAATGTATTGTGTATTTCAAAATAGCTAGAAGAGAGGACTTTAAGTGTTCCCAACACATAGTAATGGTAAATACTCAAGATGATGGACAACTTAAATATCCTGAATTGATCTTTACATTTTGTGTGCATGTAACAAAATACAGCATGCACCTGATAACTATGTACAAATATTTGTATCAATAAAAAAGTAATGTCAACAATTTTGTATAACAGTGCCCATAGATATATTTCACTCTTTTAACTACTGTATAGTATTCCATTGAGTCAATGAATCACAGCTTATTATTTTTAATTATGGGGCATGAATTTCGCAGTCATGTACAGGATTATGCAAAAAATATTGACCCTCTTTTTCCATAACTCAAATTAATCTGTATTTCAGTTCACCATTCTGTCTGGAGACAGAAAACATAATTGTGTCAGTTCCTAAAAAACTCACTCACCTCAGGGTTTGCTCAGTCACTTTAGACTCAAACTCAGTCAGCTGGAATTTCTTTCTTTGGAACCCTTCTCTCCAGAGTGGCATATACATTCTGGGGTTCCTGTGGCATCATGGTGGGCACAGAGCCTCTGGTCTGTGGCCCACCTTGATTCTACACCCTTCGAAATGAACCTTATGTCTCTGCGTGTTCATCAACATCTCACCCACTGACAGCTGTCCAGATGTCCTCACTCTGTCATGGTTCCCCTTCATCGACATTCAGACTCCTGTGCTCTTCCATGCTGGGTGCCGCCTCGGGCCCTCTGTCAGGCGGGAGTCAGCCTGCTGCCATTTCTACCCCGCTGCTGCCTAACCCATCATGCTGGCTTAGGAAAATTTCCTCTGCCACCTCGAAGGCTGCCCTGGGCAGACAGCACCTGTTCTCTCTTCTCACAGATCCTCCAATCCTATCTGAGGTGTTTGCCATAACATCCTGTGTTCCGTGTATGAAGCCCCTGTTCTGAAACTTTCACCACTAGCTCTCACCTGCTCTCCTCTCTGCCATTCTCTGGGGCTGCCATAGTCTCTCTTAGAACTTTTCAGGAAATACTGTCTTAACAATTATTTCTTCCCTACTTACTACTGTATCAGTAAATAATATAGTCTTGTATTGCATAACAATGTTTCTGTCAATGATTGTATATACAACCGTGGTCCCATAAAATTATAATACCGTGTTTTCACTGTAGTCTTTATTTTTGTTTTGCTTTGTTGTTTTTTTTAATAGAGATGGGTTTTTGCCATGTTGCCCAGGCTGGTCTCGAACTTAAGCTATCCTCCCACATTGGCCTCCCAAAGTGCTGGGATTAACAGGTGTGAGCCATAATGCTTGGCCTACTGTACTTTCTCTATGTGCAGATATGTTTCAATCATAAATACTTATCATTGTGTTATAATTGCCTACAGCATTCAGTACAGTAACGTGCTGTATGGGTTTGTAGCCTAGAAGCAATAGGCTATCCCATACAGCCTAGGAGTGTAGCAGGCTATACTATCTAGAGGTTTGTGTTAGTACACTTCTAGGATGTTCACAAAATGACAAAATTACCTACTAATGCATTTGTTAAGGGATGCATAAATGTGCATATACTTTTTATTTTGAATTATCACACTTACTAGGATCTACTAACCACCCTCCAATATGAATGATTAGGATTTTGTCACTCTTAAACTACCCACCTCCTTTCCCCCACTTCACCCCTCAACTTTTATTGTTACATATTTTTATGCTTTCTACTGGCTGCTTTTCTGACTAGATAATGTTTTTAGACATCTCATTCTTGATTTATTAGACACCATTTATTGACTCCATGTTGTGAAAGATGGGAAAAATACTCCTCACTCCTTACTCCTTCTACTTTTTCTTCTCCCTACACTTCCCAAGTTTTGTTAATTATATTATTATTTTAATGTTATCAAAGTAAGCAACAGTTACATTCCACTCTGTAACCATACTTCAGTTGTTTTTGCTTTTTCATGTGTTCTTTTATTAAACAGGTTGGTTCTAAAATTGAAATCAGTAGGTCATATTTACAATATTATGGTTATGGAAATAATATTTTAGTGGAACCAGGTTGGGTGATCAGGACCATAGAACAGGTAATATAACCAAGTATGAAAGTCTAAGACATCCTGTGCTACTTTCTTTCCACTTCACTTCTTTGAGTCATAATTATTCCACTTCTAAGAATAATCCCATCCTTTCTTTCATCATGTGATGAAAGACATCAAGAGGATGTCCTCTTTCCTGGTTATTTTTTATTTTGCTGATTGGCCTGTCGACTATTATTTTTATTAAGCATGCATGATCTTGCCTGTCTAAAAGGCTGTATTCTGTCCTAACAATTGAATGAGTTTGCCTGGCTATAGAATTCTAGGTTCAAAATGTTTCCCCTTAGAATTTCAGATATTCTGAAACATTCAGATAGTTCCTCCTCAGAGACGCCTCCAGTGCATTTTAACATCCAGAGCTGCTAATAAGAAGGCTGATACCAATCTCTTTCTAATTCTTTTTAAGGTACTCTTATCTTTTCTCTGTATAGTTCTGGAATTTTTGTTTTTTCACTTAGCCACAACTAAAATGTCATCAGATGTTGAGGTATGCTTCTTCCCTTCCTCCATCCCTTTTAAAACAAGAAGTATGCCTTACATGTGGTAAAATGTTCAAATCTTAAGGGTGCCTTAAGATTCTTTTGCCTTACACAACAATCCAACCCATTTAATCACAACCCAGATCAGAATGTAGAAAATGTCTAGTACTGTAGAAAGCTTCCTTAACTTTCCTTCTGTCATTTTACCTCTAGGCAAGACCACTCTTTTGACCTGTACCAACATATATTATTTTTGACTATTTGTAACTGTAATCAAAAGTACATAGTCTTTTGTGCCTTACTGCTTTAACTTAACATTATGTCAGTAAGATTTTTCTGTGTTGTGTGTGTAAGCTTTTTGTCCATTGCTACGTAATATTCCATTGCACAGATGTACCACAGTTTATTTACCCAGTCACCTATTGTTGGGTGTTTAGGTTACTTCCAGTTTGGGAATAGGAGTAAAACTGCAGTGAACATTTTTATACATACGTGTTGGTGAACATAAGCACTCACTTTTGTTGGCTGTAGACCTAGAGATGCAATTGCTAGATCACAGGGTAAACAAAGGATAAGTATTGCCAAATATTTCCATAGTGCTTATTCACCCGCCAACAATATAAGATAATTTCACACACTCTACATCCTTGCTAATGCTTGGCAATGTTATATTCTTTTTAATTTTAGCCATTCTGATGGATATATAGTGATAACTTTTGTGGTTTGGTTTGCAGTTTTTGATAACTAATGATGCTCAATCCTTTGTCATGTGCTTATTCACCATTTGTGTATCTTTTTGTGAAATGCTTGAGGTTTATGTCTTCTGCCCACTTATGAAATTTAGATTGTCTATTTCTAATTGATTTGTTGGGGTTCCTAATATATTCAGAATATTAGTTTTTTGCTGGGTGTTGTATTCCAAACTTTTTCTTACAGCTTGTGGCTTGCCTCTTTCCTTTCCTTTTTTTTTTTTTTTTTTTTTTGACAGAGTCTTGCTCTGTCTCCCAGGCTGGAGTGCAATGGGATGATCTCGGCTCACTGCAGCCTCTGCCTCCTGGGTTCAAGTGATTCTCCTGTCTCAGTCTCCCAAGTAGCTGGGATTATAGGCATGTACCACCATGCCTGGCTAATTTTTGTATTTTTAGTAGAGATGGGGTTTCACTATGTTGGTCAGGCTGGTCTCAAACTCCTGACCTCAGATGATCTACCCACCTCGGCCTACCAAATCACTTCACTTTTTTGATGTTGTCTTTTGGCAAAGAAAAGTTCTTAATTGTAATGAACCCTAACATACTAATCTTCTCTTTTTACATTTAATATTTTTGTGTCCTATTCAAGAACTCTTTGACCCAGAGACCTGTTTAAGAAGTCATGACCTAGGACATGAATATCTTCAGTTTCTTCCCCCATATTATGATTGTTTTATTTTTACATTTATGTCTATAATTCATCACAAATTAATTTTTATGTACATTGTGAATTAGAGATCAAGGTTTATTTTTTTCCATGTAGATATGCAATTGACTCAGCACCATTTATTGAAAACACCATCCTCTTTTCTTTGTGAATTGCAACAGTCTTTGTTAAAAAACAAATGACCATATATATGGCTTATACAGGACTGTTTCTAGACTCTGGCTTCTATACCATTAGTCTATTATTTACCCATATTCAAATATGACATTAATTACTGTAGATCTATAATAAGCATGAATATCTAGTGGTGTAAGTTCTTTAACTTGCTCTTTTTTCAATATTACATTGGATATGTTAGGTCATTTGCATAGCCACATAAATTTTAAATAGGTTGGCTGATTTCTACCAAAAACAAAAATTAAAGTGAGGATTTGTAGTGAATCTATACCTCAGTTTAGACAGATCTGATGTCAATAATATTGAGTCTTCCAGTCCATGAACATGGTATGTACTTTCATTTATGTAGACCCACTTAAATTTCTCTTTGTAATTTTAAGTTTAGAGATCTTGTGTAGCTTTCACTGGATTAATTTCAAGGTATTTGCTATTTTTCTGGTATTACTGTAAATTGTTTTTCTTTTAATTTTCTGCTATTTTTGCAAATGTATGAAAATTTAATTGAGTTTTGTATATGTAACTTGTATCTAGCAAACTTGCTTAATTCAAGTGTTATACCTAATACATTTAATATATTTTTAAAAATAGATTCTTGGGAATTTTCTACCAATCATGTCATTACTGAATAATGACAATTGTATTTCTTATTTTCCAATATTACTTGCTTTCACACCTTATTGAAATAAAAAGGATCTCCACTACACTGTTAAATAAAAGTGGTAACTTAAATATACTTGTCTTATTTCCTATCTCAGGGAAAAGCATTCAATATTTTATCATTTAAGTATGATGATAACTGTAGAGTTCTTGTAAGCACTCTTTAATAGTTTAAGGAAGCACTCTTCTATTTCTAGTTTATTGAGAGGTTTTTTAGAAATTATTATCATGAATGGATATTGAATTCTGTCAAATAGCCTCAGAAATAACACCACATATCTACAACTATCTGATCTTTGACAAACCTGACAAAAACAAGCAATGGGGAAAGGATTCCCTATTTAATAAATGGTGCTGGGAAAATTGGCTAGACATATGTGGAAAGCTGAAACTGGATCTCTTCCTTACACCTTATACAAAAATTAATTCAAGATGGATTAAAGACTTAAAAGTTAGTCCTAAAACCATAAAAACCCTAGAAGAAAACCTAGGCATTACCATTCAGGACATAGGCATGGGCAAGGACTTCATGTCTAAAACACCAAAAGCAATGGCAACAAAAGCCAAAACTGACAAATGGGATCTAATTAAACTAAAGAGCTTTTGCACAGCAAAAGAAACTACCATCAGAGTGAACAGGCAACCTACAAAATGGGAGAAAATTTTCGCAACCTACTCATCTGACAAATGGCTAATATCCAGAATCTACAATGAACTCAAACAAATTTACAAGAAAAAAACAAACAACCCCATCAAAAAGTGGGCGAAGGACATGAACAGACACTTCTCAAAAGAAGACATTTATGCAGCCAAAAAACACAACAAAAAAATGCTCACCATCACTGGCCATCAGAGAAATGCAAATCAAAACCACAATGAGATACCATCTCACACCAGTTAGAGTGGCAATCATTAAAAAGTCAGGAAACAACAGGTGCTGGAGAGGATGTGGAGAAATAGGAACACTTTTACACTGTTGGTGGGACTGTAAACTAGTTCAACCCTTGTGGAAGTCAGTGTGGCGATTCCTCAGGGATCTAGAAGTAGAAATACCATTTGACCCAGCCATCCCATTACTGGGTATATACCCAAAGGACTATAAATCATGCTGCTATAAAGACACATGCACACGTATGTTTATTGCGGCACTATTCACAATAGCAAAGACTTGGAACCAACCCAAATGTCCAACAATGATAGACTGGATTAAGAAAATGTGGCACATATACACTATGGAATACTATGCAGCTATAAAAAATGATGAGTTCATGTCCTTTGTAGGGACATGGATGAAATTGGAAATCATCATTCTCAGCAAACTATCACAAGGCCAAAAAACAAAACACCGCATGTTCTCACTCATAGGTGGGAATTGAACAATGAGAACACATGGACACAGGAAGGGGAACATCACACTCTGGGGACTGTTGTAGGGTGGGGGGAAGGGGGAGGGATAGCATTAGGAGATATACCTAATGCTAAATGACGAGTTAATGGGTGCAACACAAGAGCATGGCACATGTATACATATGTAACTAACCTGCACATTGTGCACATGTACCCTAAAACTTAAAGTATAATAATAAAAAATATATATATATTTTTCTGCAACTATCAAGATTATCATAATTTTTTTTTCTAAAATAAGGTAATGTAGACTGATTAATTTCAAACGTTAAATCACCTTTATATTCCTGGAATAAATTATACTTAATCAGGATATATTATCATTTTACATATTAATGGGTTTATTTGCAGTTTCTTGGATGTTGTTTCTGTATACATTAGAAATAAATTTTTCTTTCTCGCAATTTTTTGTCAGATTTTTGGACAAAAGTAAATGACTTGGGAAGTGGTCCCTCTTTTTGTATTCTCTGGAAAGCTTGTGTGAGATTGGTATTTCTTTCTTAAATATTATAAAATTCACTAGTGAAGTCATGTGGGCCTGAAAGTTTCTTTGTGTAAATTCTCACAGTTACTAATTTCATTACTTTAATAAGTATGGAAATATAAAGAGTTTCATTTCTTCTTAGTTGTATTTTGATAAGTTGTATTTTTCAAGAAATTTATCCATTTTATTTAAATTGAAAATGATATTGTCATAATAATATCTTCAATATCCCCTCATTACCTTCTTTAACATTTCTAGGAATATAATATCATTCCCTTTTTCATTTCTGATAATAGTAATTTGTGTTTTCTTTCTTTTTTGTCATGTTAATATTTACTGTTGGTTTATTAACTTCATTAATTTTTTAACAGCCAACTTTTTAGCTTTATTGATTTTCTCTTTTTATATCTGTATTCCTTCATTGATTCTTATTCTTAAATAAATTTTCTTTCTTTTATTTTCCTGAGGTTTAATTTTATGTTCTTTTTCTGATTATTGAATTGAAAACTTACATAATTGCTTTTTAACCCATTTATGCCTGAGGTTGCAATTTTTTGAATTTTTGCAATCAGACCTTGGCAATGACCTTGAGCAGTAGGATATAAATAACTCTCACATGCTTCGTGTTCTAATAATGAAACACTAGGCATAAATGAGATTTAAGTATTCTGCTTTTCTAATAAATGCATTCAAAGCTATGACTGTTCCTTGAAGCACTGCTTTAGCTGCATTCCACAAATTTGATGTGTCATGTATTTATTACCATTCAGCTCAAATTATTATCTAATTTCCCTTGTGATTCTTCTTTGAGCCAAGAGAGTTTCTTAAGAGTGTGTGTTTTACTCCTAAACATTTTCGAGCATTTGGAATTTTTATAGTTATCTTTTTGTTATTGATTTCTACTGTGGTTAGAGGATATACATTGTATGATAGCAACCTTTTGGAATTTTTTGAGATTTGCATTTGACTCAGAATGTAACTTATGTTATTAAATTTTCCATGTCTATATTTTTTTAAAATATATTCTCCAGTTGCAAAAAATAGTGTCAATATTGTCAATTAGGCCATGTTGGCAAATCGTGTTAACAAAATCTTCTATATCCTTACTAATTTTCTGTTTACTTTTTAAATGGGTTACTAAGAAAGATGTGTTAAAATCTCCAACCCTGGCTGTCTATTCATCTACCTCTCAATTTTGTCTTTATATTTTTTGAAACTATATTCTTGAGTGCACACAAAGTAAGCAATATTTTATTACATTAACCTTTTGTCATTATAAAATGTACCTCTTTATATCTTACAATTCCTCTTATCTTAAAGTCTACTTTGCCATATTAATATAGTTATACTAGCTTTCTTTGAGTATTTATTTTGAATATTCTTTTCTTCTTATTTTCAATATTCTTTTCTTCTTATTTTCAATATTTAGTGGCCTTTAATGAAAAATATCATTTATAAACAGCATACATATGCGGTTTATTTATCTATGATGACAACTTTGTCTTTTAATTACACTATTTAATGATTTGCATTTATAGTATAACTATTTAAAGGTTTTATATTTAGTATAATTACTGACCTAGTCAACTTTAAGTTTGCTCCCTTTTAAATTAATCAAGTTTATATTTCAATTATTCTCCTTTTTTGCCTTTCTTAGTTGTATCTTCTATTTTTCATTTATATGGAGATTTAAAAAAATATTTCATATAATTTTAAATACCAAAGATTGCAATATTCATCTTTCATTTATTATGGTATATTTAAATTAATACTTATACCACTTTTCAAATATTGCAATAAACCTACAACCATTTAACTCCATGGATTCCATCTCACTCCCTTTATGCTATTAATATCCTGTAGTTTACCTTTATATATATATATATATACACACATATTTTTTTGAAATGGAGTCTTGCTCTGTCACCCAGACTGGAGTGCAATGGTGCAATCTTGGCTCACAGCAACCTCCACCTCCCGGGTTCAAGCGATTCTCCTGCCTCAGCCTCCTGAGTAGCTGAGATTACAGGCACCCGCCACCATGCCCGGCTAATTTTTGTATTTTTACTAGAGATGGGGTTTCACCATATTGGTCAGGCTGGTCTTGAACTACTGACCTTGTGATCACCCCGCCTCAGCCTCCCAAAGTGCTGGGATTACAGGCATGAGCCACTGTGCCTGGCCTATATATGTTTTAAATTTGACAGCCTTATTACTGTTGTTTCTAAAAGTCAATCTTTTTATTTATTCATTATTTTCTTTATATTGTTTTTTATTGCTTTCTAATGTTTTGGGCTTCCACCTGATCACTTTCTTCAGCCTTTTATTTTCATTCAGTATTTATTATAGTATAGGTCTGCTGACAATGAATTCTTTCAATATTTTAAATTGAAACATCTTTATTTTGTTCACATTTTTAAAGAATATTTGGGATGGGGTATATGATTCTAAGTTGGCTGTTCTATTTATCGGTTTTAGCATTTCAAATAAGTCATTTCAATATCTTCTGACTTTTATAGTATATATTTAAAAAATCAGCAGTCTTATTGTTGCTCCTTTGTAGGTAATATGTCTTTTGTCTCTAAATGTTTTAAAATATTCTGCTTGCCTTTGACTTTTAGCATTTTTACTATTATGCACCTAGATGTAGGTATTTTTAATATTTTTCTTCTGCTTGATTTGTTGAATTTATAGAGGTTGATGTCTCTCATCAGATTTGGAAAATTATCACTTGTTATTTCTTTAAATATTGCTTCTATTCCATTATGTCCTCACTTCTGGCATATCAAATACATATGTATTACACATCTTTAGATTATATTCCACATGTCTCTTACCCCCTTTTAAAACCACTCTTGTGCCAGGAGATGACTTCCAGACTTTTGCAAAACAAACAAACAAACAAAAAACAAACAAACTAAAAAACACGCAAGTAAATAAAGGTGGCTTTACTGATTCAAGAAGACATAGATAGGATTTTTGGGAAGCCAACATGGCAGGAATGTCCAGGGCACAGTACTGGAGAGGAGAGAGCTATGAAGAAGGAGAGCTTCAAAAATCTGCAGAGGGGTATTCTTTCTTAGCTGAACACTAACTGTATGTACATTAAACGAAATTCTGTGAGGCTGGGGAATTATGAGTTCTAGGTTTCTGAAAGCTAAAAAACTTCCAGAAAGCCTACAGGGATTGAAGACATTCAAATTATCACCAGTAAGAGTGGGGAGACCTTTTTAAACACCCAGAATATTAAGTAGAGTCCCCCAAAGAGTCATGTTTTGCTAATAGGTAGACTAAAGATAACCACAGATTAAAGCTTGTACATATAAATCTCTTTAAAAAACCTCAAAAGGATCAAGCTGATCAACAACTAATTTAGCTGCCCCCACCCCCAAGAAAAATTGATTGATACTCCTTAAGACAATAACAAAGTCCAGATATTCAACAGCATAACAATCACAATGTCTAACATCCAATCAAAATTAAATACCAAGAAGGAAATAATGCATCCCATAATTAAGAGAAATTTAATACCAAGAAGCAGGATAATGCAACCCACAGTCAACAGAGAAATCAGTTGACAGAATCAAAAATAATAAAAATGATGGAACTAGCAAATAATTTAAAAAATAACCCTTAGGAATTTAAAGGAAACAATCATAGTTAGGAAATTAATTGAAACTATAAAATAGAACCAAACTGAACTTTAACATATAAAAAATAAAATATCTGAAAAGACTCACTGAAATATATATATTGAATTGATTTCCAACATGATAATACAATGAGGAAATTAAAATTTTTCAACAAATGATGCTGGAACAACTGGATATCTGTTTGGATAAAAATAAATCTCAGCTCTTATCTCACAACATAAATATTTACTTAAAATAGATTATAAAAGCACAAATTATAAAAGAAAAATATATATAAATATGACTCCATCAAAATTTAAAACTGTTCTACAGAAGACTCTATTAAGAAAAAGATAAGCCACAGATTGGGAGATGATATTTGCAATACTGCAATTCACAATAAATATCTGTGAAGAGGCTTGTATCCAGAGTATATTAAAAAACTCATAACATGATAATAAGAACAAAATGGCTCAATTTTAAAACATGGGCAAAATGTTCAAACAGACCTTCATAAAGGAAGAAATACAATGGTCAGTAATGCTTGAAAAGATATTCAATATAATTAGTCATCAGAAAAATGCAAATTAAAAAGTTAATAAGATAATATTATACATCCATTAGAGCATCTCAAATGTAAAAGTATGACAATACTAAGAGTTGCAAGGATGTGGAACAATTCGAATTCTCACTATTTCTAGTGGGAGTGTAAAATGGTACAACCACTTCAATAGTCTGGTAGTTTCTTGTTTAGTTAAATATATGCCTACCCCATCACCAAGAAATTCCACTGCTAAGTATTTATCTAAAATAAATGAAAACATACCCACAAAAGGCTTGTTCATGAATGTTTATACATACTTTATTCATAATAGCAAAAACTTAAAGCAACCTATGGTGAATTATTGTAGCATATTTATACAATGAAATACTACTCAGCAATAAAAAGAAACAAACTTCTGATATACCCAATAACAGAGGATCTCAAAAACATTATGCTGAGCAAAAGAAGCCAGACAAAAGGATACAACGTAACAG
The DNA here is from genome assembly GCF_000001405.40 of Homo sapiens. Lineage (NCBI taxonomy): Eukaryota > Metazoa > Chordata > Mammalia > Primates > Hominidae > Homo > Homo sapiens. Next base: position 115,851,673 of record NC_000011.10, on the reverse strand, counting down.
GCAAAACTTATCTACTGAGGAAAAGCAGATTAGTGGTTTCCTAGGGCCAGAGAAACAGTAGGGGTCATTGTCTACAAAGAGTCCTACAAAAATGGAAATTTGGGAACAGTAGAAATTATCTACTTCTCTCTTAGAGTGGTGATCATATGGATGTAAACATTCGTTAAAACTCATAAATCTCTACAATTAAAAATAAGTTGCTAACATTTCTTTTTGCAAGTAAATTATACCTCAACAAAATTGATATGAAAGTTAAAAAAAAAAAATCCTGATTACCAGGACATAGTCTTTTTTAGGCCTTGACTGAAAGTCTATGGGGTTAGCTAAGATACCTCCATTCTTATTATGTCAGAATTTCAGTGTCCACCATCTAACCTGCCAGCAGCTTTTCTTTCAGAGTCTCTCCCCATGCATGAATAATTTAGAGATTGCCCAAGAAACAAAGTGAATTTTTAAAAGATTATTGGGACACCTCTGCAGCTCTCTCCTTACCTGTGACCCAATAATTTAATTGCCAGCTCTCCTGGCAGTCCTAAACTCTGATCCACGTCTTTTCTTCTTGAATAACCTACCTTCTAAAAGAGGAAATTTAGGAATGATAGACCACCTTTTAATAGGTAGCCTATTCAGGTAGCTTCTACCTAATAAACTACCTTCTTCCTAATAGACTACTGCTTGGGCTTCTGTACCTCAGTTTGGAAAACATCTTCAGGGAGAAAGTGAGTATAAATACAGGGTTCTCCTCACATGCATTTCCTCTTCCCTGGATTGTATCTCTGCTCTGCTTTTTTCTCCAATACCTACAAACAAAAGGTTTTATATATTTTTGTCCATTTTTATAGTTGTTTATGAAAGGAGTGCAAACCAAATACCAGCTACTTCATCAAGACTGGAACTATAAATCCAGGTGTGGACCTTTTAAAATCTTTTCTGTTCACATTTAGGGAGTAAACAGAACTGAACTCAGAAGAAACAGAGATAATTAAGGGAACAGAAAATAAGAATAAGTGTATCAGGAAAGCACAATGAAAAGGCAAAAAAGAAGAAAACTTGGAAATATAAACATTGTTGTAATGTATGACTTTCTTTTTTTCTTTTATTTATTTATTATTATTATTTTTTTGAGACAGAGTCTCACTCTGTTGCCCAGGCTGGAGTGCAGTGGCACCATCTTGGCTCACTGCAACCTCTGCCTCCCAGGTTCAAGCAGTTCTCCAGCCTTAACCTCCCAAATAGCTGGGATCACAGGCATGTGCCACCATGCCTGGCTAATTTTTTATTCTTTTGTAGAGACAGGGTTTCACCAAGTTGCCTAGACTGGTCTTGAACTCCTGATCTGCCCACCTTGACTTCCCAAAGTGCTGGGATTACAGGTGTGAGCCACTGTGTCCGGCTGCAGTGTATGTCTTTCTTCAGCTCTGGAAACTATTCTTCCATTATTCTTTGATTATGCTTTCTCCCCCATTTGCTCTGTGCCTTCTGGAAATTCTCTTATTCAGACCTTAGATCCCTATTCACCACATCTCTTAGACTTTTCGATCAGATTTTTCATGCTTCACTTTTTGCTCTTCTACATTATAATTGGTTTTCTTGATTTTCACTTTTCAGGTACCCAATTTTGTCTTCAGCTATGTTCATTTTATTATTAGTTGGTTAGTTGATTTTTTAAAGTTAACAATAAAAATATAATTTTTTAGTCTCCTCTCTGTTTTTTGATTGCATCTTTTTATGTTTGCAGTGGCCTCTCAAATGTGTATAAAGTTCTATTCTGCTTCCTTTATCATCTCCATTTCATCTATGGTCAGTTCTGCTTGTTCACCTTGCACCTTCATTTCCTATCAAAAGTTTTACTCATGTATCTAGTGATTGTCTATTAATATTTATAAATGAGGAACTGTGTCCATTGGTTTAGTAAGCTGGTGTAGGTTTCATCAGCCTCATCCTCATATCTGCAGTTGGGCACTACAAAGACTGTAGATGTTGATTGGCAGAGTTCCTTGTGGGGCATTTTGGTAAAGGGTAGGCAAGCAGGTGTGCTGGAAATGGGGGTCTTTCTGGATAAGGAGGGCCCTGCTCTGGAGATGGCGGGGATGTTCTCTTAAGTGAAGCTGCCTTTTCTTTCTCCCTACTCATGATTTACTCTGTTTTATATTCAAGTTGAAATACTCTCACCAGGAGGTCTTTAGACCCTATGGGTATTTCAGTTGCTCTGTCAGTCTGTATTTCATGGGAAGGTCAGACCCCATTCTGTGATAATCCCATTGAATTCATGAGATAGAGTGGTGGATGGACCCTCCAGATAAAGAGCCTGGGCATTAGAAAACACAGTCGATAACTTCTCACTGCACAAAGAGCTGATCAGTGCAGGGCTTTGCCTATTGCTCACAGACATAGGCAACATTCGGAAGATACAAGAATAAAAAGGATGAGAAAGCAAATGCCCAAAGTTCTATCATTTCTGTAGTGTAGCAGTTATCACACTCGCCTCACACATTTGTTTATATCACTTCCTCACAGGCACAGTTTCTGTGCTCCCCTGATTTTACTTCTAAGGACAAATGGACCAGAGCTGTGAGTGGCCACAGATGTTTGACAAGAGTTGTTCAAGGCAATCATGGGAAAAAAACATGAGCAGAACCTTCTCAGTTAATTTTCTATTTTATCTGCCTTCAGCCTAATTTGATTCTATGGCTTGATGTTTCCTTATATAGTACTTCCAGGTTGATTGGGGTGAGGGGAAGAGAGTGCAAGAAATCTGGGCAGTTGGCCTGTTTTGACATGTTGGACAGCCCAGAGCTTCTTAAGAGGCAGTTACTAGTGCTAAAGCATCAGATTTTATCTAAAAGCCAGATGGGCTGAGTTCAGTGGTTTTGGGACTGGGTTAGGACTGCTCGGACTGTGGGTAACCAATACCACAAAGAGTTCTGAGAAATAGCTCTAAGCTTAAAATAGTCTAGGGTGTGTCCTGGATTTGCAAAGTTATTGGAAAAACAGCCTCAACAAATGGATAGAACCTAGAATTTACATCAAGCCTGCAGTATGTCAGGGATGAGGTGGGGGTAGCTGGTTTACCTCTCTTTACTAAAGTAAATCCAGCTATGCAGTGGAGCTGGGAGAGATGTGGAGGGTGGAAAGACTGAGCAATATACGTTATTTGCTTCTTGCATATTTGGGCACAAATGAGATTGTAGGGTCACAATTCTTTTAGATCCTTACAAGTTGTAGTGGATAGTTATCATTTTGATGTCTGTCAAGCAACTTGTTATTTTGTGAGATTCCCTCATGTATTTCATCTCATTGTGAAGCTGGCTTCACCTCCCTGCCACTAAGGAAGCCCCAAACGCCCAACCTTCTTTTTCTCTGTGTCTTGGCAGCCACAGCACAGGCAGGTAAATAGGATCAGCAAATCAGAGGCTCCTACCCTGGACTTTGACATTTGATGAAGTGGTCAGAATTCCATCATGAAGTTAGCAGTGATGGCAGCAGTTGTGATGAGAGCAATGTCCTGGCCAGACTGTCTCCCTGCAAAATGTTGAATGTATTTCTTTCTCCTTGGCCCACTGTAGGGACTTTAGTTCCTGTTTGTTAGCCAAGACTGGTCTTGTAGCCTGCTTCTGTCAATTCTGACAGCCTTGTAATAAAACATCATTTTGTTTAGGTAACAAAAAAAAATAGTTTCTGTTACTTACAGACAAAAACATTCCAACTGACTGAAATTTACTTTCAAATTCAGAGGCAGCATAGCACACTGGTTATAAACATGGGCTCAGGAGACAGGCTGCCTGGATTTGAATCTCCAGCTTTGCCACTTACAGCTGTGTGAACTAGCTTCTGTATGTATCAATTCCTCAACTGTAAGTGTGGATAAAATAGTGCCATTCTCATTGGATTGTTTTAATGCTTAAAGAGTATATGTATTAAAATTGCTCAGAACAGTGCCTGGCATTTAATAAGCACATTGTGTTTAACAGAGCTCCAATAAAATATGAGAAATCTGAGATGGTTGTCTAGCTTAGGGAAGGCAACACGCAATGAATGTTCTGTTATTATTCCAAGATAGAATTCTAGTTCATGGCACATAGTGGCACATGTTTGGTAGCACACAGTTAATCAAATTATTACTTTCGGTCATTTGGAATAAAGTACCCATTAAGGGCAAAGCTTGGGAGATTGTTTTTCTGCCAATTCAAGGTCTACAGGGTAAGGAAGCTATTTAGCATTGAATAACATTTTTAAGAAATGATTCACTAAAATTTTTAAATTCTCAGATTTTCTATGGACAGTATGAAAGAATCTTTTCAGTCATGTCTTTAGGATTGAGATAACTGAAAACCAAATTTACCAGAGGTTTTTTTTTTCCCTGCAGATTGTCAAATTACAACATCTGTTGAATAAATCAACTTGTGATGTCTTTTCAGTTGGGCCCCTGTTCGGGAAATAAGAGAACACTGAAACATTGGATTAGATATAAATGGCAACATCTGGAGATATCTTGGTATCTAGAACCCTTACATTTCACTGACCTTCCCTTGCCCATGTCTGAAGGAGTTACCCTACAACATTAAGCCAGTTTCCCTTTTGATCTACACTCTCTACACTATTTCAATCCCTTCTTTTCTCCAAACCTGTAATTAGATTAGATTCCATCCTACTCCAAGGAAAAAGTAATAAATCAAATCAAGAAATAGAGGACGTTAATCCCAAAAGAATTGCAGAACTTATTAATTTATATCTGCAGAAGTCTTTGGAATGTGTGTGTGAATGAATTTAGAGGGTCCTCACAAAATTGGAAGAAAAGTAACTTTAGATTGGACTGAATTTATCAATATGGATGAACTTGCCACAGATCCTCATTTTTGTGTGCCTGTTGGTATGAGATATGATAGTTTGTGTAACTAATCAATGGACAACTGTGTTCAGTGCTGACCTCTAAACAAAACTGAGATACCAAGAAAAGTTTTGGCATAATGTAGATGAAGGATTTTTAATTTGGGGAGAATCACATGCATTCCCATACTCCCTAGGTCACCAGGGACTGCCCAGAAAAATCTCTTTTAATTTAAACCTTAAGACAGATACTGGTAAGTGAAGTAGGAGCATCTTTGAGAAACACTTTGGTGGCTGTTCTATGTAGTACAGAGGAGTTGATAGAAGTTGCTGCAGCTAAAATGAGCTCCCTGATTTCAATGTTATGCATATATCCCAGGATGGAAAAAAACACAAGCAGAGAAACTTGACTGGCAAAGACAGAATGAGCTTGACTGCTATAAGAGAAAAAAGTATAAACATAGCAAATACAATGGTCTAAGCCACTAGATCATTGGTGGTGCTTGATTGCTCACAGGGTCCTTTGACTGTAAGGATGGGTTCCCCGCTGAATTAGTCTGGATAGACTGGTTTATATTGTGTTAATATAATGCCCCAAAACTCTCAGTGACTTAGCACTTAAAAGTTTATTTCTCATTTACACAAAGTTGGCCACTGGTCTGAGTGACTCTCTAGGGCTTTTGATCATGCAGTGACTTAGTCTGCTTTAGTCTTGTGATCTAATTCACAGTTTCCATGGAAAGGAAAGAGACCACATGGGGAATTCATACTTGCTCTTCCAGGCTTCAGTCCAGAAGCAACACATGTTACTTCTGCTCACAGCCAATTGAGCAGAACTGGTCACATGGCACTACTTAACTCTAAGGGGGCAGGGAAATGGATGGACCAGGAGGACCACTTGTGAATATTACTTTTTCTACCATCCCTAAGGCCCTACTGAATGTATGTAAGTGCGTAAGCAGAGAACTGACTTCAACTGCCACCACGTTATAGTGACTGCGGCCCCTCACTCAATGTTCAGACTCAAGTTCAAAGACACAGAAACCCCTGAATGAAGGGAAGATCAGGTACACTTGAGGAAAGATCCTGCACAAATATCCAAGTGCATACTCAGAATCTTCCTCCTGTTCTTCTCCAAAGGTCCCTGTGGATATTTACCCTCTGAGAAAGGTAATTATCTAAACCTTGTAAGTATGTTGAACATCAGGTCTAAACTGGTGCTACTGCCTAGGTACCCAGAACACCACAGTGATCTAACAATCAGAATGAATTTGTTAGATTTGTTAGAATTTGTTTTAGACAGGTGACAAATGGAGTTTTCACCTATGTCATTTAATGATGGTAGAACAATGGGACTCAAAATCCATGTCTTAATTAATGGAATAAATATACCTGGGAAAAATTGTCTCCCAGTCTCCTTTACCAATGGAGGGAGGAAAAAAATGCAAGGGAGGGAGGTGAAAAGAGACAAGAGGGAGTCTCCACACTTTCTGTTTCCTACCAAAATAAATCAAAATAAAAACCATATCCTTATGAGAATCATGGAAATCAGTGTTGTCATCAAATACTTAGAAAAAAACAGGAGTCATGATTCCAATTCACTGGCCCATTTTTTCTGTGTTTTAGCCACTGCCATGGATAGATATACCTTGAAAAATGGCAGTGGATTGTTGTGAGTTTAATGATGTATGACTCTAACTGCAGGTGCTTTTCCTTTCTAGTCTCCTTATTAGAACAAATCAGTACAGCCCTTAATATTGAGCATAGAGTTGTTAATCTGACAAATGCTTTTCCCCGCCTCAATTTCCAACAAACAGAGGACACCAGAAGCAATTTTCTTTTACTTGATGGGACAAATGTACACTTTTATGGCTTAGAGATATCTTAACTGTCCTTTGACCAGCATCTCTCTTTTTCCACTTTGCCTGGAAAGAATGATGCACAGAGTCAAAGATTTAGGTGATTGCTAATGATTTAGTCAAATGGTTAGGGAGTTGGAAGGAGCAAAATGTCAGGATTGCTATGATAATATTGTGTCCCATGTGAAAAATCATCAAAATTTTCCTATTGTAGAGAATCAGGTGAACATTAGTCAGACTTCATCTCCAGTCACTGCAGTCTTGCTTGTGGTAAATAGAAGAGCCCTCCATAGCTGTCCATGCCTGAATCCCTGCATCCTGGAAATACACTGTTACTTGACAAAAGGAACTTTGCAAACATGGTTAAACTTATGAATCTTGAGATGGGAAGGTTATCCTTTATTATTGTGGAAACCCAGTCTAATCAAATGTGTCCTTAAAAATGGAGAATGTTTGCTGGCAGAAGAGTCAGAGTGATGCCACACAAGAATAAGCAGGAGAGATTTAAAGTGAAAAAAAAAAAAAAGCCTCAGCCTATGAGCACTAGCTTTGAAGAGACAGAAAGAGGGCTATGAGCTCAGGAATGCAGGGGCCTCTGGATGCTGAGAATAGCCCTCAGCTGACAACCAGCAGGTGAAGCAGGGAGCTCAGTCCCACACCCTTCAAGGAGCTGAATTCTATCAATACCTTGAAAGAGCAAGGAAACAGATTATCTCCAAAGCCTCTGAGAAGAAACACTGCCCTGCCAACACTTTGATTTTGTTCAGATGAGACCCATATCAGACTTCTGACCTACAAAACTGTGAGATAATAAATTTGTGTTGTTTAAGACACCAAATTTGTCATGATTTTCTTATGGCAGTAATATAAAACTAAAACATTGCTGAATATTTTCATAAACAAAGCTAAGTTGGTGTTGATTCTATTCTTCAGAATATAGAGTATGTTCAGAATAAGTAGATAATACGTAGTGCTGTTTTGCAGATGGAACAGCAGGACCATGTGACCAAGAGGTGATAGGAATGGGGACTAAGAATAAGGACTTTTTCTCATCAACAGTAGAAACCACAGCCAACAACCCTAGCCTCTGATATGGTGCATAGTTCAAGGTAATCTGCTAGCTTCCTGGTAACAGGTTGAACACATTGAACCCTTCCATTCTGAAGGGACAATGATTTACTTCTTGGAAAAGAAAGATATTCTGGATTAAGATTTTCTTTTCTTCTTAACATAATTTTGTCACCTATCATCTGTGGTCTAAATAAATGCGTTATACATCATTTTGACAGTCCTCACAACGTGTTTCTTATCAAATATTTCACTTTACAGAAGAGAATTAAAACAATGAGCCCATATCCATGGAGTCATTGGTCATATCATGTGACTATCATCCAGAAATAGATGGCCTTATAGAACATAAATGTGAACTCTTTGTAAACATCAGAGCCAGTTGTAGGACAATCTTGTGAGATTAGAGTACATTGTGTAAGGCAAATTGTATGCTTTGAATAAGCAACAAATATATGGTGCTATTTCTTCCACTAATATACTCCCCAGGTTGAAAATAAAGATGTGAAGTGGAGTGGCAAGGGGTTGTACAAGGCTCACAGCCATATCTAGTGAAGCTTTTGACTGTGTTTGTTTATAGTTCTTATAACTGGGCTTTGCTCGTTTAGCACTTGGTGATAATGGTTAATATTTAGCAAACACTAGGTGCCAGGCTCTGTTCTATATGATTTACATGTAATAATCTATTTAGTCATGATAACAACTCTATGAGTAAAGTACTATATTGTCCATGTTTTTCAGATCAGGAAACTGAGTTCAGAGAATGGGATAGCCAGAATTTGAACACAGTTTAAGATCAGTGTCCCTGGTCTTAACTACTATCCTATATTACCTCTCAGTGGAGGTATGTTTCCATGAGGAAACACAAAGTTTATTCCACTGAATTGGAAGTTGTAATGGCCTCCTGGATGTTTTGGGTTTCTCATACTCTTGGGAGAACATGCAAAAAATTATTTTGTAGTGATAGATGGAATAGAGGGCTGCTGCTGCAAAAGAAGAGCCAGGAAGAGAAAGGAATAAATTCAGGGACGCTACTGGGACACTTCCTAGTGGCATCATTTGCAGTGGTAAAAGTTCATGGATGTCTCTAGGCAGGATCAACGGCTCAGTTCTCTCAGAAATGAAGGCTTGGGTCATATGCACCACCTCATCCGAGAAAGAATCCCAAGGAGTTGAGGCATTACCTAAGGTCAAAGGAAACATGAAATGGGTAATAGAGAAGGGAAGTCATAAAAATTAACTACAGTGTCATAACCAACTATCGAAAAAATGGGTATGGTCTCCATCTGTATTTATTTCCTTGTGGTATAATAAATTCCTCTTCCTTTCTCTTTTTTGTCATGATTTAATGTAATGTGCATTGGTGATGTTGAACTTCTACAATATGGCTTGCCTAACACTAAAACAGCATAATCAAAAATGCTGCACCTGAAACCGGAGCAAGAACTGCAAGATCTTAGGCTTCTCCCTTCAGTGAAAGAGTGGGTGTATTTGCAATTGTATGAAAGATAGTTGTATTTTATTAAGAGATTTCCTTCCCTTCCTCCCTCCCTCTCTCCCTCTCTCTGTCCCTCCTTTCCTTCTTTCCTTCCTTTTTTCTTTTGACAAGTTTTAAGATTTAAGGAAGAGTATATGAATTTTGGCCAGCTAAAGAGATAGACTATGGTAGAAACTTGTTTTTTCCCTTCCTCTTTCCAATATCTAACTCCTCTTTCTATTGTGGAAGAATATCTGTTATATAGTATTCCTGCTGCATTACTGACACTGAAATACTAGTTTTTCCCTCTATTTCCTTAGCAAGCAAATAACAGGAACAACCCTAGACTTAGCCAATAAGTTGCCTTACCCTCTCCTACCCCAGACCCTAAGTCTTGAAAAAATGATGCAAAGATGAAGGATGTTAGAATTTATTTACATGATTGATGACAGCATACAGGCACTGTCTTTAATAACGACAATGAAAGCACCTAATTTTTTTTTTAAGAGAATGATAGTGGCATCTGTTTCCCCTAGGAAAAGGGCAGTGGATGGACAGGGACTGTGTTTGGTCCAACTTAGGAATGTTTGAGTGGAACCAGACAAGTGAAAAATGCCAACTTAGTGACAGTGCTGACTAGTTGTTGAAGGAATCCCTGCAAACTCATCCTTCTTCATGACAGCAAAACTTGACCAAGATTTTTTTTTTCAAACAAAAGCGGGGGCAAATTCAGAGTCATAAGTGATTTTCTATTTATTCAGTAGTTTTGAAATAAAGTGGTGACAAAAATTGAACAATTTTTATTCTTCTCTTAATTCTCCCATTTTAAAAAATGACCCTGCAACTAGGATATCAAAACCAAAGAACCACGGAAAACATCTACATTAGAAGTAGAAATCCTGGTGCCCTAAGGAACACTCAAATATGTAGGCCCAAACCACCAACAGGTGTAAGACCCATGCACCTGTGCTGGAGGAAGGGAGGGAAAGCAACTTGGCTCTGATAGCCCCGAGAACATGAGACCCCCCAAATGCCAATAGGCATGCACTGGAACTATGGAGGCCCAATCTGAGAACAGCCAAACAATGAATGGGAAGGGATTCTGCAGGATCCAATTTGTGGGTGAGTGCAAGAGGACAGTGGTACGCTAATGACAGATGGTACTGACCCATTCGGGACCCTAACCTTTTTAGAGCTAACCAATTAAAACTTACTTGTGGCCAGGCATGGTGGTCACATATGTAATCTCGGCACTTTGTCAGGCCAAGGTGGGAGGATCACTGGAGTTGAGGAGTTCAAGACCAGCCTGGGCAACATAGCAAAACTCAGTGTCTACAAAAAAAATACAAAAATTGGCCAGGCATGGTGGCTTACACCTGCAATTGCAGCTGCTTGGGAGGGCTGAGGCAGAGAGATCCATGGAGTCCAGGAGGTGGAAGCTGCAGTGAGCTATGACGGTGCCACTGCACTCCAGCCTGAGTGACAGAACAAGACCCTGTCTCAAAAACAAAACAAAACAAAAAACCTTACTTCTCCAACAAAACATCACACAAAGGAGAAACTTATGGGTGTTTCCTATCCATAATGGGCAGGACAGGGATGATAGGAGCATAGGAGGGAGAACCTTCAGATAAAAGTGAGGGAGGGATCAGAAGACTCAGATCTCAGAAAGTACACTATCAGGAAGCCATATTTTTAATTGCTTTGTAAAACAACAGAGGAGGAAACTCTAGTGCCCTGAAGCTAGACAAACTATCCTGGCTACCCCTGCCTAATAAACCCTATTTTACATTTATGCTGTAAGATGCTGGTGCCACACATGTCTGTGTCCCATTTGCAGAGCAGAGATCCTTATATGCCGTGCTACGGAGTTAGGGCTTCACACTGTAGGTGACTGAGTGGTTTTAAACAGGAACATGGCAGGAGTGGATTTGCAACCTTCAAATATAGCAAGTTGTGATAGATAGGACAAAAATGGTAGAAAGGAACCCACACCCACTACCTGTACTTTCTGGTGTGCCTTTCTGTATTGCAGTTGTTAGAAAGACTAAAAAATTACATCTCTCAGGCTCCTTCATCAGGGTTTTGAGATTTAGGTTCAGCTAAGCCGACCCACTCATGTAAGATCTGAAAGGCAGAGGTAGGGCCTTCTTTCAGGCATTGACTGTTTTCTGCTGGCAAGCATGACCAAGAGCCCTGGGGTCTATGCAGAATGTTCCTGAGTCCATTCATTAGCTTCTTGAATGCCAACATACTCGGCATAGGTCATCCAGTTTTTTCTTCAGGTGTGATCTTGCAAGAGTGATATGGCTCTTAATACAAGTTATAGTGGTAGTAGTACCCTGATCCCTGAACATTACCTAAAATGGCATGTCCCTAAAACTAAGTATTCTAGGGTATTTCCCGATTCCTTACGTTTCTGATTGGGCAGACGGAGCAGTTTCCAAAGATAAGTTCTGCGGTATTTTGCAAGTCTTTCTAGAAGCCTAGCCTAGAACATGCTCCTTGAAATTTTCCAACATTACCAAATTATCCATATTTTGTCTATTTTTTTGCTTTAAGAAAGATAACATTGTTTCTGTCTTCTTTTTATATATATATATATTTTATTATACTTTAAGTTCTAGGGTACATGTGCACAACGTGCAGGTTTGTTACATATGTATACATGTGCCATGTTAGTGTGCTGCACCCATCAACTCGTCATTTACATTAGGTAGATCTCCTAATGCTATCCCTCCCCCCACCCCCCACCCCACAACAGGCCCCGGTGTGTGATGTTCCCCTTCCTGTGTCCAAGTGTTCTCATTGTTCAATTCCCACCTGTGAGTGAGAACACGCAGTGTTTGGTTTTTTGTCCTTGAGATAGTTTGCTGAGAATGATGGTTTCCAGCTTCATCCATGTCCCTACAAAGGACATGAACTCAACCTTTTTTGTGGCTGCATATATTCCATGGTGTATATGTGCCACATTTTCTTAATCCAGTCTATCACTGTTGGACATTTGGGTTGGTTCCAAGTCTTTGCTATTGTGAGTAGTGCCACAATAAACATATGTGTGCATGTGTCTTTATAGCAGCATGATTTACATTCCTTTGGGTATATACCCAGTAATGGGATGGCTGGGTCAAATGTTATTTCTACTTCTAGATCCCTGAGGAATCGTCACACTGACTTCCACAATGGTTGAACTAGTTTACAGTCCCACCAACAGTGTAAAAGTGTTCCTATTTCCCCACATCCTCCCCAGCACCTGTTGTTCCCTGACTTTTTAATGATCGCCATTCTAACTGGTGTGAGATGATATCTCATTGTAGTTTTGATTTGCATTTCTCTGATGGCCCATGATGATGAGCATTTTTTCATGTGTCTGTTGGCTGCATAAATGTCTTCTTTTGAGAAGTGTCTGTTCATATCCTTCGCCCACTTTTTGATCCAGTGTAGTATCTGTTCTTATCTGTTTCTGTCTTCTGAAGCTAAGCCAAGGTCTCTAGGAAATAAAAATTTGGAAATTCAGGGAAGACTCCATAGTTTATAAAGGATATGTACCACCTCTTAAAAGTTAGATCGAAATGGAATTGACAGAGAGGAAGGGGGTGGACATTTCAGACTGAAATGGTAGCTTTAAACAAATGCTAACAGACAAAGTTATCAATATTTCCACATGGGACTCCAAGGAAACCAGGCTAACCTGAATGAAGGCTAGGCACACAGGAGCTATGGGCTATAATATGTGTAGGAGGGGTGCGGAGAGATCATAAGGATACTAAGAGCCAAACAGAGAATTTTATGCCAGATGGAATGGCATCTAGAAGGGCATAGGGGTCATGAGAGAAATGCAAAGTAGAGAAAAATGAGAATGTTCAGAGCGGAGGGCCAAGAGAAACAACTGGTTTCGGAAATTTTGAATGATTGCTGGATATCCCGATAAAGCTGATTCTCTTTTGCTTCTGTGGAAAAGTTAGACAATATGAGTCTCTGGAGCCATCACCTCTTTCACCTGTACTGGTGGTGGATGGTTCCTACCAAACACGATGCTGTTTTTTGCTGAAACCAGACTCGGTCTCAGAATTCTTCTCACAGAGCTCCAAGCAGTCATTAACAATCAATAAAACTTGACAAGAGAAATAGAATCTACTAGTTGTACCCAGTGGAGTGAATGCTGTTCTAGCAAATCCTAACAATTATAAAAAATATTAACCTCTCTTATTTATTCACATATTTTATTGTAAACACAATTAACAACCTCATTCTTCTCAGATGCAACAATAATGATTTCAGCGATTGAACTCATAAAAGAGCAACACAGAGTTTTCCGTGACTAAATACAGGTTTCAGAAGGCATAAACAGATTGTGTCAATAGTCTATCCCTGTGACAGACTCTGAAGTGCCTCTAATTCTTATAAACATTTCCATGCACTGTGTTAAGTTCAGAATAAGTGACATGTGTTTAGCATTATATGTTGTAAACACTCTAAGATTAATTTCAAAAAGAGCAAATAAACAGAGATGCATGTAATTCTTCTAAACATTCATTTCATTCTCATCACCTGTCACTGTCAGTATTTATAAGTGAATCAGCTAGAGGCTTGCAGTCATTGGTTGTAGTGATTCCATGAAACCAGGCCTACATAAACTTAGGAAGGCACACCTTACCCTTTCTAAATGACAGACATATCATCCTAAACTGAAGTTTGTCATTGGGTTCTTGGGAAAACAGATGATAAAATAAGTTTTTTAAAAATGGGTTTTGGGGTCAGACTGACCTGATCCTAAGTGTGAGGGAATTCATGAGTCATGTCAGGGATAACAGAATAGAGAAATGGAAATTTAATTTTTTAAAGGAATATATCAGTATAAGAGTATATACTGTGGATACTGAAGTAGGCAGAGTATTCTCAGTAAGTGAAAGTGTGGTGATATTTCTCTACAAAATATCCTGGAGGCAGCTGAATACAGGAGACAGAGCTCTGCAGAGTGCTAATACATGGATCTGAGCATTTTTTCTGAAAGTTGCATGTGAAACCATATAGGCAGGCTCTCTAAAGAAAATTATGGCCTGGCATGGTGGCTCACGCCTGTAATCCCAGCACTTTGGGAGGCCGAGGTGGGCGGATCATGAGGTCAGGAGATGAGACCATCCTGGCTAACACGGTGAAACCCTGTCTGTACTGAGAAAAAAAAGAAAAAAAAAAAATACGGCCAGGCGCGGTGGCTAACGCCTGTAATCCCAGCACTTTGGGAGGCCGAGACGGGTGGATCACGAGATCAGGAGATCGAGACCATCCTGGCTAATATGGTGAAACCCTGTCTCTACTAAAAATACAAAAAAATTAGCCGGGCATGGTGGCGGGTGCCTGTAGTCCCAGCTACTCGGGAGGCTCAGGCAGGAGAATGGTGAGAACCTGGGAGGCAGAGCTTGCAGTGAGCCGAGATCACGCCACTGCACTCCAATCTGGGCGACAGAGCGAGACTCCGTCCCAAAAACAAAACAAAACAAAACAAAAAAAGATTATACAGAGAGAGAAGCCTTTGGAGACCACTGATTATAACCCCCTCTCCATCTCCACCACTATGGGCCTGGGCCAAGTCACCATCATCTCCCCCATGGACAACTGCAGTAGCCTCCTACCTGGTCTTCCTTGCATCTTTCCCCCCTCTACAAAGTATTTTAAACACAGAAGCCAGAAGGTAGTTCATGCCTCTGCTCAGGGCTCTCAGGTGGCCTTCACAACATTTAGAGTGGCGTTTGAAAACTTTAGTGTGGATCAGAATCACCTAAAGGTCTTGTTAAAACAGATCTCTGGCCCCACTTCCAGAGTTTCTAATTCAGTAGGTATGGGGCAGGGCCTAGGAACCTGCATTTCTCACACATTCCCTGGAGGGTGCTGATATTGCTATTTGGGAACCACGTATTTCCACCACTGATGTAGAGTAAAATGAAGGTCCTTGCTATGGTCTACAAGGCTCTCACAGGGATCTGGCCTCATGACCACTCTGACCTCACTCCTATTACTCTTTCTTTCACTCCATTCATGTCACATCTACCTCTTCTTCCACCCTCTTCTCCGAGCATAGCCCCCAGAGAGCATCATGGCATACTCTTCACCTCCTTCAATTCTTTGCTCAACAGACTCCTGGTCCATGAGGACTTCCCTAGCATCTTCTTTAAAACTGTGTACAGTACCTGATCCCTTCCTAGCATCCTTCCTCCCATCCCACGATCAGTTTTTTCCATAGCACTATCACCAACTGACATGCTACTCTATTTGACTTATTTGCTTATCCATTTTTTATCGACTCACCCACCGGCTGGTACAACACCAGAGCCCTGACAGGACAGGAAGCTCCTCTGTTGTGAGTAGTCTGTTCACCACTATATATCCCACACCTAAAAGAGTTCCTGGCACATAATAGGTGCTCAGTAAGTTTATTTAATGAAGGAATAAATAAATCAGAGAGATAGAAGGAAAATTTAGATGTGTTTACATACTGCTGTTGAAGCCAAGCTAGAAAATAATTTCAAAATGAGATTTCAAGATAAATAATAATAACTGGGGTAGGGAGTTGAGTAGGGTTTAAAACTGAGGACATGTCCTTTATATCTACTACTTTTTTTATCTTGTTTAAGAAATTCTTCAATACCTAGAGGTCATGAGGGTATTCTATTTTATCATCATCAATATAATTTATCAATATAACTTTAAAAATCATTTTACTTCAAATATAGTCACAGGAAGTTGCTAAAAACTGTTCAGCGACATTCTTAGCTTCTTCACCCAGTGTCTCCCCATGAAAACATCTTTCATAACTGCAGTACAATATCACAATTAGGAAACTGACATTGGCACAATCCCGAGAGCATATTCAGATGTCATCATTTATACATGCGCTCATATGTATGCATTATACATACATGGTGGTATCTTTATATAGCCCTATGCAATTTTATCACATGTGCAGCTTCATGGAACCACCAGCACAAATGCATACTCAGCCGTACCATCCTCACAAACCTCCCTCTTGCTACTCCTTTTTAGCTACTCTCTCTCCCCTCTATCCTTATCCCTGGGCAACCACTAATCTGTTCTACATCTCTATAGTTATGATATTTTATAAATGCTATATAAATGGAATCATGCAGCATGTATCCTTCCGACGATGACTTTTTAATCTCAACATAATTTCCTTGAGATTTACTCAAGTTGTTGCATTATCAATAGTTCATTTTTTTATCGCTGAGTAGTAAACCATGATATGAGTGTACCACCACTTATTTAATATTCCACCATTGAAAGTCATTTTTGTAGTTTCTAGTTAAGAGCTATTGCAAATAATGCTGCTATAAATATTCTCATACAAGCTTCTGTGTGAAAATCATATTTTGTGATAAATGCCTAAGTGTGCAATAGTTGGGTCACACATTAAGTTCATTTTTCATTTTAAAGGAAATGCAGTTATTTTCCAGAGTGACTCTACCTTTTACATTCCCATCAGCAATGTATACATGATCCAGTTTCTCTACATCTTTGTCAGTATGTGATGCTGTCACTCTTTTTTATCTTAGCCATTTTGATAGGTATGTAATGTTGTCATTGTAGTTTTAATTTGCATTTCTCTAACGGCTAATGATGTTGAACATCACATTTATTTGTCATCTGTGTAGGCTCTCTGATGAAATATCTGTGCATATCTTTTGCCCCTTTTCTAATTTGATTGTTAGGCTTTTTTTTTTTTTTTTTTTTTAGACGGAGTCTCACACTGTTGCCCAGACTGGAGTGCAATGATATGATCTCAGCTCACCGCAACCTCCGCCTCCTGAGTTCAAGTGATTCTCCTGCCTCAGTCTCCTGAGTAGCTGGGATTACAGGTGCCCGCCACCATGCCCAGCTAATTTTTGTATTTTTAGTAGAGACAGTGGTTCACCATGTTGACCAGGGTGGTCTCGAACTCCTGACCTCAGGTGGTCCACCCGCCTCGGCATCCCAAAGTGCTGGGATTACTGGCATCAGTCACCGCCCCAGACCTGATTGTTTGGCTTTTTAATGTTGAGTTTTGATAGTTATTTGTGTATTCTAGAATACAAGTTCTTTGTAGGCATGTAGTTTGCAAATATTTTCTTCCAGTCTATATTTGTCTTTTTGTATACTTAATACGGTCTTTAGTAATACAAAAGTTTTTAACTTTGATAAAGTCCCATTATTTTTTCCTTTTATGCATCATGCTTTTGGTGTCAAGCCTAAGAACTATTTGCTTGGCCTTGGAACCCAAAGGTACTCTCTTATGCTTTTTTCCTAGAATTTGGTCCATGAGTCATTTTGAGTTAATATTTGTATGTAAAACATGTAGTTTAGGCAGAGGTGTGTTTTATATCTATGGATAGCTTTAGAACTCTTTATTAAAAGACTATCCCTTCTCCATTGGTTGGTTTTGCTCCTTTTTCAGAAATTTGTTGGGCATATTTGTGTGGATCTATTTCTGGGTTCCCTATTCCATTGCATTGATTTGTGTGTCTATCACTTCACACTTTCTAGAATACACTAGCCATAGAACATTGGATATCTATGTTAAGTGGATAACCACTTAACATTGGGAAAAGGGATTTCTCCCTCTTCATTCATTTTTTCAAAATTGTTTTGGCTATTCTACAGACTTTCTATTTCCATAAATATTTGAATATGAGCTTGTGTATGTCCACGAAAAAATTGCTGAGAGTTTGATAGGAATTTCATTAAATCTATAGATCAATTTAGGGAAAGGTGCCATCTTTACTATGTTGAGTCATGTAACTCATGAGCACAATATGTCCCTCCAAGTACTCACGTCTTTAATTTTTTCATCAACATTTTGTAATTTTTATCACACATAGTCTGTACATGTTTTGTTAGACCTACAACTAAGTATTTTGTTTTATTTGGAGCAATTATACATAGTACTGCATTTTTAATTTTGGTTTCTACTTGTTCATTGTCAGTATGAAGAAATGCAATGATTTTTGCATGTTAATCTTATAACCCGTGACCTTACTAAATGCACTTATTAGTTCTACGATTTTTGTGGGTTTTCTTTTGTGTGTGTGTGGGTGTGTGTATGCATGGTTTTGTTTTTTTGTAGATGCCTTGTACTTTTCCATATAGACTATTATGTCATTTGCAAATAGAGACAGTTTTCTTTACTTTTTCCAATCTGTATCCCTTTTATCTCTTTTCCTTTTCTTATTGCCATGGCTAGATCTTCCAGTGCTTTGTTGAATAAGAGTGATGAAAGTGGAAATAAGAAAGGAAAAATATTCAGCTTTCTACCATGACTAAGATGTTAGCTGTAGACTTTTTGTGGATGTTCTTTATGAGGTTGAGGAAGTTCCCTCCATTCCTAGTATACTAAAAGTTTTTATTGTAAATGGATGTTGAATTTTGTCAATTGCTTTTTTTACATCAAATGATATAATCATATGATTTTTCTTCTCTAGATTGTTGATAGGGTGGATTACACTGATTTTCAAGTATTGAAACAGGATTGCATACCTTGAATAAATTTCATTTGGTTGTAGTGTATTATTCTTTTTATACATTGCAGGATTTGATTTGCTAGAATTTTGTTGAGAATTTTTGCATTTATGTTCAAGGGATATTAGTGTATAGATTTATTTTTTGTGTGCCATCTTTGGTTTTGATATCAAGGTAATAATGGCTTCATAAAATAAGGTTAAAAGTGTGCACTTCTCTTTTGCTTTCTGGAAGAGAGTACGTAAAGTTTGTGTTAATTATTTTAATGTTTGGTAAAATTCTCCAATGGAACTAGCTGTGCCTAGAGATGTGTTTATTTAGAGCTTTTAAATTACATATTCAATTTTCTTAATAGCAAAAGGGCTACTCAGGTTATCTATTTTATCTTGGCTGAGTTTTGGTAATTTGCGTTTTTTGAGAAACTGGTTAGTTTCTTCTAAATTGTCAAATTTCTACGTGTAAGGTCATTTATGCTGTTCCTTTATCACTTTTTTAATGATTATAGAATCTTGTGATATCCCCGTTTAATTCTTAATATTGGTAATTTGTGTCTTTTTATCTTTGTCAGTCTTACTAGAGTTTTATCAATTTTATTGATTATTTTGAAGAACTGGCTTTTTGTTTCTGTCTACTCTATTTCATTCTATTTCTATTGTTTTCTTGTTTAAAATTTTATTTTTGCTCTTGTCTTTTATTTTGGTAAAATATACATAACATAAAATATCTCATTTTAAGCACTTTTAAGTGTGCAGTTGATTTTTAAGTGTACAGTGACAGTCCAGTAAGTGTTCAGTGAATGTACAGAGTATACAGTGAGTGTACAGTGAGTGTACAGAGAGTGTACAGTGAGTGTACAGAGAGGGTCCAGTGAGTGTCCAGTGTCCAGTGAGTGTCCAATGACTGTCCAGTGAGTGTACAGTGTCCAGTGAGTGTCCAGTGAGTGTACAGAGAGTGTCCAGTGAGTGTCCAGGGAGTGTCCAGTGAGTGTACAGTGTCCAGTAAGTGTCCAGTGTCCAGTGAGTGTCCAGTGAGTGTACAGAGAGTGTCCAGTGTCTAGTGACTGTCCAGTGAGTGTACAGTGTCCAGTGAGTTTCCAGTGAGTGTACAGAGTATACAGTGAGTGTCCAGTGAGTGTATATTGAGTGTACAGTGTCCAGTGAGTGTCCAGTGAGTGTACAGAGAGGGTCCAGTGAGTGTCCAGGGAGTGTCCAGTGAGTGTACAGTGTCCAGGGAGTGTCCAGTGAGTGTCCAGTGAGTGTACAGTGTCCAGTGAGTGTCCAGTGACTGTCCAGTGAGTGTACAGTGTCCAGTGACTGTCCATTGAGTGTCCAGAGTATACAGTGAGTGTCCAGTGAGTGTAGAGTGTCCAGTGAGTGTAGAGAGTGTCCAGTGAGTGTCCAGGGAGTGTCCAGTGAGTGTACAGTGTCCAGGGAGTGTCCAGTGACTGTACAGTGAGTGTACAGTGTCCAGTGAGTGTCCAGTGAGTGTACAGAGATTATACAGTGAGTGTACAGAGTGTAAAGTGAGTGTCCAGTGAGTGTACAGAGAATGTCCAGTGAGTGTACAGTGTCCAGTGAGTGTACAGAGTGTCCAGTGAGTGTCCAGTGAGTGTACAGTGTACAGTGTCCAGTGAGTGTTCAGAGTGTCCAGTGAGTTTACAGAGTGTACGGCGAGTGTCCAGCGAGTGTCCAGTGAGTGTACAGTGTCCAGTGAGTGTACAGAGTGTACAATGAGTGTCCAGAGTGTCCAGTGAGTGTCCAGTGAGCATACAGAGAGTATACAGTGAGTGTCCAGTGAGTGTACAGAGTATACAGTGTCCAGTGAGTGTACAGTGTCCAGTGAGTGTCCAGTGAGTGTCCAGAGAGTGTAAAGTGAGTGTCCAATGAGTGTCCACAGAGTGTCCAGAGAGTGTCCAGTGAGTGTCCAGAGAGTATACAGTGGGTGTCCAGTGAGTGTACAGTGTACAATGAGTATCTAGTGAGTGTCCAGTGTCCAGTGAGTGTATAGTGAGTGTTCAGTGAGTGTCCAGTGAGTGTCCAGTGTCCAGTGAGTGTACAGAAAGTATACAGTGAATGTCCAGTGAGTGTATAGTGAGTGTCCAGTGTCCAGTGAGTGTCCAGTGAGTGTACAGAGAGCATACAGTGAGTACCCAGTGAGTGTACAGTGAGCATACAGAGTGTACAGTGAGTGTACAGTGTCCAGGGAGTGTCCAGTGAGTATCCAGTGAGTGTACAGTGTCCAGGGAGTGTCCAGGGAGTGTCCAGGGAGTGTCCAGTGAGTGTCTAGTGAGCGTACAGAGAGTGTCCAGTGAGTGTCCAGTGAGTGTACAGAGAGTATACAGTGAGTGTCCAGTGAGTGTACAGTGGCATCACATGCACATTGGTCTGCAACCATGACTCCCATTCAGCTCTGGAACTTTTTCATCTTCCCACACTGAAACTCTGAACCCATTAAATGCTAACTCCTCATTCCCCAGTCACCCTATCCCCTAGAAACCCTCACTTTACTTTCTGTCTTTATAAATTTCACTGCTCTGGGTACCTCATATAAGCAGAATCATACAATAGTTGTCTGTGTGTGACTGGCTTACTTCACTTAGCCTAATGTCTCCAAGTTTTATCCATGTTGTAGCATGTGTGCAAACAATGTAATATATATACAACCAAATAATATTACTCTATGCACACTATGTGTTTCAGTTTTTTAAAATTTGTTCAGATTTGTTTTATGACCCAGGTTATGATCTATCTTGGTGAATGTTTCATGGCAATTCAAAAGAATATGTATTCTGCTGTTGAAAAGTGAAGTGTTCTATACATGCCAGTTACATGTTGTTGTTTGATAGTGTCATTCAGTCCTGTATCCTTGCTGACTTTCTGTATGGTAGTGCTGTCAATTGCTGGAGTGAAGTGTTGAACTTCCCAACTTTCACAAATTCCAAGTTTTGTGGATTTTTCTATCAATACTTCAATTCTGTCAGTTTTGTTTCATGTATTTTGAGGATCTGTTGTGCTGTGTATATGCTTTTAGAAGGGCTATATCTTCTTGGCAGGTTGATCTTTTAATTATTATGTAATATACTTCTTTGCTCCCCATAATATTCTTTGCTCTGAAGTCAACTTTGTCTAATATTAACATAGCTATGCCTTCTTTTTTGATTAATGTTTGTATTATAAATCTTTTTCCTTCCTGTAACTTTCATCCTACCTATGTCAATATGTTTGAAGTGATATTTGAGAGATCATTTAGCTGGGCTGGGATATTTTGATCTACTCTGCCTATCTCTAACTTTTAATTTTTTTTTTTTTTTTTGAGACGGAGTCTCGCTGTCGCCCAGGTTGGAGTGTAGTGGCGTGATCTCGGCTCACTGCAGGCTCTGCCCCCCAAGGTTCACGTCATTCTCCTGCCTCAGCCTCCCGAGTAGCTGGGACTACAGGCGCCTGCCACCTCGCCCAGCTAATTTTCTGTATTTTTAGTAGAGACAGGGTTTCACCGTGTTAGCCAGGATGGTCTCGATCTCCTGACCTCGTGATCCGCCCACCTCGGCCTCCCAAAGTGCTGGGATTACAGGTGTAGCCACCGCACCCAGCCTCTAACTTTTAATTTCTATACTTATTTATAAAGTAATTATTGATATGCAGAGAATTGTTTGACATTTTATTTGTTTTTCATTTATTCCTTCTGTTTCTACCTCCTCTGTTTCTTTCGCCTTCCTGTGAGTTACTTTAACATTTTTAGTACTACAATTTAATTTACTTATAAAAATACTTAGTATATCTTTTTTTTTTTTTTTTTTTTTTTTTTTTTTTGAGACGGAGTCTCATTCTGTCACCAGGCTGGAGTGCAGTGGCACGATCTCGGCTCACTGCAATCTCCGCCTCCCAAGTTCAAGCGATTCTCTCCTGCCTCAGTCTCCCAAGTAGCTGGGATTACAGGCACGTTCCACCACACCCAACTAATTTTTTTGTATTTTTAGTAGAGACAGGGTTTCACCATGTTGGCCAGAATGGTCTCCATCTCCTCACCTCATGATCCACCCAGCTCGGCCTCCCAAAGTGCTGGGATTACTGGCGCCAACCACCACACCCAGCCTGTATTTTTTTTTTTTAGTGGTTGCTCTAGGTATTACCTTTTACATATGTAACATGACAGTCTACTAGTGTCAACATTTTGCCACTTCAAGTAAAGTTTAGAAATCATATTTCCATTTAAGTCCCTTTACTCCCCCCAATATTAAAAATATAATTTTTTTGGTGGGGACAGGGTCTCACTCTGTGATGCCCAGGCTGGAGTGCAGTGGCATATTCTCAGTTTGGTGCAACCTCCACCTCCTGGGTTCAAGCAATTCTCCCACCTCAGCCTCCCAAGAAGCTGGAATCACAGGTGGGCACCACCATACCTGGCTAATTTTTGTATTTTTTTGTAGAGACAAGGTTTCACCATGTTGGCCAGGCTGGTCTCAAGCTCCTGACCTCAAGTGATCTGCCAACCTTGGCCTCCCAAATTAAGATATAATTGTTTCAAGTGTTTCCTCTATATATATTGAGTGCCATATCAGATGATAATGTAACTTTTATGATTGCTTCAATCATAAAGTATGACTAAAGAAATCATGGAGTGAAGGACAGTCTATTACATTTATTTCCATTTTTGCTCACTCTGTTGTTTTTGTTTTCTCTCTGAAGGTCCTAGCCTTCTATTGTCCTTTTCTTTGTGTTTGGAGAGCTTTCCTTAGCCAGTCCTTAAAGATAGGTCTGCTAACAACATATCCTGTTGGTTTTCCTTTCTCTGAAGATATCTATTTTTTATTAATTTCTGAGGGAAAAAATTAATTTCACTGTCTATTTCATCAAGATGCAAGGTTGACACTTACTTTCAGAACTGAAAAATATGCCATTTCTTCCTGGCTGTGTTGTTTCAGATGAAAAATCATCTGTCATTCTAATTGGTGGGTTTTTATAGATAATGTGTCATTTCTCTCTGGCTGTTTTTAAGATTTTTTTCTTTGCCATTAGATTTCAGAAGTTTAATTATGATGTTTCTTGATATGGATTTCTTTTGGTTTATTCTATTTGGAGTTCACCTAGCCTTTGGATCTATAAATTTTTGTCTTTTGCCAATTTGGAAAGTTTTCAACCATTACTTATTCTGAGACTCCAATGATATGAATGTTAGGTATTTGTTACATAAATCCTTAAGACCATGCCTTTCTTCCGTCTATTTTCTCTCTATTGTTCAGATTGAATAAATTCTATTGATTTGTCAAGTTCATAGATTCTATGCTCTGTCATCTCCACTCTGTTGATTCTATCTGGCATGTGTTTTTCATTTAAGTTATTGTATTTTTGGGGTCTACGATTTCTGTTTGGCTCTTTTTTTAAATAACTTCTGTTGCTTTGCTAAGATTTTTCTATCTTTTCATTGTTTCAAAAAAATCGTTATCGAATATTGGGTCATTTTTATGAGGGGTGCTTTAAAATTCTTGTCAAATAATTCCACCATCTAATTCATCTCAGCATCAGCATCTGTTGATTGTCTTTTCCCTTTCAAATTGTGGTTCTCCTGATTTTTAGTAAGAAGGAGGATTTTTCATTGTATCCTGGACATTTTGGTTATTATGTGAAGTGACCCTTGATCCTGAGTAAATGTATGTTAGCAGGAAGTTACCCTTTTTAAGTTTAGCATATGGGTTCTGCCCTACTTTTGTGGCTTTAATTCTAATAAAATTTTAGTTTTCTAAGCCCCCTGGTATGTTATTCTGACCAGCTTTGTTCTCTTAGTGTTGTTATGACACTTGCTCAATGCCTGCCAGCACTGTCTGCAGTACAGAAGGTACTTCCTTTGGCTACCTGCTGTCGTTGGGGGACCTTTGGTGGAGGAGAAGGAGAGGAACACTTGGCCTGGGTCTCACTATGCCACTGGTGGAAGACAGAGAAACGCAGGGCTTCAGGGCTGTTGCCACTGAAGGTGAATGGGATGACCTACCAGTACTTTCATTGTATAATAGAGGCTTGGAAAGCCCAGGGCATCACTGCTGCCAAGGTATGAGATCATTCACTGAGCCTGGTTTGTGGAGCAGGGGCTGGATGGCCTAGGACTTCCCTTGTTGCTGGTGCTACCATTGCTGTGGCTACAGGGGCAAATAGATAAGACCATCCACTAGGAGGGCTCTGGTCATGGAGCAGAGATTGAGATGACTGGGTCTTCACCACTGCCACTGCTGCCAATGGATGAGTCCAAAAGCAGGGTCCCCAGGTCCCCAGGTAGGGAGCAGGGAATGAGTTTCCCCACTAGATCTCTGTTGTCTCTGTTGAGCTTCCCCTTTCTTGGTCCTTTGGCTAGAGAAAGAACACTTTTTTTTTTTCTCTCTCTGCTTATTGGTTCTGGACTGTAGGCCTCTCCACTGCCCAGTTCAGTGGTATTTGGAAGATTAAAAAAATTAAAACCTAGGGAAATCACCACGTTGCCATTTTTCAAGTCCTGAGGTCTCTACCCAGTCTACCTGTTTCTTTCCAGCTTTCAGAGTCCTTTCATCATTACGTTTAATAAATTTCTGTGTATTAAGTTATATTTAGAAAGGAGGAGCAGGGAAAAGTGAATCTATAGCACCTTGCTCTGGAACTAAAATTCCAGAAAGCAATATAATTTTGACTGCACAAGCAGGTCTTTAATCCATCTGAAATTGATTTTAGTCTATGATGTGAGATAGAAATCTAATTTCATTTTTTTCTCCATATATATTCAATTGTCTTGGCACCATTTTTGAGAAGTCTGTCTTTTATCAAATACTCTGCGGGGCTCACCTCTGTACTGTACAAGAGTCTATTGCTTGGCTTGCTATTCTAGGTAATTGCTCTATTTGACTATCCCCGCACCAATACATACTGACTTAATTATCATATCTTTATAGTAAGTCTTGATATATGGTGGTGCAAATATTCACACAAATGTTTTTTATACTTGTTTTGTATGCAGAAAACTTGTTAAAACTCTCTAAATTTAAAAATGTATCTATGGAATCTTTTTGAATTTTCTGTAATCCACACTGATTATATCATAATGTGCACAGTTACATGATTTTTTTAAATCATGACTTCCCCCCACCTTTTCAATCATTTTTAGGGAATAGAGAATGGAAGATTTTTTTTCTGTGGTGGCCAAAACCTCTACTACAGTGTTGATCTGGTGAAAGTTGGGGTAGTGCAATTATTTGTCTTGTTCCTATTTTCTAAAGGAAAAGCTGGCTGGGCATGGTGGCTCATGCTTTGTACTCCCAGCATTTTGGGAGGCAGAAGTGGGAGGATTGCTTAAGCCCAGCAGTTCAAGACCAATTTGGGTAACATGGAGAGACCCCATCTCTACAAAAAATAAAAAAAGTTAGCTGGGTGAGGTGGTGCACACTTGGAGTCCCAGGTACTGCGGGGCTAAGGTGGGAGGATCTCCTGAGTCTGGGAGGTCAAGGCTGCAGTTAGCCATGATCGTGCCATTGTACTCCAGACTGGGTAACAGAGTGAGAACTTTTTTCCAAAAAAAAAAGGAAAAGCGTCTAGAGCTTCACCATTAAGTATGATGTTTGTTGTAGGTTTTAGCAAATATATTGTATAAAACTAAACAGGCTTCCAACTATTCTTAATTTGCCATTTTTTTAGCATAAATAGTAAATTTTATTTACAAAAAAAATAAAAGCTTAGAAAACACATGCTAGGCCAGGTGTGGTGGCTCATGCCTGTAATCCCAACACTTTGGGAAGCTGAGGCGGGCAGATCACCTGAGATCAGGAGTACGAGACCAGCCTGCCCAACATGGCGAAACCCCATGCCTACTAAAAACACAAACAATTAGCTGGGCATGGTGGTGGGCGCCTGTAATCCCAGCTACTCAGGAGGCTGAGGCAGGCGAATCACTTGAACTCGGGAAGCGGAAGCTGCAGTGAGCCGAGATCGTGCCACTGCACTCCAGCCTGGGTGACAGGAGTGAAACTCCCTCTCAAAAAAAAAAAAAATAAATAAATAAAAAGAAAACGTATGCTATGCTAATCCTAGTCAAAAGAAAGCTGGAGTGCTTATATTAGTATTAAACAAAGTAGGTCTAATAGCAAAGAATAATACTATGGATAAAGACCATTATGTCTTTATCCATATCAATCAATCAATAATCAGTAAATTGATTAAGGAGTCAATTTATTAATAGGATGTAACAATCCTAAACATGTATGCACCTAATGATAGAGCTTCAAAATACATGAAGCAAAGATAGATAGAATTGAGATGAGAAATAAGCAAATCCACAAGCATAGTTGGAGATTTCAATGCCCTTCTCTTAATAATTGAAAAAAACAAATATTAATAACATAAAATTAGCAATGATACAGAAGACCTAAACAACAATATTAAAGAATTTGGCTTAACTGATATCTATAGAATATCCTACCAAACAACAGCAGAATATGCCTTATTTCCAGAGACATATAGAAAATTTATCAAAATAGATCATATTCTGGGCTATAAAATGAGTCCAAGAAAGTTAAAGGAATTCAAGTCATGAAGTATGTTTTCTAACCAAAATGGAAGTAAATTAAAAATCAATAATAGAAAAATATCTGGAAAATTCTCAATTAGGAAAGTAACGTACTTCTAAATATCTTATGAGTCAAAGGACAAACCAAAAGAGAAAGCCAACAGCATTTTGAACTAAATGAAAGTTAAAACACAACATATAAAAACGTGTGGGACAGAACTAAAGCAGTACTTAGCAGCAAATTTATGTCACTAAGTGCCTATTTTAGAAAAGAAGAAAGATCTCAAATCCATGACCTCATCTTCTACCTTAAGAAACTGGAAGAAAAAAGTAGAAAAAAAGGAAATAAAATCAAATGATAATAGTGGAAATAAATGTAATACAAAATAATTTTAAAAATCAAAATTAACAGCTTCTTTAATATGTGTGTATATATATGAATAATCTGTAATAATATTATTTCATAATATTAAAATTAATAAGGCCAACCTGATCAGATAAAAACAAAACAAAGCAAAACAGAAAACACAAGCTACCAATATTAGTCATTAAAAAGTGACATCACTACAGAGTTTGCAGATTTAGAAAGATAATAGAGGACAATTATAACTGTATGATAATAAATTTGATAACTTAGATAAAATGCAACAGTTCTTAACAGTCACAAACTACCAAAGTTTATTCAAGAAAAAATAAAATTAAGTTTATAAATAAAAGCCTTCCAACAAAGAAAACCCCAGGCCCAAATGGCTTCTTCTGTGGGTCCTGCTTAACACTAAAGAAGACATAAGACAAATTCTATTCAAACTTTTCCTGAAAATTGAAAAAGAAGGAATACTTCGCAACTCATTCTATGAATCCAACAGTACCATGATACCAAATCCAGACAAAAACATTACAAGAAAAGGAAACTACAGAATACCTGTCATAAACATAGATGCCATAATTTTAAGCAACATTTTAACACATAAAATAAACAATAATACATCCTGACTGAATAGAATTTGTTCCATAAAGGCAAGGTTGATCTAACATTTTTAAATGCATCAATACAATTTATCATATCAACAAGCCAAAACAGAAAAACTATAGAATTATCCCAATGGGTGCATAAAAATCATTTGACAAAAATTCAACATCTCTTTCTGATTTGTTTACAAAAACCTCTCAGCAAATTGATAATTAGAAGATACTTTCCTCAGATAAAGAGCATCAACAAAAAACCAGCAGAATAATGAAAAGGCTGAATTTTTCCCTCTAAAATCAGGAAAGAGACAAGAATGTTCATTCTACCACTTCTGTTCAATAGCATATTGAAATTTCCAGCCAGTGAAATAAGGCAAGAAAAGCAAATAAAAGGCATCCGGTTTGCGAAGGAAGAAGTAGAATTGTCTTTGTTCACATACAATATGATTATTTATGCAGAAAATTGGGTATAACATGTAAAACAAATTGTACAGGAACTAATAAGTGACTTTAGCAAGGCTGCAAGTTGCAAGTCTAATGTACAAAATTTAATTGTGTTTCTATATACTAACCATGAACAACCAGAAACTTATATACACACACACACTCTAAATGGCAAGAAATATGAAACACATAGGAATAAAACTGACAAAAGATATGCAAAACCTGCCACTGAAAAGTACAATGCATTGTCAAAATAAATTAAAGAAGACTTTAAATAAATGAAAAGATGTACCTTGTGCATCAGTTTAAGGGATCTATGCTGTTAAACTGTCAATTATCATCAGACAGATTCAACACAATCCCTATTTAAAATCTCAAAAGGTTTTTTTGTAGATATAGATGAGCTGATTGTAAATATCACATGGAAATGTAAAGAATGTAGAATAATCAAAATAAATTTTTAAAAGAGGAGCAAAGTTGGAAAGCTAATGATACCTGTTTCAAAACTCAATATAAAGCTACAGTAAACAAGATAGTGAGGTATTGGTATCAGGATAGATGAATAGATCAAATAGGTCAGTGGAACATAATAGAGTCTAAAAATCTCACACACAAAACTGATTTTTTTGACAAAGGTGCAAAGATGATTTGGTGGAGGAAGCATAGCCTTGTCAACAAATGATGCTGGAACAATTGGATATTCATACGCAAAAAAAAATGAATTTCAATCCATATGCAAAAAATAACTCAAAATGAAATTTAGAAGTAAATGTAAAACCTAAAATTCTACAAAAAAAGTAGAAAATTTACTTTTTTGGATGATATTGTTTTTATTCTTTTGGACTGGATCATGTTTATTAGCAATCATCTTTAATTTCCACCATCCTCCGTGTTCTTCCCTGTATCTCAAGAGCTGAAATTTCACTACACTTCTTAGGCTCCTTGACACCAGTTTTGAAATGCAATTTATGTTCTGCTGATGAAATATACTCATGTATGATTGGAAAGCAGGGAGGAGGAAACGACCCTTTTTTCTTTGACAGTGATGACAGCTGATGTGCGGGTTGTGGAAGACATGAATGTTTGCAGTAGTTGAACATAGGATTCCATTGCCAGTCACCAGCTTCAAGATGTGGAAAAGCTGTAATATCACCAAGTATTTTTTGCAATTGACTCTCCTCTGGGTAGCAATGGCAGCCTTTTGACTTCCGGATTGTGTTGTAGTGATGCAGCCAAAAGCCTAGAAGCAGCCCTCTAACTTTCGTACCTCCAGTTTCCCAATGATTTTACAAGCTTCTAATTCCCAACATTAAATTATTTTCTTCTTGAAGTACTTTGCCTCTATTTTTCTGCACTAATTTGTGACCAATACCATCTTAAAAATACAAAATGTATGCTTAAATTATCTAGCCAGATGTGAATACCTTTACCTTATCAGATAATATAAGGACCCTAGCTCCATTAATTATACTTTTAAATGTAAGCCACGGGGTCTTATTGTTATTTTTTGTATATTCAATGTTCATTTGGATTTACCCACTTATTTATAGCTGAAAGGTTGTCTTTCTCTTGATTACTTTTTGTATTTCAACCCTTCCATCTACAATCATTTTCTTTCTTCCTGAAATACGTCATTAAGAATTTCTTTTACTGAGGGTCTCTTGATGACAAACTCTGTTTTACTTATATTAAAAAGTCTTGGCAGGCATGGTGGCTCACATCTGTAATCCCAGCACTTTGGGAGACAGAGTTGGGTGGATCACGAGGTCAGGAGATCGAGACAATCCTGGCTAACATGGTGAAACCCCATCTCTACTAAAAATACAAAAAATTAACTGGGTATGGTGGTGGGAGCCTGTAGACCCAGCTACTAGGGAGGCTGAGGCAGGAGAATGGCATGAACCCAGGAGGCGGAGCTTGCAGTGAGCTGAGATTGAGCCACTGCACTCCAGTCTGGGGGACAGAGCAAGACTCTGTCTCAAAAAATAAATAAATAAATAAATAGTCTTTATTTTGTTCTCATTATTAAAAGATATATTTCGTGGGTATAGAATATTCATCAGCTATTAACTTTTGTCAATATCTTGAGGATCTTATTCCCTTGCCTTCTGACTTCCATTATTATTGTTGAGAAGTCAGCAATCAGTCTAACTCATTCATTTGAAGACAATCTGTTTGTCTCTTATAACTGCTATTAAGATTTCTTCTGGCTGGACGTGGTGGCTCATGTCTGTAATCCCAGCACTTTGAGAGGCTGAGGTGGGTGGATCACATGAGGTCAGGAGTTTGAGAGCAGCCTGGCCAACATGGTGAAAATCTGCTTCTACTAAAAATACAAAAATTAGCTGAGCGTGTTGGCACATGTTTGTAATTCCAGCTACTTGGGAGGCTGAGGTAGGAGAATCACTTGAACTCGGGAGGCAGAGGTTGCAGTGAGCCAAGATTGTGCCATTACACTTCAGCCTGGGCAACAAGAGTGAAATTCCATATTAAAAAAAAAACATTTCTTTGTTTAGGATATTCTCTGTTCTCACTATTATGTGTCAATGTTTTCTCTATCCTGATTGAGATTTTTAAGGCTTCTTGAATCTACAGTTTCATATCATTCATTGTTCCTGAAAAATTCTTACCCAAGATTTCTTCAAATATTGCTTTTGCCCTATCTCTCTCTCCTTTCCTGGGAATCTGATTAAATATATGCTAGCTCTTCTCACTATATCCAGCATACCACTTAACTCCTCATCTGCATTTTTCCACCTTTCTATCTCTTTATGGCACATGTAGACTAATTTTTTCTGGCATATCTTCCAGTTTACTAATTCTTTCCTTAGCTGTGTTTAATCTGCAGGTTAAATTAATCCTTTAGGTTTTTTTTTAATTTAGTAATTGGAGTTTTATTTTCAGAAGTTCTATTTTAAAAAACTCCACTGTGTCAATTTTTATAGTTTCCTGCTCATACGAGTATATTTACACTTTTAAAAATTTCAAACATGGTGTAATGAATGCTGTGCTGCACTGGACATTCCCCTTTCAGGAATAAGGGATTTATTTACTCAGCTGATGGAAATATTATAGTCTGACATTGTCCTTGGAACTAAAATCATTGGCCAATTTTGATTTCTGTTACCATATGTCCATGATGACCTCAAAACAAAAGTTCAAAATTCCCTAAATTGGCCAATGTTGTTAGGGCAAAAAAAAAAAAATGTCTTCTGGGTTGCCTTTACCTCTCATTTGTTTCCTTAAACAACTTTCCTCCTAATTCCATACTATCTTATTATCCATTTGATACTTTTAAAAGGACTTGTAGTTTTTTCTCAATGAGTAATTAGGTCCGAAGAACCCACATTTCATTGCATGAAATACACAAGAGTAGCAGAAAAAGACTCTGATGGCTAGAATCTAGCAGTGGCTACTGGTTTGCTTTGTTCAAAAAGACTGCAAGATTCCTTCTGGCTTAGAAGAAAAGAGTGCCCGAATGAATTAATGATGTCTGTCATGGTCACAAGAGGTGGTATGCCACAGGAGGGGCAATCCTGTGACCAAATCATTTGAAAATCTTTTCTCATTCTTTGGGGCCCTAAATTTATTAATATAAAGAGCAATTTATCCCCAAAACTTTAACCAGTCCACTCACTTTACAAACTGCTCACCCCGAGTTTAAGGCTCTCTATGCTCTTGTGTCAACCTCTGTTTCCAGACTGTTTCACCACTGCACCATATGTACTAAAATCCACAGCCAAGCAGACTCCGCCTTCCCCTAAACATCCTCCAACATTTCCATCTCCAGCAACTTGACTCAGGGTTTCACTGTTTGGAATACTTACTCTTCGTTTATACATTCAGAAATTCTAGACATTCTTCCAACCTAGCTCCAATGCCACCTACTCATAAGGCTTTCTTTGTCTCCCTGTTGGATTGCTCCTTCCCTTGGTCTCTCAGAGCATAATAAGACTTTCCAGCAAACTTTGCCTTTCTCTGTTTTTTTTTCCCATGGTATTCAGGCCTTAGTTTAATCTCTGGTCCTATCCCATTAGGTGGAAGAGGCTCAGGCAGGGACTGCCTGATCTTTGTAGTTAACATAGTTTGATACTCAATACATGTTCCCTTAGAAAAGAGAAATATCTGACGAATGGAAAAAGTCATATTCCTCAGTGTTATTTGTCCTTCAGACTTTGGCTGTAGGGGCTGCTCAGATTCCAATGGCTAACTGTACATCCTCTGAGCTGCAACCACCCTCTCCCTCCCCAGGGTCCTGGAACAACTGTTCGAAGGGCACCATACTGAAGCACAGAAGGTAGGACCAGGAGCTACACACCTGTTTTTTGGACGTTAGGACATGTAGGCAGGAGCAGGGCATGCCTGGGTTGCTGTTGCCCACCAGCAGCAGAGCTGGCCAGGCCAAGCATAGTTGAGCATTTAAAATACATTAAAGGCCTACTCCCTTTGAAGTTGGAAACTATATCTATTTAATCAGAGAGAAACAACTTTTCAAAAGATTTTTTCCCCTCTTTTTTACCTTCAGCTTGCTGGCTTCTCCTGTGGTTAGTAGCATGAATAAAACATGCATATCCCAATTAAATCTTGATTTAATTTCACTTCTTTGCAAAGCTGATGAACTCGAGTGCTTTCATAAAGACACTGAGCATTAGCATTCTTTTGTTATGCACAATCCATTCGGAGGAACAAGGGGCTAAAAATATTCAGCTGCCTCTCCCCTGGCCTTGCCAAGCTCTCCGTGAGTTAGGGAGAAAGGAAAACACATAGGCACACACACATTTCCAGCCAGGTTAATCCTCCCCGTGGACACCCCCTGGTAATTGTAGGGAATGAGAGCTCGTTTGACCATGAGTAACATCTTAGAGTTGGAAGGCAAACAGCATCTGTAAAAAGGACACTTTCTCAGGTGCTTCTTTGGTACTGTACCTGGAACAGTCAGTACCCATAGCAATTTAAGAGCCCTTCCCTTCCCCTGCTCCAGAGGAGGCACCAGCAGGAGGAAGAAGCTCTGGACCCAGCTGTGCATCCCAGAGGGCTGACTGAGCTTCTTGCCATTTGTTTCTAAATCTGAAAAGTACAAACTTCCCCTGAAGTTCACGATCATCACTTCAAAAAATAAATACTGTATTCATTGAAGACTGAAAAGAAGTACATGAATGTGTTTATCTGTGGTTATTCCTGGATGATGGGATTATGGATGATCTTTATGTCATGTCTGACATTTTGTGGCACTTTATGAACTCTCTTTAATAAGTGTAAAGAAATTCTACAATCCGAAACAGTTGTTTTAGAAAGATACATTTATTGACACACCCTACTATAGACAGGGGGAAAATTATCTAAGATATTTTCTTAATAACTTAAAAACTCCCTAACTTCAGAGAGTTTTGTTTTTTGTTTTTTTCTTTTTTTGATACAGATTCTCACTTTGTCTCCTAGGCTGGAGTGCAGTGGCGCCATTTCGGCTCACTGTAGCCTCCACCTCCCAGGTTCAAGGGATTCTTCCCCTGCTCCAGAGGAGGCACCAGCAGCAGGAAGAAGCTCTGGACCCAGCTGTGCATCCCAGAGGGCTGACTGAGCTTCTTGCCATTTGTTTCTAAATCTGAAAAATACAAACTTGCCTCAGCCCCACAAGTAGCTGGGACTACAGGTGTGCACCACCACGCCCAACTAATTTTTGTATCTTTTTTTTTTTTCATTAGAGACAGGGTTTCACTATGTTGGTGAGGCTGGTCTCAAACTCCTGACCTCAGGTGATCTGCCCACCTCAGCCTTCTAAAGTGCTGGGATTGCAGGGTGAGCCACCATGCCTGGCCCTTCAGAAAGTTTTTAATCTACATAGGATAACTAATAATAGATAGGGTAACTAATAATAAGGACTAAATATAGAGGTTCCAGTTCTAAGGTGCCCAGAGAAATAAATTTTCTGAAGGTAGTGGTGGATAAAGAAGACTTTCCTGAGGTGGTGAGACTACAAAAGCTTGGATATCAGAGTTTGAGGGATCTTAGGAGCCATTTAGACCAACTCCACATTTGGAGCTTGTATCTCATCTTCATCAGCCTCACAGCATGACACCCTGGTTGAACATAGCCAGTTTCTGACCAGAAACTTGATAATGTTTAAGTTAGTCTCTTCTATATTCGAGTTTTTCTCATACTTGGAGGTTCCTTCTATTTTTATTTTATTTATTTATTTTTAGAGACAGGGACTGGCTCTGTCTCCCAGGCTGGAGTACAGTGGGTGATCATAGCTCACTGCAGCCTCAACCTCCAGAGCTCAAGATATCCTCCTGCCTCAGCCTCCCAAGGAGCTGGAACTACAAGCCCACACCACCATGCCTGGGTAACTTTTTAAACATTTTTTGTAGAGATGCGGTCTCACAATGTTGCCCAGGCCTACTCAGAGGTTCTTTCTCACATTGATCTGAGCTCTGTTTCCCTGGAGGCTCTGGTTGGCCTCCTGGGGCCACATACACCAGGTCTGCTGCCTCTCCCACCGTGATGATCCTTCATATTTAAAGTCAGCTTTAACACCTTTTTTCTCTTTTGTCTTTTTACTGTGGTTTTTAAAGCATACCTCAAAT
Source organism: Homo sapiens (assembly GCF_000001405.40). Lineage (NCBI taxonomy): Eukaryota > Metazoa > Chordata > Mammalia > Primates > Hominidae > Homo > Homo sapiens. Next base: position 115,816,424 of record NC_000011.10, on the reverse strand, counting down.
GTCATAACTTCCAACTGACAAAGGCTCTGAGGATGGATAAAACTTACACAAAACGGAAGAAATGGAATGGGTATTCTCAATAGGGAAAATGGTATAAGCAAGACACAGAGTTTGACAGAGGCCATCTGTGTGGACTGGCCCATGAAGAAACCAGTCCAGCTGGGGCTGCACTGACCTGGGGACTGGTGGGAGATGCAGGTGGACAGGTAAGAGGGAGGCCACCTGGGGAAAGCCTTGATCTGCCAGCCGAGTCTGACTGTCCTCCACACCCCACATCCTCAAGAGTGTCTTTCACTCCAAGAGGAGCCTTGTCTGCGGTTCAAGAGGCCTCCTGGTAGCCAGATGCTACTGCTTCATGAGAGCCCAGGTCCTTGTGGACCCTGTGGGGGACAGCCAGGGGCACAATGAGAAGGGGCTTGGTGCTTAGTTACTGCAGGTCTTTCCCTCAGTTGCCACATTTGCCTATGATCTGACCAGTAGGTAATACACAGCCAGCCCATGAAGGAAGACTGTAGAGGTATGGTGGTAGGAGCAAGGTTCAGAGAGCTTGGCCCTGAGATACAAGTCGATTTCATGGTGTGTGCAGGGAGGATGCTGGGGAAGAAGAGGGGCTGTATGGAGCATTAAGCATCAGGGCAAGCAAGGGACGGAGAGCACAGGACAGGCCTGTAGGTGGTTATCCCTGTGAATTCTCCCCTCCTTCTCCCATGCCTCCAGTCTCCTGGCATTGTTGTCAATATCAACAGAACAGATTCAACAGCACCTGGACAGAGGCTGCATATACTCAGAATATGAAGATGAAATGGGAAGGATGGCATTTGTAGGCCCTACAGCTAGAGTACAAGGGAGACAACCAGACTGTGGCCCAGCCACCTTCTCTTCCCATACCTGGTTCTAACCTTCCTGACAAGAGGCCCTGTGTGCATGTGTGTGAATACCCCAGACCACATAGCTTGGTTCCATTCACTTTCTCTACCATCTAAATGTCACCCTTTGGGCCTAGGGATGGACACCAATAGACCCTTGAAACAGGACTATGCAGGCCTTCTGAGTGGGCTCAGAGCCATTTAAGGAGGAGACCTGGGGCAGGGCAAGGACCTAGAAATTGTTCTTATGAGAAGGGATATGAGATCCAAATGGTCATGTCCCATGGGCAGCCAAGATGTGGGGAGGGGTTGGACAGGAAACAGGCCTGTTCTAGTTCCTCCTAAGCAAGGAGACCAGAGCAAGGGCCCTGGAGGCACAGGGCTAAGGACAGGACTGATGACAAGTCTGGTGATCCTAAAATGACCAAGTGGAAGGAGCAAAGACTTCGGAACCACACAGGCCTGGGCTCAAATCCTAGCTTTAATGCTGACTTTCTCAGCCATTAACCTCCTTGAGCCTCCAGTTCCCCCTGAACAAATCTGAGACCAGCACACCTGCCTTGCAGGGCAGTTAATGAGATGGTATTGAAAAATGTATGCCATAGAGCCAGCTTCCAATAAACAACGGTTATTGTTGCTTTTAACATAAGGTCACTCGTCAAGCAAAAGCCAACTTGAGGCAGTGATAGGACAGGGTAACCCTGGGGAGAAAGAGAGACCATGTGGAGGGAGGAGGGGGAATCTAAGTTTCCGTTGGGGTGAAAAAGCCTCTTGGATGGCTTTGGTAAGTCTGAATCTGTCTAGTGCTGACCCTTGGGCCACAACTCATAGGCCTTTGAAACGGTTTTGTTTTATTTCATTTGAGCAGACTCCTGCCCACTATTCAGAGAAAATGTCTAATGCTGTTTTTTCAAATCTCCCAGACTGTCCACCACCTTCCACTTGGCACAAGTCTAGACCACACTGGAGCTTTCTCCCACACAGGCTTGTCAATTCGAGCCTCAGAATGGCTCACACCAATAAACAGGTCCCCAAGACCCAGGAGGCACACACTGCGGAGAAATTTACACACTCATAAAGAGAACACGCCTGCTAATATGTTTACAGGTTGGGGGTCTTTCTCCTGAATGCAGACAAGATATTGCTGCTGTAAAAGAGGAAATTGTTCAGGCTGATCTTCCAAGCACAGACCAAGGAGGAATCCCCAAGTCTTGGCTGACACAGCTCATAAATCTCCTGAGTTTCTGTTTGTCCCAACTTCCATCATTTCAAGCAACATGTGGGACTGTCACATTTTAAGAAAATAAATCAAATGAAATTATAGATTTGCCTTTGTGATCCTGATGTGCAGATTACATGTTATTACATTATAGATCTCACACCCCTTAATGCATTTGCACTATGGTATGATTATTGGATTTTGATGTATTGCCAACATCAAACCCAAATAAATATTTTTCTTCACTAAGTGCTGCTGGGAAGGAAGGCAGTTCTCAAACATAAAGCCTATTTAGGTGGTTTAGTAAGAAATGAAAGGAGACCAATGTGAAAAAGAATAAACATGTTGACACTGGTCTTCCATGGCAGTTCTTATACAGCTAGGTCCCCAAGCCCTGAGAAAATAGAAACAGAAATGGCAATGAAGCCTGGAGCCTGCTCTCATTCTCAATATGATTCATGTGTTAATTCAACAGATGTTTATTCAACAACGACTAATATGGCTTGGCTCTGTGACCCCACCCAAATCTCACCTTGAATTGCAATAATCCCCAAGTGTCAAGGGTGGGACCAGGTGGAGGCAACTGGATCATGGGAGCACTTTCCCCCATGCTGTTCTTATGATAGTGAGTGAGTTCTCAAGAGATCTGATGGTTTTATAAGCATCTGGCATTTCTCCCACTGGCATTCATTCTCTCTCCTGCTGCCCTGTGAAGAGGAGCCTTCAGCCATGATTTTAAGTTTCCTGATGCCTCCCCAGCTATGCAGAACTGTAAGTTAATTCAACCTCTTTTCTTTCTAAATTATCCAGTCATGGGTATTTCTTCATAGCAGCGTCAGAATGGACTAATACACATACTATGTGCCAGGCACTGTTCTGGGCATCGGGGTGAGACGATGAAGACAACATACGAAAACCTGTGCCCTAAGAGAGCTTGCCGTCTAGTAGAGGGAAAAAGAAAATCAATAAACAAGTGAAATAAATAGCATATCAATGCATGGTAAGTGCTTTAGAGAGAAATTAATTAAGTCAGCAGGGTAGGGGGGATGTTTGGTACCAATTTTAAATGAGTGGTCAGAAATGGTCTTACGGTGAGAGTGACAGTTGACAAAGGCCCAGTAGGAAGGGAGGCAGCAAAATCCAGAACTGTCTGGGGGAAGTCCATTAAAGCAAATGGAAAAGCACGTGCAATGGCCCTGAGGCAGTGGTGGTCCTGGGATTTCAGGAAGCAGCAAAAGGTTGGAGCTGAGTGAGGACAAGGAAGCAAGGGACAGTAAAGTGGAGTGTGGCGGCCAAATTGGAAGGGCCTTGCAGGCCACTGCAGTGACTTTGGATTACTCTAGGTCTGCTGTACAGTAATGGGCAAAACAAATATTGTCCCTGCTTTTTCAGTTTATGTTATGATTGAGAATATAGCGACATAAGTAACCAATTATGTACAGAGGAATAAGAGTTCACTCTGTGGTGGGTATCTGAGAGGAGTCATGTGTGAGTCAACTAGAAGCTTCCCCCAGCCCACTTCTGCCATCTTCACTCTAGAGTGCTTACACCTGAGGGGTTTTGGTCATCTGAGAACAGTGCTCAAAAAAGGGTCTGCAGGGGACAGCATGGAAGGAATGCGTCCCTTCAAAGATGGGCAAGATGAAAAGAAAAGAGAGGGAAAACTTCTCCAGCAGAGAACCTGTTGACTGTGTTTCACCCCTAGTTTCTACTGGAAATGCCAACTAGAAAGGCAAGAAAATGGAATGGAGGAAGGGGTCAAAGTGGAAGAAGGCAAACACTACAGTAGCATGTGGTGGGGTGAAGTGAGGCCTTTCTTGGAGAAACATACACATCAACACTAGCAAAAGAAGATCCATGGTACCTGTGGGTCAAAGCACTGTGGGTCAGACCATGGAGTTACGCTCCAGAACTCTACTCATAGGGGAAGCAGAATGGCCCAGAGCAGGATAGACACAGGCAAGATCGAGGTGCCAGGCAGCCTGTGTGTAAATGCCAGCTGTGTAGGGTGTTATCTGAGAGTGCCAACTGTTAGCATCTGCACACCTTGTGAAAAGGTAGATTCAGGCTGCTGAGAGAGGGAATTTCATTCCCGTGGGAAGTTGAGTTAATGCCTAGGTCCTCCTGTTAGAAAAAGGGAGCTCTTGCTCCTAGTCCATCCATTGCCAGGCAATCTGAGCTTTAGGAGACCATCATCACTAATATCCTTGGACAATTTGCCTTTTTTCTCCTGTTGGGGTAAAGACAGCTCCTGATCAAGATTACTAGGTCAGCCATAGTAGAAAGACTAGCGATCCCAGAGTCATAGAAAGGTATAGACAACCTCATGGTAGAAGATACTTTGGGAAACTCTGTTGGTTATTTTTGTTTTCTGTTTTGTTTTGTTTTGAGACAGGGTGTCACTCTGTCACCCAGGCTGGAGTGCAGTGGCATGATCACAGCTCACTGCAGCCTTGACCTTCCAAGCCCAATCCATCCTTCCACCTCAGCCTCCTGAGTAGCTGATACTACAGGTGCGTGCCACCACGTCTAATTTTTTAAGTTTTGTAGAGACTGGGTCTCCATATGTTGCCCAGACTGGTCTTGAACTCCTGACCTCAAGCAATCCTCCTGCCTTGGCCTCCCAAAGTTCTGGGATTAAAGGCGTGAGTCACCATGCCTGTCTGAAACCTCTTGTGTAGTAGAGAAAAATGCAGTGGCCTGAGAGTCACTGGTTTTAGCTCAGAACAAGTTTTGGGACCTTGAGAAAAATCATTTCACTATCTGGCCATCAATCTCCTTGCCTTGAAAACAAGGCTTTTCAAGCTCTGCTCCTAGAAATCCAAAGGATCCGTTAGACGTGTCCAAGGACCACTGTGATGGAAGTGGGGGCTTCCAGGGTGCCATCTGAAGAAACACTGGCGACAACACGTTCTTTCTTCCACAGCAGCTTTATATTTTGGGCTTCTGTGGAAGTTTTCATTTGAAGGGAGAGTTATACTAGGTCCTTAAGAAATTAGCATGAAAACTACTGAGCTAAATAGCTCTGCTCTGACCTTTTTCTACCTAATCAGTCCTACTGTATCAATGCCTAATCTACTCCATCCCTTTGCTGAGTGTCCTAAAGAAAGCAATTTCTTCATTCTACTATGTCATTAATTTCCTTGTTTTTCTGTCTAGTCTATAGTCTCACTTAAGCCTCTCAGGCTATAAAAGATGCTAGAATTTGCTGCAAAACAGCCATCCTTTCTGTCTACTCCCTCCCTTCCATCATCATTCGCTAGCTTTGACTCATCCTCCAACCCTCAGGAGAAAAGTCTTTTCTTTCAAGGAAGCCTTCCAGGTGCTCCCTCCACTCTCTCATTGACCCCTAGCCAGGGACTCGTAATATGCACTAAAATCATCTTTTTCCTTGCATCTCCCTTACTAGACTATGACAATTTGGAGAGAAAGAAGTAAATTTGTCTTATTATCACTGCCTGCCAAGGCCTAGCCCAGTAATCACCCTGGCCATTTGCTATGATGGCTGCTGTTTGCTAAATACTGACCGCTGCTGGGCACTGGGTGTGGCATGTCACACACATTGCTTCACTTTATTTTCACATCAATCTTTGAGGGCAGGTGTCACTTTATACATAAAGAGGCTGGCTTCAGGATGCTTTAGTGGACTACTCAAGGGCACAGGTGAATAATTACTATCATCTCCATGTTGGCTTTTAAAAGGTCCTCAAGAGTGTGATTTCATTATCTCTGCATCCTCCCATTCTCCAAGGTGAGAAAATCAGGCCCACAGTGGTCCCTGCTTAGGTGAGAGCAGAGGGTAAAGGCTGATCTCCTTATGCTGATGTATGGCTGTGGATGGGATTTTAGTCTGTCAGTTCATGGTTCTCTGGAGTATAAAAGAGTAGAATAGAGAAATCCTTATGGAATTCAAAATGCACATATGAAACACATGAAATAGCCATGAAGACACTTCTGGAACAATATATCAACAATTGCCCATGAGCTCCCAGCAGAATGCACAAGCACCTGATATAATACATATACCTCAGGCGGGGTAAGCCAACTAAATATTTTTAAATCCCTTTTAATAAAAGAGTCACTGAGGAATGCTTCAATTAAATAAACACTCCCTGAGGCTCCATGATGCGCACGGCGCTTTGCTCTACATTACAGGGTACAAAAGAGACCAGGGCTACAGTCACCCCCAACTCCACATGAAGACCTCCAGCTCTGCATCAATTTGCTAAATTGAAATTATGCCTTTTTGTGCCTCTTTTCCCCACGGAGTGCTTCTTTCTTAGGGCGGGGCTCATGTCTTACATACCTCAGTATTCCCTGGACCTACAGCACGTGCCCTGTAGAAAGCATGTGGCTGAATCAGATCTCGGCCCCCAAGTAGCTAGTAAAAATAATCAAAATATAGATCAAGTTTATGCAGGAAAGAAAGTGATGGATTTTCCAGAGAGCTAGAGAGTTCTCTGGAAGCCCAGGTGAAGAGTAAGTTGGTCCTGGCAGGGACAATGTCAGTAATAGAGAGAGGAGACAATAGGCTGTCACTGTCTAACAGAGCAAATGGTAGAAGCAGGGGTGAGGCAGAGAGAAAGCTGGAGACTCAATGAGAGGAGGAGGCTGAGGACAGGCTGGAGGGCCCAGAAGCCTGGCTGCATCAGCAGCTTTCTGCTGCATCCTGCACTTCCAGGCTCTCAGCTGCCTCAGGGTCATTACACGTGCTATTCCATCTGCTTAAATACCCTTCCCCCAGATAGCTCCAGGTTTTGCTGCCTCCCCTCCTACTGGGCTTTTATCAGATGTCACTGTCATCCTAAGACTGTTTCTGATCACCCATTTAAAATTGAGTCAGGAGGGAGCACGGCATGTGGAGCCTGGTGCTTTAGGGAGGTCACACTGACAAACAGCGGGGAGACGGGGCACAAGGCAAAGAGACTGAGTAGGGACACTGGTTGGTAACAGCGTACCGGAGGAACAAAGTTGGGGAGAAATGTAGAAGTGACTGGAGAAGTGGAATCATGGTCAAATCAACAGGACTTGACAATTGACTGAGTGGGCAAAGAAGGAAGAAAAGGAGTGGGGAGAGAAAACAATGCTCAAAGGTTTAGTTCTGCCCACTAATTGGGAAAATTGTGATGCTGGCTGCAAAAGTAAAAAAAAAAAAAAGGCAGTCTAAGCCGACTAATGAAATCATCTTTGCAAAAATTATAACAGTGAGGAAGTTATGACAGTGAAAAGGATCTGACCTAACTGACTCCATCTTGTTTCTAACCTCCAAGCTGCCCGTTTATTCCTGGGGACAGCTCGAACTAACTTTGGGAGGAACTTAGTTTATAGTTTAACTTTGAAACAAAGATGATAACAGCCCTTTCCCAAAACAAATTCCCTTCTTGCCTGGGGACCAGACTGCCTCTGTAGGACTAACACATTAGTTATAAGATTTGCAACTTCCCCATCTACTCCTGCAGATAACATCACTATTGTAGGATCTAAGATTGACCTTTCGAGATGTCTTTCCAGATTTTTGCATTTCTGACTACTGATGGCTCCACCTGAACTCATGAACTGGTCCTGTGGCTCCCACCCAGGAACCAACTCAGTGCAAGAGGATGGCTTCGACTCTATGATTTCATCTATCACCCAACCAATCAGAACTCCCCACTCCTTGGCCTCCTACCCACCAAACTATCCTTGAAAAGCCCTAGTCTCTGAACTTTTGAGGGGACCAATTTGAGTAATAATAAAGCTCCAGGCTCCCATTCAGCTGGCTTGGCATGAATTAATCTCTTTCTCTATTGCAATCCCCCTGTCTTGATGAATTGGCTGTATCTGGGCAGTGGGCAAAATGAATCCACTGGGTGGTTACACTAAGGTGGACAAATGACAAATTTGGTTTTAGGTAAATTTTGGTTGAACTGCTGGTAGGCCATCCTGACTTTGTAACTTACTAGCCGTGTTACTTTATGTCTCTATAACACAATTTCTTAATCCATTAGATGGGGATAATATAGAACCTATATCATAGGGTTGTGGTGAGAAAGTTATACATTCAAATGTATATATATATTTCTATATACATACACACAGCCACACCCAAATACATGCCTGGCACACAGTTAGCAGCCAATCAGTCAGTATGTTAGCATTATTATTATCTAGGTTGAAATGTCCAGCAGGAAGGTAGAGCTGCAAATGTGTTGCTCGGGACCAGAGCAATTCTTTGCAAAAGAATTTATCATAAGATTGCTTTAAATAGAAACGCTCTCAGTGCTTTTAAGAGAGGGTTTCTCTCTCTCTCTTTTTTCATTTTACTTGCAACCTTTCAGAAATCTATTTAGTGTATTAAGTGAGGCACCCCTGTAGTTAAAATGAAACCTCTTCACTTCCTCAATGAAGACATTCTTTGGGACAAATCTCCTTTTGAAAAAGTCAGCCTGGGCCTGGAGGGCTCTGGAGAAAGGTGTGTCCATCCGAGGGCAGGTGGCTGAGTCGAGGACGTAGTGCAGAAAGAAGGCAGGCCGTGGAGAAGTAGATAGAAGCCCTTTTTGGCAAGTAGGAGGAACTGCCTATACCTGTGGGCAGCCACATGGGAGCCCATCCCAAGAGAAATTTCACTACTCCTGCCTCCATCTCACTCCATTAACAGTGACCTAGAAGTCTGGGTCTACCTACAGACATAAAGCCACTCCTAAAAACACAAGCATCTGCTTTATCATTTCATCCTCTGATAAAGTTTCCCCTTCTTGCTGTTGTCATTTGCTAATGTAAATGCTAATGTGTTCACCAATAAGTGCATTTAGGTAGAGAAGACTTCTTGGAGGAGGTGGCTTCCTAAAGAAACAGAGGCACAAGGGAGGGAATGAGTGGAGACCGCTAAATCGGCAGGGATGTTTTTGGCCTTTTCAGGAGCCTGCAGAAGCCTGAGCACAAAGTAGAGGCAGGAGCCCAGGACCTGGGGAGGGTGTGAGGCTCCTGTGCCTCAGGAGGTCTGCTCGAGGCACCCCAAGGGTTAATGCCAGGAGGAGAGCCCTGCCCCAGGCAGTAGGGTGTGGAGTGTGCTCCCCCAGGGAGCCATACAGGAAATTGCCTAATAAACCAGCTCCAGATTCCATCTCTAGTTGCATATTTTATTGACTTGAAACTTTTTTTTTAATCAGTGGACTCCCAAAACCAGATAGGCTACAAAATAAATAAATATAAAAGAGTCTAAGACTAAATGAGGAACAAATTACTCCTGCACTCCCCATCCCCCCCACTCCACTTCTTCCATTATCTCCAGCGACTCCCAACTCACCCAATCACAACCTGCCTAATAAACCAGCTCCAGAATCCATCTCTAGTTGCATATTTTATTGACTTGAAACTTTTTTTTAATCAGTGGGCTCCCAAAACCAGATAGGCTGTAAAATAAATAAACATAAAAGAGCCTAAGACTAAATGAGGAACAAATTACTCCTGCACTCCCCATACCCCGCACTCCACCTCTCCCATTATCTCCAGCGACTCCCAACTCACCCAGTCACAACCTGCCCTTTTACTACCAGCTCTCCCACCCCACATGTGTAAGGTCTGATTGGCCAGGAGGGATTCTAAATGGGAGATGTGTAGGAAGAGGGGGGCAATTTATACCACAAAGTTTGTATCTGAGATGTGTATTATGTATAAGCTTTTTTAAAAAAGAAAAAACAAACAAACATGACGACTCTTGTAAATAACAGATTTGTATATTAACTTTCTGGTGCAGCATCCTTACCTATGAATGAGTGAACAACATTAAGTTCCCATTTAGGAAACAAGAGCCTAAACCCACTGGATTGAGGTACCTGATTTATCAAATTCAGCCTGCTCTATAAATCAGAATCCAGCTCCAGGACTCTATGGCAGTGTGACTCTCCATGCCGCTCTGAGGTTTCTTCTTTGTGTGGTATCTCCCGCCTTCATCTTTATTTATTTCCAAAAGAAAAAAATGTTGCAACTGATTGAACTGACTGATTGATATGTCAGTGCTGAGATTTAAGAGGCTGGGCACAGCTTCCAGGGCTGCCTCTTTATCCTGTCTCCATTCTGATGTAAGCTTGGCCCCTTACCAAAGATTTCCATATGCCATGTGCAGTCCTGTTCACCCTCTAAGCTGCTAGATCCCTAGTCAAATCCTCTCCTCCCCTGAATCTTTACTCAGACACTCCCAGACTATCCCTCCAAAGATTTTACCCCATCCTACAAATGATGGCTATGACAGGTGCAGCACCCAGAGAATAGGGTCTGTAAAAGGGCTTAAGGAGCCTCATTTCACCAATAAGAACTGCGGCCCAGACCAGAGAGGTGGAGAAGCTTAAAGTCACACAGGCTGTCAGGAGCAAAGTGGAAACGGAAAAATGCATTATTACTTTTGCATCCAATACTGTTTCTACCACCTCATGCTTTGTCAGGAAGCGCTTGTTTCAGGGCCTTTGAAAGAATCTGGGCTCGGTGGAGGTTTCTGCAGATGAATGGAAGACGGAGAGTCAGGAGCAGTGGCCTGGGCTACCAGGAATTGATGTTGAACAAGCTGGCACCTCCTTCCATCCTCCAACCTGATGCCTGGTGAAGATGGGTGGGGAGGGATGCCCAGGAACTTCACAGCAGCAGGCTCTCTCCTTGTCCATGCTGCGCTAAGGGGAGTTCACCAGTCTTCGCACTGGTGCTAGGTCCTAAGCTAGCACTTTTTCAGCAAGTATTGTTTAGTTCCTTTTCCTTCCTTATCTGCCCCTTCTCTAATCTCCCACAGCACTTGTCTATACCCCTTAGTAGGCCACTTAATCATAAACTGTGGCACATAGTACCTGTCCTGCTGTTAAGCACTTAATCATATGCTGCCTTGTGATGCCTTCCATACTGTTAGTGTGCAAGATAGTGTGCTCATCACGTGGCCTTCTGCCTGTCTATATTGCCAGTGTCCCCAGGGCAGGGGCAATACAACTCATTCTGAGAAATGGATTGGCCAAAGCAGTTAAGAGCTGGCACACCTCCTCCATCTCTCTCTGCCCCCATTGTGGTGGGCTTAGAGACATGGGGGCTGGATGATGTAGCTGCAGAATGGAGTAGGGTCTCCTGATCTGCATCTGACTTTGCATAAACAGTAAACAGCATCCATTGTGTCAAGGCACTGAGACTGGAAATTTGGGGATATATTTGTCACTGAAGCATATACCCTCACCTATACTGATAAATGAAGTTAGTTACTGCTGCTAATCCCAGGCCTGCCACTAATTAGTAAATAGTCATTTCCCCACTTTTGGACCTCAGTGTCTTTATTTGTAAAAACAGGGCATTAGATTATATGATAAAAATAATAACTACTGTATATTTATATTTTACACGTGCTCTATTCCAGGCAACGTGCCAAGTGATTTGTAATCATTAATACATTGAATCTGACACCTACTCTATGAGATAGATTTCATTGGCCCCTTAGAATGAGGAATCTGAATTGGGGTGGGACAGGGTAGGGGGTGTTAAGCAACTCTTCCAAAGTCAAATAGCTGCTAAGTAGCGGTCTGGAGTTTGAATGCAGGCGATGTGAACCTGGTGCCGCATATTACAACCACTGTATTTTCTGATCACTCAAAATCCCTGAAGCATAACTCTTCTAGAACATCCAAATTGATCTTTAATTCTGTTTGTATACATATATTCCAAATAAAATTGTAAGGTATTTGAGAATGGGAGTGACGGGCTGCTGCTACTCATTAATATTCCCTCTTTCTGGCAGCAGAGTCTAAAACACGGTCAACATTAAGTAGATGTTTCATAATTTCTTCTGAATTGAATTTTACAACCCTGAAGTCAACTCAGATAAATATATCTCTTACTTGGCAAATCTGACTCAAACAATAGGATGGCACTAGGACTAAGATGATGAAAACCTACAGTCATTCAGCCTGATGATTTGATATGTGTCCTTCATTCCTTTGGCATGCAATCAACATGCGACTGCTGTATAAAAGGCCCACTGTGGTGGGGGAATACTAGTCATAGCCTCTGCTCTCTGGGAAATTACAGTTCGGCCTACCAGTGAGTTTTACCTAAAGGCACCAAAGTGACAACTTAAGTCTCTAAAGTGAAGTGTACAAAGAATAATTGTCACCCACATTATGTGAAGATTTGTTGCTACACACAAGCAGTCGTGTGCTGGTAAATGTTGAACAACTGCCTCTCTATGGGGAAAAACAAAAGCCCTGAGGTATAGTGTTTGCCAATTTCTATGGTATAAATATTCATACTATGGCTGATTATAAGTTACCAATGTGATGTCACTGACCCCAGAGTTGGAAGAGATATGTACAACTGGCTCTGGAGAAACCCATACCAGCGGGCTCCAGCACGCCATTGAGTACAACACATGATGGGTTCTTCCTGCCATCTTCATGGAAGTACAAATCAGAGAACCTCTGGGAACAAGAGGAATATAGATGAGCTCTAAGGGAGAACTGTCTCAGGGTTGAGGAATAGTAGACACTAAGGGTATATATGAAATGTCCTTCTGTGAACAAAAGTTTTTGAAGGCAGAGAAAGAGAAGATTCTTACCTGTCTAGGCTGGTTTATGTCCAGGCCTGCCTGCAGGCAAATGGAAGGGCCAGGTGACCTCTAAATGTCACACTAGCCTAAGGATTCTGTGATGCAGCAGAATTTGCTCCTAGCTTTTTTCTGCCACTGGGGACACATCAGGCTTTCTATAGACCAAAGTCAATAGTACTAGTGCACCCAGTAGAATGCTATCCGCAAACATCCTCTACAAAGTTGCTGACCTATTATTGAACAGGTTAATTGCAGCCAGTGGGGTGCTCGGGTGCCAGTGGGATTTCTAAGACTCTTGAGTCTACAACCCTGGAGAATGCAGACAAACAAATGACAGCTCCTAACTCCTAAGGATGGCAAATGGCCCTGCATGGGCTGAGCCCTCTCAAAGGGTGCTCAGGCCCCAGCTCACCTTGCCCTGCATGGCTGGCCAGCTCAATCACACTAACTCTGCAGCTCCCCTGTCTGGCACACTACCCCTTCCTGCATATTCATCATTCTCAAGGCTTGCAACTGTGGTCCAGGGCCTCTCCTGGGAGTTAGCAGATAATGTCACAGACTCCTGGAATCTCACAGAGAGGGCAGGGCTCAGCCTGCCAAGGAGAAGGAAGGATGTGGATGGAAGCTGTTCATTTCCCATACACAGGAAGCTTTGAGAGAATGCAGACAAACCATCCCTGAGACTGGCTCCCACTCTGAGGAACCACTTCCCCAACCAGGAGGGCAGGCTATCAAGGAAGGGCTCTGGTGAGGCCTGCATCCAACAGACTAAATGAATTCCAGAAACAATCTTAAAGGGCCCGGGGTCTACTTCTATTTCTAAGGGGTACAACTCCTACATGCAGGACTAATCATTCAGAGTTAACTGAGGAGCAAAATGATGGACTAATTTTCCACAGGTTGAAACTCAGGCACAGGGTAACAAACAGAGCCCTGCCAAACGGCCTGGCAAGCATTATCATTGCAAGGGGCAGATGGAGAATTAGACACTCAAGTTCACCAGCAAGTTGCCTGTGAAGGCAGAATTAGGAACCAGATACCTGATCCTTGGTTTACTGCTTACACAGGCCCCAGTAAATAATACAAATGATGATCAATGGGAAGCACAGCTTTTCATGAAGAGCCTGTGGGCTGTTCGGCAGTAAAAGGAAAGCTGGACTCAGCACATGTCTGGCTTTCACTGGGATTCTCTCCCCTATGCAATCAAAGGTTAGCACCGCATAGAGTCAAGTTTGCTTTTCTAAGTGCTGTTCATTCTCTTCCCCTGACCCTCTGTCCCCTCTAAACTCTCAACTTCTCCAACACCTGAGTTCCATCATTTATCCAACCATCCACCACTTGTGCATCCAACCATCCATCCCTCACCCACAAATCCAGTAATTTAATTCCTGTTAATCAAAAGCCTGCTGTGGCCCAGACACTCTGCTAGGAACTGGGGATGCTTTAGATTTAGTAGGGGTTAAGAGCAGAAGCTTTGGAGTCATACAGACTGAGGTTCAAATACAATCTCTACCACTTTCTAGCTATGTGGCCTTGAACCCATTACTTACCTCTCTAACCCGCAGCTTCCCTACTTATAAACTGGGTATAGTAATAATACTCCCCATTTGAGATTATGCTGAATAGTATGTAAGATGCACATGCACATAAAATAGTACAGTGCTTGGAGACTAGCAGGTGCTTAATAGCTTGTTCTTAAATGCTTTGGAGAGAATTAGGTAACTACAGTACAGGCCCTGACCTCAGTTTGCTTATAGTCAAACTCGAGTCTGCTTGTCTAGTGGACGGGGGCCTGTGGGCTAGGGAAGTCAGATTGCTCACCCATTTATCTCCTATCCTGCTCCTCTACTCTCTTCCTCCGTTGCTTCACTCCTTTCACCCTCATTGGCTGTGCTGGCTTTATCAGTGTAGAATGAACTACATTTCCCAGAACTGCCTCCATGTAGGTTTCTGGTTAGGCAGCACCATAAAAGATGTTTTCCTGCAAGAATCGGAGGGCAGAAATGAAGCAGCAGTCATTGTTTTCACACTTAGTAGTTTTGAGTGGGAGCTGTGTTAGCTTACACATGTCGCTGTTCTACTATCGTCTCTCTTTGGTGCTAGGCACCTGCTGGACATGTAACTGCTCCACCTTCCCTTGAGCTCTTCTTCGGCTTCTCTGACTCTTGGGCCAGGTGCGTCTTTAGATCTACGATGAAAGGCACTACCTACCTTCCCCTGCAGTCTATCGATTTTGTCAAGGTTGGAAGCAGTGAGAACTGGCACAGACTCATCAGCACTCATGGGTTCCAGCTTTTCTTGGGGTTCAGCTCATCCTTGCTATCCCAAGGCAGGAGATAGATCATCTGTTCTTGACTGCCTGCCCCATGGACTGTTGGCTCCAGCATCAGATGAAAGATAGTAGCCCCTCACAGACTGTTTAAGCAGCTCCCACAATTGTGTAAGGTCCGATTCCTATGACAAATCACTTAGGCAGTCAGGTGGGCAGGTAGACAGGCAAGTAGATAGATACGCAGATAGATAAATAGAGACATGGCTAGATATAAATATATATGGATGTATGTATAATGTGTGTGTCTGCGTGTATATATACGTATGCATATGTTTATGTATCATCTTCAAAAATCTTTGTTCACACATGTGTCAACTATTACACGTCTCTCCTCCCCTGGGGGTGGGGAATATCTTTAGACTGTCTCCTAAGATCGCATGGAGGGACTTAGGGAAAAATGCTGCTTACTACCTTCCCCTCTCTCTGCTCCCCACCACCACCCCCAATACATCTTGGTACTCCTACTCTGGAACTGCCTTGATGACTTCTGCAGACTCTGGCTCTTATGTCTTCCTTGTCCTGCATAGAAAGGACAATGACGGAATCAGATCTTGAAATGACTAGCAATTCCCAGTGCTGGTCAAGAGATCACCATTCACAGGAGAAGGCAGGGGGCCTCCCAAATGCTGGCCTTTCTGGCCCTTGGCCCTCTTCTCGTTTTGCTCTCTCTCTCTCCCCCTTGTTGATCTCATCTCCCCTAGCTTGCACATATCTATCTCCTGACCCAGGCTCTTGCTAGAGTTTACAACTTTTATTAGTGGAACTTTTTACTTATCTCCCAATCTCACATCCAAGTCAGATTATCTTTGGGACAGCCTTCCTTCTGTTCTGTTCAAGGCTCTGCCCATGGCACCAGTCGCCAGAGCTAACAACATTGGTGCCATTTTTGACACCCCCTCTTCATGAGTGTACCCCCAATACACATGCATCGGATCCAGTCAGCTGCCTGTGGTCCTTCATGTTCATCTTCCTTCCCAATGTATCTCTCACAGTGTTGTGCCAGACCCCTCTTGACTTCAATAGGGATGGCACCATGTTTGAGAGGCCAAAAAAAGAGACCTATAGCCAGTGAATGAGACATGGGGTTTATTGAGGACAATTACACGCAGTCCAGTGGTGGCAGGCTGGACAGGAGAAGTGCTACCATTTGTAGAAAGCATGCAGTTTATATAGTATTTTCACTTAGCACCTTCCCCCTAGAAACTTACACCTGACAACCTTTGTTTAACCCAGAACAAAGGGCCTCAATCCTCTGTACAGTCTGCATTCCATGAGATGGGCTGGGGGGTTCAGATGCTCCTCATAGATAAGGAATGAATCTCCAGGTTGGTCACTCCCAGACTCTTCAGCACAGAACTCCAAACACACATTCTTCTTAGACCACAGGGTCATTCTCAGGCTTTGCTTAAGTTAGCTATTGCTGTCAGATGCATCTGCCATTCACAGAGGCACTTCTTCCTCTGCCGTCCACTGCTCAACCCCAAGTTCAGCTCTTCCTTCCAGCTCTTGTGTTTTATTTCAATAGCTAACTGGTCTCCTTGATTCCTGTATCTCTCCATTCTTGTCCTTTGTATATCCTGCTGCCAATTTAGTCCTCCCAAAAGGTAACTCTGATCTTGTTCCCCTGCTCCAAACTTTTTATTATCTCCCCAATTCTTATTGAATCATTTTAAAACTCCTCATGTTAGCATTCATGGCCTCATGCAATTTGGCCCCTACTTGCCCTCCAGCCTCATTTTACATTGCTCCTCAATGTGAGCCCAGTACTTCCACCCAGCTGGACTGCTGGACTGTCTGCAGAACCTTGACATGATCTACGTTTTCACACCTCCCAGCCTTTGCTCAGACCCTGGCCCCCACCACTTTCAAGTTTCCTTTCTTTGCCTATAAAATCTGACCCATTTATCAAAGTGCATCTCAATTGCCACCTTCTCCAAGAAATCTTTTCTGACCTCCCATGTTGGCCCCCATAACATTTTGTCCTTCTCCAGTGGTACTCACCTCAACCTCTCTGCTTATTATCCGTGTCCTTGTCTCATCACTCTGTACATGTTCATAAACTCTTTGACAGCCAGAACCATTTTGTATCCCCACAATGCCCAGGACAGTCACTTGCACATAAATACTTGTTAATTCAACCAAGCTGCTTCCCCCACCAACCCTATTCCCATTCAATCTCGCTTCATGTGTCAAGGTTGTTGATTTTATTACCAGGAAATCACTTGCATATTCCTGCCTGCTTTGCTCACCATGCTTGATATCTCAGATTTAGAGGTAAGTTAGACTTTAGACTGGTTTTAAATATCCCCAGCTGATTCTACTACTGCAGCTGATGCCTGTAACATTTATTTATCACTTTGCAAAATTGGCTAGTGGTTAAAATATATAAACCCAAAGGGGGCTCATGCATTTCCAATACATTAAGGTATATTTAAAACATGCTGTGTCTTATCGAGGCTTTAAAATACACATTACCACAGGAGCAGGGAGGATGGGAGCAGGGTAATTGGCTAATGAGAATTCTGAACAGTGACTCGAAATATGGCAGAACTGCCCTTTGAGAACTGTGCTCGCACCTATTAATGAACTTTATCCACGGCTCTAAAACACAGCCCTGTGTTTCAAACACAAACCCAGGAGGCTCTGCGGCATGGATGCTGTTGCATTAATTCACACCTAGTTATGGTGACTGGCACCAGCCTTCAACACTGGTCAAAAGAAAGCTGCTGCAAAGCCCAAGAATAATTACTAAGGCTGGATGTATTTGATACCAGGTGCCAGGTGTTAATATGGAAAGACTTGTTTTTCTAACTTGAAGCTTGTGCACATACCAGGAAGAGGAGGAGGACGGGGGTGCATGTAATTGTTGGGATGTTCACAGTCATACTGCATACTGCATACATGTTCATGTTCTGCCATTTAGGAAGGGCCATGACATGGGAGAAAAGGGAATTATATAGGAAACCCAGTGACCTTCAGGCCTGGAAAGGAATCCAGATTCCAGACAGGGTCTCCGATAATTCAGGGCCCTGCAGTGAATATTCACATTGAGAGTAGTCCAAGTCTAAGCCCATGAAGACTGTAAAGTCTTCACTGTTGATCTCATGTCCCAAAAAACAGCCATTCTCTTTATAATGGGAGGGGAGAGGCAGCTTCCCACGGAGCCTCTACATGCTGTTTACCCAAAGAAGGAATATCAAGCTAGATTGTCTAGCTGCACTTGCCTTATTTGGAGCTGTTTGTTCTGCTTGCAATGACTTCTTTAAGTGCCCTCCCACATCTATATGGGTAGGCTGCTGAACGCCATGTTTGTACATCTGCCTCGCACTTTGGCGACAGATAATTAAATTGGGGCAGGCACCTGGGCCAATTTGCTTAACTGATTTTCACTGTTGCAACTCCCGCCTCTCTGCGGATGATTCCCAACTCTTTCTCAGCCCATTTCTCTCCCTAAAGGTTCAGGCTTGTATATACCATCGTCCACTGGATGGACCCATCTACCTGAATGTCCCACAGATACCTCATGCAACAATTCCAAACATAACTTATCCTCCTCCCATACCTCCCAAATCTAGACACCTAGTTCTGCTGACTTTACCTCCAAAATATTTTTAAATTCATTCCCTCCTTCTCCAACTCCGATTTTAGGCTCGTGGCCCAGACTCCTGCAACAGCCTCCCAGCTGACCTCCCTGCCTCCAGCTTTGTCTCCACATGGATTTAGCACACTTGAATCTGAAACACAAGGTGGCTCTCCCTGAGCTTTTGTAACCTGGATGCTCAAACTTCTTTTCCTCCCTCAACGTACCCCTAGCATTTACAAGCCCCGCTTCAGGCTTCAGCCTGTTTCTCCATCTCCAACCACTCCTTGCTTGGTGCTTCAGGCTCCAATAACACTGGATTACTTGCATTTCTCAGCAGATGCAGCTCCCTATTTCCATGTTAGTCCTTCTCATCTTCTCTACTTTACTAATTCCATCTCAGCCTTTAAGACTCCACTCAGTGGTCACCTCCTAGGAGACTTACCTGATTCCCTGCCTCCAGAAATTGTCTGGGGCCTCTTTTCTGTGCACCTGAGATAGCCTGGACACACCTCTATCACTGCACTGAGCACATTGTAATAGAATGATATTTTTAGGCTTGTTTGACCCAATAGACTGTTGGTAACTTGGCAATAAAAGACTGTACATATTTCTTTCCTCTTTTTACCTCCAACCCTTGATAAAATATTTTAGAGTGAGTATATGAACAAAGTGAATGAATGATACATTGTGCCATAGGTCTAAGAGAGGAAAAGGAGAATATGTCAATGAATAGGAATTTTAGAGGCCACTGGGCTCCCTGAGTTTTGAAATTGTATGCTAGAGAGGAGAAAATGTTCTTGAAACTTGCTTTCTGTGGTGATCCTGGAACCTGCCACTTCTGACCATATAAAAATTAGCCAGTTCATCTTAAAGCCCGTAAGGAGTACTTGTTCAGTACCAGCTGCTAGTCAGGTTGAGCAGGGTCTCCCGTCTCTATTACGATGCAGGGAGGTGGAGACAGGAGAGGTGTTGGGGCAAGACAACACAGGCTCCATCACTAATTCTGCCACATGTCCTTTGGAAAGCTACGTAACCTCTCTGAGTCTTGGTTGGAGTAATATTCCTGCCACCCAGACCTGTTGTGGGAATTGAGTTGATGGGTGAGGCACTTAGAACAGTGCTTGGCACCCAGTAAATATTTAACAAATGGCAGCTGTTATTCATAGTAGACAACAACTCTAAAACTTAGCAGCTCTTCCTCTTGTTAGTTGTATGTCCTTAAATCAGGATTTCTCAAGCTCTGCCTTATGGTCATTTTAGGCTGGATAATTCTTTGCCATTGGAGACTGACCTGTACATTGCAGGATATATAGCAGCACACCTGGTCTCTACTAACCAGAGGCCAGTAGCACTCACTCCCCTACCCCAGTTGTGATGACAAAAGAGTCTCCAGACACTGCCCAGTGTCCCCCATGGAGAAAAACTGCCTCCAGTTGAACTTTCCTTAGAGAAGGGGGTAACCTCTTCTCTAAATGGAGAAAATAGTACAGTTTCCTGACTGACACTTAAAAGTGTTATTTGAATGAGGTGTTGATAATGGATATGGTATTGTTTTGAAAACTTCAAAGTGCTTTTCAAATATAAAGGAACTGTTTTGACAGACTTCGCCAACTTCAATTTTTAACAGAAAAGCCAATATAGCACCTTCGAGCCACCATCCCTCCCCAAATTCTCCCATGGGGCCAATCCTGCTTTTGAAGGCGGAGGACTGGAATGTGAGATTGCTCCACCAGCATCACTGTGGTGGTGGCTGCCACAGGGGATCACAGATCTTGCACACTCATGGACATGAGACCACAGTGGTACCTGCACTAGGCTGCAAAGTAGCATTCTAGAATTCTCCCTGGAATGCAGGCGGCTGTCGACCCTGGCAGATTTGGAGGCCTGGACACCTCCTACTGCTCCTGCAGTCATGGTTTCCTTATCCCACACTGCTGTTGCTAAAGTTTGCACTGGCAATAAAAACAAGTGAAGTCATTATTTTCACCTCAATTTAATTAAGATCACAGTACAAGGACCGCAAGCAACAAAAACTTCAAAGTGTCTACCAAGGATTTGCAAATTTCAATGCTCAAGTCCCATTGCCCCAGTGGCATTAGTGAGATCTTTATCCAGCCAGAAGTTCCTGAACTTGGTATGAGGTGGTGAGAAGAGAATGCGCCAAATATTTTACACAACTGATGCAACCAAATTCACATGATTCTCCTTTTATCTCCCCTTTTCGGGAAGCTTATCAACAAGAAGATATTACAGGACAGACACGTTTAGACAAGTACCCCAAAGAGATAAGTGTCACATCATAACTCATCTTTAGAGGGGCTCCTGCCCTTATGGTGATCTCTGTTAGGTTATTCTTAAATGATCAACCATCATTCCCAGTATATATCACTGGAGAAGTATTCTACCAGCCTGTGCTGAGAAGCCAGAAGCTTTGGGTCAAGCCCAGATCACTAGTTCAGGCTTCTTTTGTCCTGGTATGCTTCATTTTTATGCTTTCAGCATCCCTTCCTTCAGCTTGACTTTTCGCACAGGACCATCCCACACACTTTCAAACTCTCCTCAACTTTGAATCTTAGAGAGCCTGGGGTCTCTATTTTTCTTTCTTTCTTTCTTTCTTTCTTTCTTTCTTTCTTTCTTTCTTTCTTTCTTTCTTTCTTTCCTTTCTTTTTCTTTTTTCTTTCTTTCTTTGTTTCTTTCTTTCTTTCCTTCCTTCCTTCTTTCTCTCTTTCTTTCTTTCTTTCTTTCTTTCTCGGAGTATCTGTCTGTCACCCAGGCTGGAGTGCAGTAGTGCGATCTTGGCTCACTGCAAGCTCCACCTCCCGGGTTCATGCCATTCTCCTGCCTCAGCCTCCCAAGTAGCTGGGACTACAGGCACCCGCCACCATGCCCAGCTAATTTTTTGTATTTTTAGTAGATACGGGGTTTCACCGTGTTAGCCAGGATGGTCTCGATCTCCTGACCTTGTGATCCGCCCGCCTCGGCCTCCCAAAGTGCTGGGATTACAGGCGTGAGCCACCGTGCCTGGCCTATTTCTTTCTTTTCAGGAGACCCTGGGCTCTTATAAAAACTGGCCCAGCTGAGTGCAGTGTCTCACACCTATTATCCCAGTATTTGGAGAGGCTGAGGCAAAGGGATTACTTGAGCTCCGGGGTTCAACACCAGCCTGGGCAAAATGGCAAAACCTCATCTCCACAAAACATACAAAAATTAGCCATGCATGGTGGCACACGCCTGCAGTCCCAGCTACTTGGGAGGCTGAGGTGGGAGGATCACTTGAGCCCAAGAGGCAGAGGTTGCACTGAGCCGAGATCACACCACTGCACTCTAGTCTGGGTGATAGAGTTAGACTCATCTAAAAAAAAAAAAAATTGTCCCAGTTTCTCTCTAGAGATCTGCATACACAGTCAGCTTTTATCAAGCCTACAACACCAAAAATGTGCTATGCACATCAAGAACAATTTTTTGTGTTATATTTGCAAAATGGAGTAGAATCATGCAAATAATTCCACCCAAGTTTTCTTTATTGATTAATAGACTGGGAAGTGGCCCACATAATTTCTAAGCTCCCCCCTCACCCCACATTCCTCCTGTAAGATAGTTCCACAATTAGCTTGAGAATGCCACTCTTCATATCCAGAGATGGCACCATCAGAACTGGAAAAAGGGCTTTTGGCTAGGCAGGTAATCACTTTGAGCCTCAGTTTTCCTGTCTGTAAAAGAAGAAGAACAACCCCAAGGCTGCTTGTTAGCATGAGAAACAGAGGAAGATGGCTCACTTAAATAGAACCAGGAAAATATTTGCAGAAAGCAAGGCCAGACGGGCTGCAAAAACCTCTTGGGGGGCCTCTGGATGCAGATGCAAAGACCGAAAAGTGCAAGACAGGGAACTGGTAACAACTCTAGGTAACTTAGCTTTTTAATGAGGTAAACCTTCAGCCAGCAGCAGAAACGCTTTTACCCACAAACCAGAGGCCAGAAATGCAGTGATGCAGCCTCCAATGTTCTCACTTGGTAGTAACAGGGGGGTACAGTAAGGCCTTCCTGCTCTGTGCAGCATCATCCATTAGAAAACAAAAAAGGTACGGTAAGTGCCACTGAGCTTCTCCATTAATTGCTAAGTAAGGGGAAAAAAAGAGAAGAATAAAGTGCTTTTACCTGCTCAGCTGGCTAATTAAAAGCTGCCTGAAGCCCTGCTAACCTTTTTCATTATGGCAGTGTTCATTATAAAGCCAGAAAGAATTAACTACACTGCATTATCAGATATCGAAAAATATTAATAGCAAAAGTGAGAAAGGGAAAGAAGGAATTTTGGGCGAGTTAATTAAACCACATGTCCTCAATGACTTATTAAGTGACTGGTCGAGCTTCCTGGAGCTTGGTGAGTCCCAGAGAGCAAGGCGATGTGCTCCTGCTCCTCAGGAAATGAGTTTCCAGCCCGCGGAACTATTTTTTTTTCTTCCTCTGTGGCAAATTTTTCTTTCTTTCTTTCTGTCTTTCCAAATATTGCCAAGTGAGTTAAGTCCTGAATTGGGACCATCTTGGAGCCAACAGAAACAGGAACTCACTGAGAGCTCTTAAAGGTCACTACTGAGGGATGGCTTTGGCGGTGAGTTTTCTCTATCGTTCAGCAAAACCCTTTTAGTTCTGCAACTGAACAAGTGAGAACATTTTATAATGAGGTCTCTTTGCTACTTTTGTAACCAAAGCCCATGAATGAGTTCATGACAGGCCTGCCACCCTTATCACATTCCCTTCAACAAGGCCTGGTACAACAGTCTGGCACAGGGCATTACACTGGGATTTGCACTTAGGGCCTTGAGAGCTGTCTGGAGTAAGCAGACTATCGACTCTCCACCTACAAAGAAGCCGTACGCACAACTCTGTTCTACAAAACCTCTTTGTGTGAGTTCAACTGTGACCACAGGATGGATAAGGTAAGGTGGGGAGAAATAACATCTTCGATGGTGGAGGGAACAAGAGAAGGAATATAAGCATTTTCATTTAGCAAAAAAGCAAAATTGATGATGAAGAAAATGTAGTATTGATTTCTTTTTTCTTCCTGCTGGCACTGGAACTTTAAATGAAGTCATAGAGCAATTGAGACTCCAACTTTGATTGGTTGTGTTTCAGCGTAATTTCATTTTAAGAGTCTAGTTTGCATGATTAGTGGTGACATGCGGAGGTTTCTCCTTAGGCAGAGTAAAGTTATCAATTTTCCAACATGCCATCATGACGATCAGACATTGCTCTAGAGAGCTCCCACTCTGTACTTGTCATTGAGTTTCTTCCCTGGGCCATACTGTGACCCCAATAACAGCTCTGCTCAGAAACTCAATGAGCAGTGCCACTTGCCCAAAGAGGAGCTTTCCAGGAAATGGGTGTGAGTGATGGTGTATCAAGCCGCAGCCTACATGGATTTAGTGGGGACAGAAAAGCTTTGGCTGGCATGTGGAAGAATGCCAAAATTGTTGCAGGGCAGGGAAGGGAGGTTAGGCAGAATGGATAAAGTCATAAAAATGGATCC
Organism: Homo sapiens; assembly: GCF_000001405.40. Taxonomy (NCBI): domain Eukaryota; kingdom Metazoa; phylum Chordata; class Mammalia; order Primates; family Hominidae; genus Homo; species Homo sapiens. The sequence goes on along the minus strand of NC_000011.10, from coordinate 115,792,351 downwards.
AATGGTCGTGTCTCTTCCCAACATTATCAAAAGCTGTGTTTGCACACATAGCTTCTTGCATTTTGCCAGTCCACTATCTCCATTCTGCAGTCCGTGGGAGCACAACAGTCAGTGCCATAGGGCTTTCCCCTTGTGAGTTATGCATGTAAAGCAAAGCATTTAGAATAGTACCTGGCATTTGGTAAGCACTCAATAAATGTTATTGATTCTTCAGCATCTTGCATCTTTATCTGGAACTTCTTGTGGGCTTTTAATTCTTGAGATTTCCTGAAAGGAGAAATCTAGAGATAACACTGAGGAGGATATGAACATCAAATGTTGAATAATTCTTTAGAGATTGATTGCCACATTGAATGCCAAAAGCATTTTTCCATATTTGGCAAAATCCTTAACCTTCTGTTTTTTTAATCTATCCTTCTGGGGGTGGGGAGAGAGGTAAGAATAAGTGTTTTCTGTTTTTTCCAGACTTGAAACCAGGGTTAAAGTGGGACACCAGTTGCTTCCGGGAGTCAAACCTCTCTGCAGGGGTTCTGACTACTCTCTCTTTTTCTTAGGGATAAACACAAAGGGTGGGCTCCTTTGCCCAAAGGCCAAGAGGAATGCCTTGAGTCTGGACCATATAACAAAAACCTTTGGAATTCAGTGACTGGGAACCTGAAGAGAAGTAGAAAAGAAGTTGGCCACAGGCCCTCTGTGTAGAAGGCCAGGTTTCCAAATATATTGTGCATGTTCCTACTTCCTTATCTTGGCTTAATCTCCTCAACCCTTTATTCCTTTTTGTATTCTTCTTCCAAATACCATCTTCCAAGCAAGTCCCAGTTCAAGGTCCATGACCCCAAAAAGTCTTCTTTGAGTAGGCCCAGTCCTTGTTGACTTTTTCTCCTCTTAACTTCCTTAGTGTTATCTGAACTTCCCACACTTACCACCCTGGATTATTCAGTCTATCACTCTCTTTATCTGAGAAAGTTTGACAGCCTCATGATATAAATCTCTTCTCTGGTTATGTTGGGCTCTGGAATGGTCATTAAAAAGTGTCCCTCTGGTTGGGTCCATTGAGCTTCTATTGCCTTTTGTTCCTGTCCATATTACAGCAGGGATTTTATAGCATTTTAGTGAGTCACCCGTGTTGTTGTCCATTCTATTTGTGAGCATCTGGAAGGAAAGCATCATGTATTTATCTTCATATATTTATCATGCCAGGAACAAGCACACTCAATGCATGTTTGTTGGATCAATTTGAATTGACTTGAATTGCACTTACTTTGTATCTACATAGGACCTAACTTGGTACTGGGCAGTCTGGACACTCACTGAATATTTGCAGTGGAGTCTGAATTAACTCCCCCATAAACTCCTCCCAGTTCCCTCGCATTATGCTGATGTTTCATGACTGCATAGTGAAGACGTACGTGGTTTGCTGGGCTCCAATAAGCTTGCTCACCTCAACCATTCTGGCCACAAAATAGACAACCCTAAGAGCCCAATGCTCTCCATTTCCCCTTTTATCTCTGTAACTCAGTTTACCTCTATATTCTAAGGAACCATGTAACTATTTAGAAAGACACTAAAGATATGTTTTGAAGGTCATGCTTAGGTTTCCAGGCATTCTATATGTAAGATAATTTTCCTCAATCGTCTCACAATCCACGTAAAACATGAAAATAATCTATATATGCCCCATTCTAAGTACAGTAGGTACTATCCACTTAATTTGTGACTTTGGACAAGCTATTAACCCTTCTGAGCCTCATGTCTCTTCTTATGGGATTAAATCAGATCCTGGGTCCCTTCCACTCTAACAGTCATTCCTAACTCCCTTCTCTCTTGCCTTCTCCCAACTTATGATGATGAATGAATACATATCAATATATTTTTTTAATTTGCTTTCTCAGGTCTCCATACAATATGACTAGTTCAGAATTTGCACCCTGTGTGACCAATTCTGGACAGAGGAGTAATTCAGCTCAGGGGCTTCTGGGGCAAAAAAGGAAACAAAACAAACAAAACAAAAAAACTGCTTTCCAAGATAAAATGGACAGAACCCAACTTGAATGAGGACCTGTTAGGCATCTAATGATAATGAGATGGTGAACACGAGGACCAAAACAACTCAACCCACCAAGGATGGTGGCGTGCCTGACTCCTCTGTGACAGCATAGAGCCATGGGGCCATCACACTTAAGGAATCATTAATGCCTTCATGGGTTTAAACTACTATTAGGCAGGAATTATGTTAATTGCCTCTGAAAGTACCTCTGAAATGCCCTTTCCAATTTCTAGTCAAGTGGGTTCATCAGATCATTTGTTTTATTCTCTTGGATCCACTCCATGAGTCTAACCCCAACTTGACCAAACTCACAGGAACACACACACACACACACACACACACACACACAATTTGTAAAGTGCTTTCTATTATACATGTTTCCATGTACATTATCACATTTGATCCTTCTATCAACCCTGTGAGGTATGTATTATAATTTCCCCTGTTTCATACCTGAGGAAACTCAAAGCAAGTTCCAATCACTTTACTGACTCCAAATACAAGACACTCACACAACTCAATGACAAGTCAGGTCAGCATTCTATACCCTTCATCTTCAACAAAGCACCCCTGTCCCTTCCCCATCCTGGGGTCCAGGCAGAGAATGAGCCTTCATAATCTCAGAGAAAGCTCAGAAGCCCATAAAGCTCCTTTAGGAGAACCATGTCAGAGATGATGCTTCTCCTGCCCCTTGGTGCTCAGCAACCCTCAGTGGAGAGGGGTCAAAGACTGTCTCCCAGCCTGGGTCCAGAGCACAGGTAATTAATAGATGATCATGGCGATGGACAAATGCAGACTGACAGCAGGCTTACCTTCCTTATAACCTATTCCTTGGCTAACATTAGTTCTACAGCAAAACCCGAGCTTTGTTGACATGTCGTTTCTTTTCATTAATAAATAACTGCCTGAAACAATTACACTTTAGGAAACTAATCTTATTTTTCTCTTTCCCTCTAAAAGGTACCAAAAATTAAAAGCAAAGATGCTTAAATCAACTGCAGTCCTTCTGGGCAGATGTTCCTAAATGCAATCCATCTAAGAGGAAAGAGTTTTTGAGGGAAGGGTGATCACTGGGCCTCTACATGCCACACCCGGAAGGCCCAGCAGTGGGGCAAGGATAGAACACACAGTTTGGCGATGTGACCCTGCCTGTCTGCACACCTCAGGATCCCACCACCCAACAGGCATACATCTCCTGGAGCTACAGGTACAAGTCATTTTTTAAAATTAATATAGTATAATGAAAAGATTGTGATGCTTTGAAATCAAGCAGTCCTGATTTTGAGTCTGGATTCCACCATTTATTAACTGTCTGTTTTGCAAAAATTATTTAACCATTCTGAATTATTCATCTATTGTTGAATAACAAAGTACTCCAAAACTTAGTGGCTTAAAACAATATGCATGTATTACCTTACAGTTTCTGTGGGTCAGGAATCTAGATGCAGCTTAGCTGGGTGCTCTGCTCACAATCCAGAAGTGAGCTGGGGCTGCAGTCTCATCTCAAGACTTGACTGAGCTCACTCATATGGTTACTGGGTGGGATTCAGTCCCCCTCAGTTCCTTGCCATACAGGCCTTTCCATCAGGCAGCTCACACCATGGCGGCAAGCTTTCAGCAGAAGAAGCTAACTAGAGAACAAGATGGAAGTTACAGTCTTTTTATAACCTAATCTCAGAAGTGCCATCCCACCACTCTTGTTGTATTCTGTTTATTAGTAGTAAGTCACTAGGTCTTGGCCACACTCCAGGAGAGGGGATTACCCAAAGACATGAAAGTCACAAGGCTGGATCATTGGGAGCCATGTTCCAGCTGCTTGCCTACCATGACTGCTGAACCTCATGTTCTTCAACTATAGTGAGCATTATAACAACTACCTCAAAGGGTAGAGAAGGAACCAAATAAGACAGTGTGAAGGCGAGTGCCTGGAAGAGTATGTGGCACACAGGAGATGGTTAATAGAAGATAACTGCCCTCCCCTCCTCCTCCTGCCATGGAACCCTGATAAGTTCAGTGGTTCACTTTCAACAATGAAGGAAAGGGATGTGAGCAAGTAAGTCAGAGGGTCTCAGAGACCAAAAATGTTGGCAAGGGGAGCATTTGGGTTCTCCGGACAGGGTCAAAGGTCAACCTTGTGCCCTGAGGCACAAGATTGGAGGGAGTCCTAGCAAGGAGGCAAGAACCTAAAGCCAGTCTGGGTTATCATGAGGGTACGAACGAGGACTGAGCTAAGGGCAAGGAGCCTCCTCTGCTTGGTGTGACCCAGAACCCCTGGCTCCCCAGCACAGGCCAGTCCTCCAGCCTCCCCATTGGCTTCTGACAGCCCCGTGCACATTTCAGAAGGGCTCCATAATCATTTACGGATGTCCCTTCTTCCCCCAAGGTCAGCAGGCTGTGGAACTGGCTCTGAGCATTGATCACTCTCACTTTCCTTTTCTAATTCTCACCAGTTCATTAAAGATTGACCTTCTGGGCTTCTACAGCTACTGTGGATGTCCAGCCAGAGAGACCATTATATTTTAAAGGCTGTTAAACTGTCCAATGATATTTTAGCTTCTTTTTTTATATTTGATAGCAAATCATCAATCACTTTTGTAAACTTCCAAGTAAAAACGAGGAAGAAAAAGATGGAGAATTATATGAAATTATAGTGGAATGAAGCAGTTAAATTTCTCTCTATCAGTTGAGGCAAGGCGAGGTGAGGTGAGATGATGGTCAATTATCTTTTTCCACTCACTGATGGATTGCCAGCACCATTGAGGCTGTCAGCGCCTGAGTCATGACAAGCAGAGAGGGGCGTCAACATGACAAGAGAACTGGGAACACAGACCAGCTTTGCAGATGGAGCTGGGGCTTCTCCAACCCAAACCTGAATGCACTGGCCAGGAATATTAGCATGGGTCCTGACCATGTCCTGGGATACCCCCTTTCTCTTCTGACCACTGCCCCTACGACATCAGCCCCCTCCCCCATTTTGCTCCAAGAACAGCAGTGTCAGTCCTCAGCACCATGCTGGTCTCCACCAAACTGTCCAAGACTGACCTCATTATTCTCTCACATGCCTTATCTGAGTTAATGGCACCATCATTCACCCAAGCTATTTAACTAGAAACTGCATCGTTGTTGTCCCAAACACCTCCTCTTTCCTTGCCTCCTCCACCCATTAATTTGTCTCTGAGTCTGCTCTATTGCCTAATGCAATTATTTGTCACCTCTGCCACCTCCTCACCACCCCCATCTGCTGTGCCTCAGTCCAGGCATGTACCACTACTTCTCTAATCAATTGAAAAAGCCTCTTAACTGGTTTCCATAGGTTTAGTGTCCACACACACATACGCAGTCACCCATGCACATTCACACACTTATACACACATTCACACTCAATCATACTGATTCACCCTCAACCATACACACTCACCCACATACACTCATACATACACTTGCATACTCACACACTCACCCACTCACACTCACTCACACATACACACTTGCTCCCATTCACACAGATACACACATACACTTACACATATACTCACATACTCTCACACTCTCGTGCACGTCTCCATGCACCTTTCCAAGCTCATTTTGCTTCTTAAGCCGTAGGGCCTGTAAGTGATTGCATCTCTTCCCTGCTCAGACTGCAGCACCTCCCTCTTGCTCAGAGATGAAGCTAAGACCCCCTGCCCTGATACACCTGCTGCACGACTTCCCACAGTGTCCCCAACACACCTTCACCATCACGCACAGAGGAGCCTACTTGTCTCTCACATGCTCTTTCTTATTTCTATGGCTTTTTTTTTTCTGTTTGTTCTGCTACCAGAATTTCCTTTCCCTTCTAGTCCTGCTGGCCAACTTCTACCTATTCGTCAAGACTCAGATCAAACATCGCCTCTTCCATGGAGTTCCTCCTGACTCCCCTGTAGCAATTAGCCAGTCTCTACCCTGGGCTTTCAGGGAACCATGCAATTCCTCCACTGCATTCTGATTTTTGAAAATATATTCCCCCCTCACTAAATTACAGGATCCTTGAGCAAATACCAAGGCTATTCTCTAGCAACTCATCATCCTAGGGGCAAGGGCAGTCTGAATGTTTATTGAGTTAATGAATTGCCATGGACCATGGAGAAAGACAAACTTTTAGGTTAAAACATTGCTCTCCTACCTACTAGTTCTGTGACCTCAGCAAGAGTTCTGTGTCTTTGAGCTTTATTTCTTATCTATTAAATAAAAATTATTACTACACCCCTACAAGAACAGAATAAAACAATAAATCAGATCTGGAAAATATTCAACTATTGGAAGGATGAGGAAAGGAAAGGTATTTGAGATGAAGCTGAGATTTCTGGGAATAACATGAGTGAATGAAGTTTCCATGAACTAAGAGAGGGAATGTTAGGTAAGGAACAGTGCAGTAAAGAACCCAATACATAATGGGTATTCAAGTTCTACCTTCCTTATGGAAGTCTCGCAGTTAAAGAATAAGAGGAAATATTAAGCAGGTCCCTTAAATCTTATTTCTTTCAGTTACTACTTGTTTTCTGTTAATGACTTGGATAGATGCCAAGGCATATGGTTGGGGACAAACACACACACACTATATATACACATACATATATATGTGTATATATATATGTACGTATATATGTATGTATATATGTATACATATATGTGTATATACATACATATATGTGTGTATATATACACACATATATATATTTGATACATATTTGATTTCAATGTCTCTTACAGACTCTAAGACAAACACACCGAGGGATCTGATCATCCCTCAAAGTGGCTGCTAACTTGCTTGCCTGGCACCACATCATGTGTACACACAAATACAGCTGGGTAGGCAGGTAGAGAGTGTGGGCTGCTTCAAGCCAGCCTGTGCCAACTTGGCCCATGACACCAGGGGCCCTGCTCTTGCAGGAGGGCTGGGTTTAATGCTCTCCTTCCCTGGGAAGCAGGCTCAAAGGGACAGCGGCTCATCTGGAGCCCCCACTTCCTGGCCCTGACACAGTTGGCCCTGCTCCCAGGTTGGGAGTTGCTGCCTGGGGAACAATGTGTGGGATAGAGAGCAGGAAGTACTAGCTAGGATACCATGGCCTGCAGGTAGAAGGGTTGGATCAGCTGGGAATGGTTCTGTGAGCCAGGAAAAGATGTTCAGAGAGTTCTGGAAAGTAAAGAAAGGAGAAAGAGGACACAGCCCAGCTACCAGGACTCGGGGACAGGAAGGAGACAGGAAGACCAGAGAATTCTAAGAGCAGAGAGAACCCAGATATAACAGAACATTTGGCAAAGAAACAATCCAAATGCAGAGTTGGTTGGACTGGGCTGGAACAGGGTGGAGGATGCTTATCTGGGGGTCAATGTTAGCACAAAAATGCCAAGCCTTCCATAACACTCTTTTTCTGCGAATCAGACAAGCCCTGCCTGAATAGTGATGATCTGGAGGCACTGAACTGAACAGGAGAAAGGGCAGCACCTCTGCCCATGAGGGCAGGTCCCATTCTTCACAAGCATTATAATGAGTTGTTCATGTCAGTCCCCATTCATATCTATCACCCACAGATATCAGCAGAACAACCAGCACCAGAGGCATTTGATTCCTACTACATTACAGCTTGGAATAAAGCAGCTAGGTTTTCTTGCCTGGTGTCACTATCCGAGTCACATCCTGTCTACTAACTCCTAGGCTAGCATAGAAGTTAAGGGATAGAAGATACTATCTAACACATCTAGTCCCACCTGCTTTTTTCAGACAAAACAAAGTTTCTAGAAAGGTTAAGTGACTGTTCAAGCTAATATGACTACTTTGTGCTAGAGACAGAACTGGAATTCATTCTTTTAACATTCAATAGAAGATTCTCCTCATTCTACCAAATAACAAGCCTCGTACTGTAGGTAGTCTGGAATTTAACTTTTTGGGGAAACTACTCTTTTATTAGGAAAAAAAAATCACTGTAAAAAACATTTTACCAATGCAAACTTAAGGCAATGGCATACCAAGATTCTTGAGGAAGATCTACCTGGGAGCTATGAGTAACCCAAATACTGATGTTTCCAATTGAACCTTCAAGTGTCCTGTTTAGTATTACACACTTAGAGCAATTCATCCTATTTCCCTACATATTTTGTTGGAAAATATTTCTTCTCATAAATCTAAATTTCAGGAGAGATATGACTGAAAATTACTGTGTATTTCTGAGACATATCCGTATGGTTCTTGTATTAGCCAATAATTCGCTCCCCCAAAATCAGGTATGGAGACTGCAGGAAGAGACATGTGGACCTTTACTTTGAAGCAAAGAGTAGAACTGGACTAGATCTGGCATAGTACAACCTAGACTAGACTGTTCATGTCAGCATAGGACATTATCTCATGCTTTATAAGACAGAATTTGTTTAATGCCTTGTGAAACCATTGTATTGATATTTGAGGTTATGCAGACAGACATAACATTGAGGGTGAGTTGAGATTTTCCCTGAATGTAATAAAAATAGATATTCTCACCTTTAGTCATTCTAGGGCAAGGTTAATCTTGGGACAAAAAAAAATGAAGTACAACAAATAATGCCTACCTTACCATTTAGAGAATCAGAATCAGTTGATCTGGAATCAGGAGAGTTGGGGTAGACATGACACCTGCTACATAGAAGCAAATCAGCAGGTAGGCAGTGGTCCAGCCCAGTAAAAGACTCTGGGGTTGGTTCATGCCCATAGATTCTAAGGATAGTCAATCCTACAAATAATGAACTTCTCTCATAGTCAAGGGTTTGGTGAAAGTTTATTCAAAGTCATAGTTTGACCTCATTTGAGCTGAAAGGAATTAGAAAACACTAAACCCCATGTTTAAAAAGGAGAAGCCAAGAGAAGAATGGCTGTACCTCTCCCTGAAGACAACATTAGGGTTATCAATGACAGCTTCCAGCCAAAAAGTTAGACCCAGACAGGCAATGATAGCTGTGGCATTATCAGAAATAGGAACAGTAATAGTGCAGCAAAATTAAGAGGATCAAAGAGACCAGAGAAGAGCCTGAAGTTCTTATTTCAGAAAAGAAAGAGTGGGGATGGGCAATTCAATTGGTTACTAATTTGAGGGGCAATTAGGCTAATGGGAAAATATACCGGGCATTAAGTTTACTTTGGCTGTAAGCAAGAGCAATCAACTCTGGCTAGCATATTACACTCTTCTTTAAAAAGTAGGGATGAAGGTTTTATTAGAAGGATCATTGGACATCTCACAGAACAGAAGTAAGAATAGGAAAATCAAAACCCAGGAAGGAAAAGCCAAAGGAATTGACGGAACCTCTGTATGAGGTGCAGGCACTTCTATGGCTAGTTTCTAATTTCCAATCAACTCTGTTTCTCTCCTTTGCAAAATAAAAATCCAAAAAGCAAATAATTGAAATGGCTTGAGTGATCATTAGGGCAAGAACTATAGAGATCTACCCCTGTGGGTAATGGGAGGGAGAAGATTTTCTCCCTTTCTACATTGCACAGGTTATAATGTAAGAACTGCTTCCTTCACAGAAACATTACCTGCGTTTTTACTCCATTTACTCCTGCCCCTTCTCACCTGTCTCCAGGAGGACAGTATTAGTTTTCTATCATTGCATAACAAATTATCAGAAACTTAGCTACCTAAAACCACATGCCTCTGTTATCTTGCAAGTTTCTGTGGTCAGGAGTCCAGATACATCTTAACTGAATCCTCTGCTCTGGGTCTTACAAGGCTGTAGTCAAGGTGTTGTCTGGGCTGTGTTCTTATCTGGAGGCTCAACTGAGGAAGAATCAATTTCCAAGCTTATTTCAGTTTCTGGTAAAGTTTATTTTCCTGTGGCTATACCCTGAGGACCCTGACTTTTCAATGGTGTCACCTAAAGGTGGCCCACATTTCATAGAGGCTGCTCCAATTCCTTGCCACGTGGGCTTCCTCAACATGGTGGCTTTCAAGCCAGTGAGGGGAATCTTCCTCTCAGTGGATGACCCAATCCCTCTTCTAAGAGATTTTACTTGATGAAGGCAGGCCCATCAAGTATAATCTCCCTTTTGATTAACTCTAAACCAACTGATTTTTAACCTTAATTAGGTCTGCAAAATCTTTTTCTTATTCTGTTGACAAGAAGCAAGTCACAGGCCTGCTCACACTTATATAGGGTGTGAATCCAGGAGTGGGAACCACTCTGACTCTCCCCACTTATCCCTCATGGGACAAGGTGTTGAACTGATATTTGTGTCCCCAGAAAAGGCTTGAGGGAGTCAGAATAATGACAAAGACCCACATGTGAAAAAGCAGGTAGGCTGGCATGTGGCAGAGCATGTCCATGGCCACACATATCCCAGCCTTCCCCCTTTGTAAGAAGATTTTGGGGAGTTTCCAGTTGCACACAGTATGCAAAAAGGCCCTCTTACATCAATGCTTACTCTAGATGTTTGCCATAGAAGCTCTACCCTTTCCAAAATCAAGGTGAAGGCAAGACGGCCTCTTCCAGCTCCCAAGGTAAGTGACGTGCTATGTACTTTTTCCCTCCCTTATACTAACCTATTTGTGTCAGGCCCTAGCAGCCTGCAACTACCAAACATTTTTCAGTTCTGTTCTACACCCAATTGTTAAGCATGGAGGAAACACCTTAGGGTGGCTGCCCAGATAAGAATTCTTCTCACTCCTTTGGCACCTGCCCTCCAAACACATGTTTGAGGCTCTAAGTCATCACAACTCTCTCCCCTGAGGTCTGAAGAAATTAGAAAATAGAGGAATCAGATAGAGATCAAAGTACCAGTTTTGTGAGTGGTAAACCTGTATAGAAAAACAAGGTTTGGAACTGGGGCCAACGTACGTTTTCTTTCCTTCTCTCCTGAACTGAAATTCCCTACTTAGGCATAGACAGAGAAATTAAATGACTGCTGAGCTGCCCTGGTGAATTTACTAGGAGGAGGAGATAAGAGTATTTGTGGTCTGAGTGCAGGCAGATGAGAAAGAGTGACAAACGATGAGAGAGAATGAGAGTGCACATGACCAGATGGAGACCAAAGGCTAACTGGCTCTACATCTCATTGGTTGTGAGTCCTTTTGGTAGGGACATGACCAGGGGAGGGGCTACTTCACAAGAGCCATTATTTCTAACCAGAAGAGAATCTGAGGCACAGAGTGGGTGAGGGACCAGCTCGAGAACACACAGGAGTCAGAAGCCAAAGGGAGAGTTAGACTCTCCTCTGTGGCCCCTGACTACACTGCCCCCTTAATATACAGCAGAGGTGAATTAACTCTTCACATCTCTAGGACCTCCCAAGAAACAAGCTGGTGATGTAAATAAGCCAGAAAACCAGGGGCACGCGGGGGTCAGTTCCTGGGGCACCTCAGTTAAGATGGTTAATAACCACAGCAACATGATTTATTACTTAGCACTCTCAGGGAGCCTGCTGTCACTGCAGGCGCCTCCCTCCCCAGCCCAGTTCCCTTCATTTGCATAGATAATGGTTGTGTTATTAACATCTCATTAGTGTCAGGCCCAGGTGACCAGAAAGAAAAGCGCCTCTTGCCACTTGTATTTCAGAGAAAACCCCACCAGGACTGTTAACTCCAGGGCCTGGTGAGCCAGAAACGGGGGGTTCCTAAAACGGGAGTCACAACTCTTTTTTAACGACAAAGGACAACTCTAAAATCACATCAATACATATAATAAAATCTCTTAAATGATGTACCCTGAATATCATGTCACAAAGCTTGCATTTTACTTAGGGAGTCTTCCTCCCAAAACCCATAATCCCATCTAATCATGAGAAATACAGACAAAAATACTACCTTTGAGGGTCATTCTACAAGATGCCTGACCAGTAACCCTCGAACTGAAAAAGTCATCAAACACAGGGAAGGTGTGAGAAACAGTCACAGCCAAGAGAGGCCTCAGGGGATGTCACCTCCCCATGCAATGTGGGTGGGGTTTGGAATAGAAGAGGTACATTAGGAAAAACTAAGGAAATCTAAATAAACTACAGCCATAATAGTAATTTCTGAATATTGGCCTATTAATTGTAGCAAATGTGCCATGTTCATGTAAGATATTACTAATAGAAGTAAATAGGCACTAGACACATGAGAACTCTGAACTATCTTCACAGTCTTTCTGTAAATCTAAAATAATTTTCCAGCCTGGGCAACATAGGGGACTCCATCTCTGGACACAAATAATAATAATAATAATAATAATAATAATAATAATAATAATAAAAATTTGCCAGGCACAGTGGCTCATGCCTGTAATCCTAGTGCTTTGGGAGGCTGAGGTGGGCAGGATCATTTGAGCACAGGAGTTTGACACCAGCCTGGGCAACACAGCAAGACCCTGTCTCTACAAAAATTAGCCAGGCATGGCTGTGTGCACCTGTAGTCCCAGCTACTCAGGAGGCAAGAGATGGGAGGATCACTTGAGCCCAGGAGTTCAAGGCTGCAGTGAGCCACGATTGTACCACTGCACTCCAGCCTGGGTGATAGAGTAAGACCCTGTCTCAAAAAATAATAATAATAAAATAATAAAATAGTTTGATTTTGCTTTTAAAAGAAGTCTCTTTCATGAATGTGGCACATTCCGATATATGTTATGTTATTATTCAAACCATCAGTGGTGAGCCTCAGAGGGATGTGGTGTGGTAGGTAAAAGTATCATTACATCTGTTTTACAAATAAAATAACTGATACTTCAAGAAATTAAGAGACTTGCCGAAGGACACATAGCTACCAAGCCCAAGAGCTTAGTTTCTAATTCAAGGCTTATGACTCAAAGGCTCGTGTCTTTCATCAAAGCAAATGTTATCATCTCAGGGAAGATAAAGAAGACAGTGTGAGTTTCTGGCTGATGGCCCAAGTGGCTGGCAGTAGGGGAGATGAAGGAAGCATATAAGAGGTCAAAGTCAAGGTCAGCCAGTGGATCACAGTCATCTTTGTGGGTCTCCTTGGTCTCATGTTCCCTCAAGCCTATGCATGAGAAAAAGCTCCCCTCTCTCTCTTTTAACCATTCCCAAATCTCCCCCACATCCTAGATGTGGAAATACAATCCAGAATTCATTTGAAGTATTTTTGCCCAGCCAGAAAAGCACAATGACATAAAGATCCTTCTTTCTCTTTTCACCTGACCTCAAAACCTCACCCCACAGAATGTCAGCACCAGTCCTGGCCTAGAAGATTGTGGTCTAGGCCTACATAAAATGAGTCAATGGGTGACAAGGAAACTAATTCTAGCTCCATTTCTGTCTCTTGTGCTTTCTTCAAGCCCCTGCAGCTTTCAGATCCAGCTAGAATTAAATAGGAGCAAAGAGGAAGAACTTTCTGTAATTCAGCTTGGCAAGTGTTAGGAGAGGGCTGATAGTATCTATGGGAGACATAGGTGATTAGGTCCTGCTGTTGTCCATGGGAGAAAATGAAGCAAGAGGAAGGAAAATATTTTGCATGGGGAAAGAGCACTGAAGTGCTCCTAGTTTTAACCCAAACCAATTGTTGACCTTCACAAGTCATTTTTGATCTTGCTGGGACTCAGTTTCCTCTTCTGGAAAATGAAAGGTTTGGGCTAGGCAATCTTTGTTTCCTCTGAACTTGGGCATTCTGTGATCTAAAACAGAGTCCAGGGGTTCTCATCGACTGGAATAGAAATGAATAGAAGTGTAGTCATTGAATCAGATCCTTACAGTGCACCTGTTTTGATGACTAGAGACATCTCTGGTCACTTCTCCATAAGGAGAGATATGCTCAGATAATCATTTAACTCTCCAAGAGTTATTGAGCAAATGCCCACTGTTTTCATGATGCCACACTACACAGCGAATTAAAGATAAAGGGGATATTGGGGGCATCAAAACATGATCAATTTTTTAAAGAGCTTACAAGTTACTAGCTCATCCCATGGAATCTAATCCCACAATTAATAACACATCAAGTTACCTGCTGTGTCCTAAGTATAAACATTCTGTAATGAAGATATACCATGTGGGCACACATTTGAGTCTATATATATGTATGTACGTGTGCACATTCCACCCGTCATAACCCAGCCGGAATCTCCACTTGCCTTATCAGGAAATATCTCCTGGAAGAAGTGGGATCTGAAGGATAAGAATATGTCCTCAGGGATGTACCGATACCCAGTGGGGCTACAAAGCAATGGGAAATCTGACTCTCTGAAGAAGTCTTCATCAGACTTTGGCCCTAGGGAGAGTGGGGCTTAAATCAGGGTTAGGCTGTGTGGAGGGGTCCTCACCAGCTCCCCCGGCTTTGCTTCATGTCCTCCCTTGAGTCATGCCTTCCTCCTCCCTCCTGTCTACCTCTCTCCCCCTGTTCTGCTCTCTGCATACATTCCCCCCCCCACCACCACCACCAGCCACATACTTCCTTGTCCCAGACTCTCCTAAGGACAGCAAATTACTCCTCTCATTTTAAAAAATGTAATCAACCGCATTTGATCCAGCAGGTGCTTTTGTCAGGATGGGTTTAAAAAAAATAGGTCTAAAACAGCGGATAAAATATAAATTAAAAAAGAAGAATGGGTCTGGTTACAATCAATAACCCCAGAATTATTGACTCCTCTCCCCATTACACTGTGATGCCGCTGTAATCTTGCTGTCAGATTCTATAAAGGACGCATCTGCGCAAGATGAGATGTCCATTGTCAAAAGTTATAATTCTCTCCAACAGAACTCCCATAACAACAGCAAGGCAGTTTCTGCAGAGCGTTCTGGTGTCTGAGAACCACATGACATCACTCTCTAAAACCCATTTTGTGTCTCTGCACCGGGGCCATCTCTGTCCTTAGCAAGTTGGCAGGAGAAAAGGAAGTAGAACCAGAAGCCGAACTTGGTCCCAGCCTGCCGACCTGTGTTCAGGCATTTCAGGCTTTCCTTTACCCTACCAAAGCCCCTCCTAGACAGTTGTACCCCAGAGCTAAAGTCCTCCTAGAAACAAATGGATTACTCATCCCAAGGAAAAGCTGGAGCTAATCTCTGTTTTCTTGTATAAATTCTCCAGCTGGGATTGCTGCTCCTATGAATGTTTTGGCTGGGGGCAGAGTTCAGAGTTGGTTTCCAGAGATTTCGCCAGGAAAGCCCAGGGCAGGCAGTAGGCTTACATCAGCAGGAAAAAGCAACCTATCTGGACAAGGCCCCAGGAAGCCAGGCCTGTTGGCAGCAGGGCTCCAGACCCACCAGAAGTCAAGGAAAATCTCCAACCTGGAGCCGCTGACTCTTGCGGCCAGCAGCCAGCTCACTGGGACTCCTTCTGAGCTCACTGTTCAGTCCCTAGAAGACAGCACGGCCAGACGCGAAGGCCACTGGCTTGGGAGCTGCATGACTTTGACAAAACCCTCCTTCTCTGAGCCTTGTCTTCCTCATTTGCAGTGAGAGGGCTGGATGGGACAACCTCAAGAGGCCCCTTCTAAATGTATGATGAGTGATCAGTGACTGGCTCTCTCTCAGTCCTGGGTTGGGTTGGGGCTGTGACTTCTGTCACTTCTCAGCCTTCCCAATCCTTGCTGGCTGATACCCTATCCCTGATCCCAGAAAGAGCCCCTGCCTGGACAGAGGGTATCTGGGAGTCTCCCACCAATGCAGGAGAACCAGAAGGTCTGGGTGGGCCCTGCCTCTGGGGCCCTCTGTCCAAACTGAAAGCAAAGCTCTGCTGGTTCTGATTATGAAGACTTACAGCCGGGAGTGAGTTTCCTTGGCAATATTGTCTGCTGCCTTTATGAGCAGCAATTACATAGCATTTGGTACCTGGGAAGGCAACAGGCGAGAGCTGAAATGGTGAAATGCTCTATCACTCCGAGAAGCACAACGCCTTTGGTAATAAATATTGACGTTCATTAAGACAAAGCCAGAATTCAATCTGTGCTGGGGAATTCTCTGCTTCCGGCCTCAAGAATGGCCCTTATTTACAAGATGCCCCTAAGGGAATGAGCAGGCCGGCTCACCTTGCTCCCCAAGATACATTTTATTCAACCGACTTGTCCTGGGCAAATGTGTGTCTGACAAGCCAATTTGAAAACGAATTTGGTACATTTTTTGAGTTGATTATTTATTCTGAAAATGAATGCCCATTCTGGTGAGCTGACAGCTCTAGGGATGACAGCTCTGTGCTCCTTGCTCTTCTCCTCCCCCAACGAAGCAGAAAGTGTGTGGAATTTTCCCAGGCATTGGGCTGGAAGGGCACCTCCATCCACACTCCCCAGTGCCCAGTGCAGCATATGTTCATCCTGCTGACCAAGCCAGAGTGTGAGGCCTGCGGCAGGGAGGAGTGGGGTGGGGTGAAAGCACAGTGGGGCTCCATCTGCTCCGCCCTCTCGTATGCTGCAGCTGGGCCAGCATTTGGCTCTCACAGCCCAGAGTCATCATGAGGACCTAAGACACAGAGATGGAGCCCTGGGGCAGGTTGTGGGGTAGGAAGAAGGTTTCCTACCTCCATTTGATTTCTCAACTTCCTGTACCTTGCTTTCACTATTCTTTTTTTTTTTTTTTTTTTTTTTTTTTTTAGACAGGGTCTCACTCTGTTGCCCAGGCTGGAGTGCAGTGGTGTGATCTCGGCTTGACTGCAACCTTCGATCTTGGCTCACTGCAACCTCTGCTTTCTGGGCTCAAGTGATTCTCCAGCCTCAGCCTCCCAAGGAGCTGGAACTATAGGCGTGAGCCACCAATGCCTGGCTAATTTTTGTATTTTTTGTAGAGAGAGGGTTTCACCATGGTGCCCAGGCTGGTCTTGAACTCTTGAGCTCAAAGCAATTCACCCACCTTGGCCTCCTAAAGCACTGGGATTACAGGCGTGAGCCACCATGCCCGGCCTCCTTGCTTTCCCTATTGCCTCTGATGTGTTTGATCATATTCAGAACCTCTATCCTGTCAAGATGATTCATTTTCCCATTTCATGAAAAGGTAACATGGAGGAATGTGCTCAGGGAGTGCACCCTCGCCACCTCCCCTGGCTCTGTGCTTCCTCCTCAGCCCTCCTTCCAGGGTGCTCAGGGGCCCTCAATTTCTGGTATAGTCCTGGAAGGCTTCATGCAAAAGGAAGACCCCATCAGGGTGTTGAAGGATAGGGAAGTTTGGAAGGGCAGAAAGAGAGAAGAATTGTATTCCCCACGGGAGTAACTGCATGAACAGAGATGAGGATGCAGAAAGTATGTTCCAGAGATACTGAGTTGCCTGTGGTTAAAATGACATTGAAAGGAATCGGATCATGGAAAGCCTTGAATGCAAAGCTAAGAAGCCCAGACTCTAAATTTACCAAGGTGACTTCATTGCTTTCGTTCAGCACTTTCGAGTTACTTTTAGACCATGAGCCTATTCTAATGTCCTCTTGCCTAGAACCTCAGTGTACAAAGCAGATAAAGGTTAAGCTGTTCTGATTAAACATAGGTGAAGGGCCCTGAGTCTTACCCCTTACCTCACACAGAGTCACGTGAGGTGCTGGTTGAAAATGCAGGCTCATGGAATCCCTCACCAGACCTACGGATGTCTATTCTCTAGAGGTGGTGTCCTGGAATACGCATTTGTTTCTACCGTTCTTGGTGATTGGTAAACACAATGAAGTTTGAGAACCATGGCTGTAGGGCTTGATAGGGCATAGTGTAAAGACTGACAGCATGTCTTAATTTGCAAGTAAATCTTCCACCTGGCTTGACTGTATTCCCACCTATTTTACCTATCTCTCTGATGTGTAATCTGATTGTTCTGTGTCATATAAATACTCTCCCAAAGCATCATATGATTGTTCCTAGTACTGAAGCTGGAGAGGAGGGGGCTTGGAGGAACAGGGGTTATTAAAAACTCACCAACCCCAAAACTCCTGTACCTCATGTAGGGCCTCTGTGGCACTAGAAACCCCAGTTCTGAAAGCAAATGTTTGTGAGCACCTTGGAAACTACATACCCACTCTCAACAATTAGTGTGAAAGGGGTCATTCATTTCCTGGCTCAGTGGCAAGAGCAATATGGTTCAGGAAGCTGAAATCAGAAAATCTTAAGTCCAAGATCTTCAGAGACCTGCTTTCTGCCAAGAGGGTTGGGGCCCAGGCCCAGGAGCTTCAAGGAGTACAGCGTGGACCGAGAGCCATTTTCCCCCGCACCAAGTTTCAAATCAACACCCCGCCTCGAAAGGTACAGTTTCTGCCAGTTCAGTCATGTCATTATTTCTGTTTGCCAGATAGGAGAGTGAGGGGAAGCAGCCCTGAGCAATTAAATGTCTAGCCTAAGGTCACAGAGCAAGTCAACGCAGGCCCTCCGAAAGCACCAGGTCCTCCTGCCAGATTCAGGCAGCAAGTGGGCAATCTGCCCTCAGGCTCCTGCCTCAGTGCACCTTCATCTTGCCTGGCTCAGCAGCCTGGGCTGGCTCTTCCTCGACTCCCACACACCTCAGCCAACTCATCACTGCCCTGATCTAAGCCTCCCCTGCCACCCCAGCCTGAGGCCTCTGGAAATCAGGAGACACCTGCATGGGTAGATGATGGCTGTCACAAAGTGAACTCAGAGAGAAGGAGGGGGAAGCCTTGGCATTCAGCTTCCACTTCAGCTCTCAGCCCACTAATTTGGGGCAGTGAAGGGAATACAAGTGAGAGCTATGTCACCCTCTAGCTACGCTACAGTCATAGGGTGACAGAGAAGCTGTTTGCCAAGCAGATGTAGTATAATTGGACATCTATGGCTTTGAACTGACCCCCAGCACCGTCACCTGCACCCATGCCTCCTTCCTTGGGGGAACTACTGCTCTGCCATGTCAGTCACGTGATTCTAATGAGATGCCAGTCACCCCTAGTAGCAGCAGTCCAGGTCTAGCCAATATTGCTCCTCATCCACTTGGCTACAGCGATTCACCCAAGCGTGGGCATGGGACCATGTCTGCCCAATCAGAGTCCTTCCCTGGGATTTTTTTTCAGTCTGAGTGTGGTAGATGGGGCTATAGATGTAAACCTTCCCTGACACTTGGAGAAGGCCTCTCTTCGGAAGAAACAATGAAGCCAAGCAGAGACATACAGAGTGTGCACATAGGGAGAAAATATCCTAATGGCATCATGTGAATCCTGTAATCCAGTAGTAGCTGAATTAAGCTACTACTCAATTACATGTGTTGGTAAATTCTCAGTTACATGTGCTAGATAGTAAATCCTCTTCAAAAAAAAGATAATTTAAATTGCATTCCTGTTACTTGCAACCCAAGAGTCTTGATAAATATAATGGGATAGCCATAGAGCCTACTCTCACTACTCTCAGACACAGAACAAGTTTTTGTTTTTGTTTTCTTGAGATGGAATCTCGCTCTGTCACCCAGGCTGGAGTGCGTGGTGCTATCTCGGCTCACTATAACCTCCGTCTTCCGGGTTCAAGTGATTTTCGTGCGTCAGCCACCCAAGTAGCTGGGATTACAGGTGTGTGCCAGTGTGCCAACACACCTGGCTAATTTCTGTTTTGTTTTTGTTTTTGTTTTTGAGATGGAGTCTCACTATGTCACCTGGGCTGGAGTACAGTGGTGCGATCTTGGCTTACTGCAACCTCCACCTCCCGGGTTCAAGCGATTCTCCTGCCTCAGCCTCCTGAGTAGCTGGGATTACAGGTGCCCGCCACTATGCCCAGCTAATTTTTTGTATTTTTAGTAGAGGCAGGGTTTCACTATGTTAGCCAGGCTGGTCTTGAACTCCTGACCTTGTGATTCGCCCGTCTTGGCCTCCCAAAGTATTAGGATTACAGGCGTGAGCCACTGCACCTGGCCTAATTTCTGTATTTTTAGTAGAAACAGGGTTTCGCCATGTTGGCCAGGCTGGTTTCAAACTCCTGGCCTCAAGCAATCCACCTGCCTCGGCTTCCCAAAGTGCTGGAATTACAGGTGTGAGCCACTGCACCCGGCCATAACAAGCTTTTTAAATGGGCATTAAAGGTCTTTTCTTGACAAATGGAACAAGACAAGGGAGCAGGTAGGTCTAGCTAGGAGCCAGCAATAGAAGGAACCAGTGGAGTTGGGGCCAAAAAAAAATTCCAAAAATATGCCTATGGATTGAGGGCTCCAGGTCTAATTGGGGACCCGATAAATGGAAATGAAACAACATCCCTATTGCTCATTTTACCTACTGTCACCAAGGTCAGCAGTGAGGACGTAAGCACTGAATCCCACAGTGCTCTCTCAGCTCCCACCTGTCTGCAGCCCACAGCCCTTATCCCACAGCCTTCCTTCGTTCAAAGCTCCACTTCTTTGAATGGCAGACACTATCCTAAATGAGTCCCCATACTGCTGTGACCATTCTTGTGTCTCCTCAGATGGCTCCTGTTTATTCTCCCAACACGGAAGTGTGGGCACTGCTTGAGGCCATGTGCCAGGTATGCCACAACACCTTCTAGCCTGAAGTTTTACAGAAGCCCCCTCTTCCCAGACTAGAATTGTGAGCCCAAGTGCCTCTTGTGAGCTCCAATGCACATTCCTAATTTAAAGACTCATCAGCTTTCACCACATCCAGGGCCTCCTCTGATCTTCTTGGTACAGGCGTGGACCCACAACTCCCCTGCTAGCTCAGGCTCCAAATTTCAGAGCAAACAATGACTCTTTTCTTTCCTTCATCCTGCACAGCAGGTTATCGTGGTCTGTAATTTCTTCTTTATTGGTGTCACTAGGATTCTTCCCTTGTTCTTTATTTTTAATTCTTATTTCCTTAAGGCCTTTATCACCTTGTACCTAGATTTCAGCAACAGCCTCTTCTTTGCTCTTTTCAAACATTTTATTCAACAAACATGTATAAGGTGGCTTTTAGGTATCAATCCCTATACAGTCTTCCTACTCTCGAATCCATTCTGTACACAACACCAAGGTAATCTTTCTCAAGTGCTACCTTGATCACATCATTCTGGGTCTCTAAAGTCTTCAATGATTCCTCACTGCCTACTGGGTAAAGCTCACACTCATCAGTCTAGTATTCAAAGCCCTCCATAATTTGTCCCCAACCTACCTGTCTGGCCTGATCTCCTACTATTGCCTCTATACAGACTTTTTACTCCAGACAACCTGATCTATTTGCTTTCCCTTGAACAAGCACTGCACTTTTACACCTTTTTGCCTAGTCTGTTTCCTCTGCATGAAAGTGTTCCCAGCTTATTCTGTGTCTGCTCTTACTCATGTCTCAGAGCTCAGCTCAAACATGACCACCATCTTCTTCTCTTAGCATGCCAGCTAGAAGTGATTCCTATCACTTTAGACTCCTGCCATCCTTTGCTTTTAACATTTGTGCGATATCTAGCATGTGATACCTTGCACTGTGGATCGATGACCCATGCCAGGATTCCCATCATGAGATTTCTTACCTGAAACATCTGCATCAGAATCATGAAAGTGTTTGTTTAAAATGCAGGTTATCAGGCTCTGCACAAGGAATCTACACTTCCAGCCTGTAACCTCGGTGATTCTCTTGTGTACTCAGACCTGAGAGCAGCTAGCTATCTTATGAGAGTGTAAATTCCCTGAGGGCAGGAACCACATCTTACATGGCTTCATAAACATCAATACACTTAGACACTCAGGTTGAAAGGAAGTCCCAAGATCACTGAGTTCAAACTTGAATATCCTTTCAACATCACCACTACGTTAAAACTTGCTAAACTTTACAGATTAGAAGGATGTGTGTACAGAAAACATTCATGAGGTTTGGACTGAGAATGCTGTAAGAACTTATTATAACATGAGAACCTAGCCCAAGACTCAGAGTAGAAATTTTTCTCTAGTCTTGGTACCATAAACAGTTGCAGTTTTTATAAGCAATTTAGATTCATTTTTGTCTCCTGGATACTGAATTTTGTAAATGATCTCATTTCTCTCTTGTGTTGACCACGGGACTGCCTATAATAAACTCCATGGCCACCACCAGCAGGTAACTAGGACTCCATGACGTCCACAGAGCATTCTAACCTCACCCGTGACTCCACTGCCTCCTCCTAGCCTTGCTTTCCATTTGCCTGTTTTTTGTTTTTAAACTTATTTTTAGTTTATTTTCTCTTGCCATATTGTTTGCATCTTCACAGAAGGTCTTCTGAAAGAAGGCCATTTATAAGTAAATAAAATAAATTCATGAACCTGTGGGTGTGCAAATGTTTTCTGATTTTTTTTTTTACTCTGAAGAGAGAAATTAATGTGGAAAATGAATCTTCAGATCAGCAATTCTGAGGGAAACCTGGGCCAGAAAGAACAGATGGAGTAAGTGGTGCTCCGAGGTCAGAGTTGTAAAAAAATTAGGACTTGTAGAGAAAACATGTATTCGGAAAGGATGATGGAGTTTTAGAACAGGAAGAGACGAGAGTGGTTTTAGAGTGTGATCATAAGAGGCAGAAAGCAAGAAAAAGCTTTTAGAGCAGGAAGAAGTAGTTAAAACAGGGCTGGTTTCAGGGAACTAACCTTGGAGTTTTTATGCCCAGACAAGGTAGGGTCTAACTGCAGTTCCAAGGCCTCGGTGCAGAGGGATCCCACTTGGGTTTAGATGGCTGTGTGGGGGAATGAATTTAGGGCCTAGGGAGGAAGAATCTTACCTTCCCAATGGTCAAGGAACCTCAAGAAAAAACTCTGGTCCAGAATTGGAAGTTGAAAGCAAGAGTCAATGAGAAGAGACACATCTGACAAAGGACTAATATCTAGAATCTACAAGAAACTCAAACAAATCAGGAAGAAAAAGCAAATAATCTCAGTAAAAAAAAAATAAATAAAGTGAAAAAAGGACATGAATAGACATTTCTCAAAAGAAGATATACAAATGGCCAACAAACATATGAAAAAATGCTCAACATCACTATCATCAGAGAAATGCAAATTAAAACCACAATGAGATACCACCTTAACCCATTATTAAAAAATCAAAAACTACAGATGTTGGCATGGATGCTGTGAAAATGGATCATTTATACACTGCTAGTGGGAATGTAAGTTAGTACAACCTTTATGGAAAACAGTATGGAGATTTCTTAAAGAACTAAAGGTAGATCTACCATTTGATCCAGCAATTCCACTCCTGGGTATCTACGCAGAGGAAAAGAAGTCACTATATCAAAGAGATATACCTTCACACACATTTACGACAGCACAATTGATCAGTGCAAAGATTCAACCTAAGTGTCTATCAACTGATGAGTGGATAAAGAAAGGTGGTATATAATATACCATGGAATACTACTCAGCCATAAAAATGAATAAATAATGTCTTTTGTAGCAACTTTTGTAGAACTGGAGGCCATTATTCTAAATGAAGTAACTTAGGAATCAAAAACCAAAGGCCACATGTTCTCATTTATAACTGAGAGCTAAGCTATGGGTATGCAAAGGCATAAAGAGTGACATAATGGACATTAGAGACTCAGAACGGGGAGGATGGTAAGAGAGTGAGGGAGGAAAAACTACCTATTGGGTAAATGTATACTACTCAGGTGACAGGTGCACTAAAATTCTAGACCTCACCAGTACACAATTCATCCTGTAACCAAAAACAACTTGTACCCCTAAAGCCATTGAAATAAAAAATTTAAACAAAAACAAACAAATATAAAAAATAGTAGATGAAGAGAGGAGTAGAAACTAGAAACAACAGAAGTTTGCCCTATATAGGATGTCATGCTAAAATGAATCAAATAATATGTGTCCTCATATTGGTAACTTACCTAAAGTGCATGTCTTTGGTACATCAAGACCTTTCCCAGTGTAGTAATACATTATGGGAAATTCAAGTACTATAGAAGAGATGGAGATACAGGGGGCAAAACACTTTTAGAATAAACCCTTGACTTCAGGGAGCAGGCAGTGACAGGCTATCATCTAAGTAGCATGGTAAATGGCTAGGCTAAGGGGCTACCTTCCTCTTCACATTAGTAAATGCTGAACACCTTTGGGCTGACACAGCCCAAGAGCACAATGTTTCAAGTGGGCAGGAGTTAGCCTTTAGAACAGTCCCTGATGCCAGCTTAGGATCCAGGGGCCCAAAATATCATCACACATAGAAAATAGAAAGATGTTTATTGGGTGGTTGTTTATTTATTCATTCCACACTTATTGAATATTTAATGACTACTGAGCACCGGGCTAGGGATCAGAAATATGAAGGATACTAACACAAACTTTTTGCCCTTAATAAGCGCAACACATACTTCTTGCCCTTAATAAGCTCAAAGCCCATGGAGAAAATCAATATGTAAATCAAGCATGACTGTGTGTGGTATGAGTAATGCTATAGTCAAGGCATGTGCAAAGTGCTACAGTATAGGTGGGATCACAGAGGATAGAACAATTAACTCTGCCCTGGGGAGGTGGAGAAAGGGGGCATATTTGACCAGGATCTTGAAGGACGAATAGGAGTTCTGCAGACAGAATAGAGAAGAGAATATCCAAAAGTACAATGGTCTTAAATAGCAGGGTATGTTTTTGGAACCCTAATAAGTTTGGGGTGATTAGAATAGAGTGTGGAATGGGAGCAGCAAGAGATGTGGCCAAATATTTGGGGCTAGACTGTGAGGGTCCCTAATATGTCACCCTGAAGAGTTTGAACTTTGTGTTTTAAGCAGAACAATAATTTCAGACACATTAAAGAAAAATAGCTCTTGCAGTAGTCAACACCGACTGCTGGGAAATTTCTAGGATCCTGATGTCTCCTGGGAGTCCACCCTTCAACGATCAGCAGAGTGGCAGGTTTCTGATGCTATGGGTCCCAGGGGAGGTGGAGAGGCTTAGAGAGGGCATGCTAACTGAAAGGTCAATGCTGTGGGTGTAGGAAAAGCACTGAGGTGGGCCCGCCCCAGAATCCCTGTTTTGCCTGGCTGGGGACCAGCTTGAGCTGAAATGCTCCCCATTTCTGAAGGCCCAGTGTGGGCCTTCAATCTTAGGGCCCAGTCACTTCGCACAACAGCAAGAGTGAATTTGCGAGCCAGGAAAAAAATGAAAGGCTGTAGTTCTTCCTTCGAATCAAGTTGTTATTGTTCAAATGCATTATTAATGATCAGGGCTGCAATCATTTATAACACGGTCATCACAAAAGCAGCTGTTACCATTTACACATAGCTCTCCGTGAGTATGTTATTAAGGTAATATTTTACCATGCATGCGACTTGCTCAGGGGCGGCATGCCTAATGCTTGCCTTGAACAGTTCCCCCACTCCCTTCTTAGAAGTAATCACTCCTTTCCTTTCTTTACAGAGATGCCAAATGCCAGAGAAGGGAAGCAGGAAGGGAGATGAAGACAAGGAACTCTGAAAAATGGAAGCAGAAACACAGGCTGTATTTTCCCCTATCCTTCTTTTCTTTGTTCCCTTTTTTCTCTTTTGAATGAAAAATAAAAATGCAGAAAACCTCAGGAGCCTCGTAACTTTCCAATTTTTATTTAAAAATAAACCTACTGCCGTGGCTGTCACTACTTCTATGCATGTAATGCAAACTCGAATCCCACTGCCCAATATTTATATACGAGAAGGTAAATGCTCTAAAGAGAAAAAATAAATCAGGTTAAATCTTACAAAAGGAGTAGGGAATTTGTCCAAAGAGAGAACTGGGAAGCCAGCATAGTCCTCTGAGGACCCCCTGAGTCAGCAGATGGAGGGTGGGGTTACAGAGGAACGCCAGGAGTATGTGTGGCCTATTCTGTGGCTTCTGAGCTTCACATTTGCCTGATGGGGAGGCTGATGGGCTAGTGGTGCAAGAGGAAGAGAAACAGAGGTATCCCCTGCATCTGGGACTCTTTATGCCTACTCTGGGCATAAAGGTAATGAAAAAATGATGCCCCAGCAGCAGATGTCAGATCTGCCCCTTCCTTTTCTAGGCTGGACCAGCCTCCTGAGCTTTCCTCCTTCACCAATAAGATGGTCCTGGAAATCTGCATTAAGGGTGTCAGAAGCACTTGCAGGGACCAGGTGTGGACAGACCACAAGACTGAAGAAGGGACCCAAGCATCAGGGAACATCCTAGAGGGATCCATGACCCTTGGGGCAAAATAGCAGATAGAAATGCTGGATTCCCCTGGAGCTTTCACAGCTGAGAGGGGATCCTCTTCCTTTCCTCTACCCAGGAAAATAGGGGCATTGCAGCAGGTTCTGAGGTCTGACCCTCAAGGTTGGTGATTGGGTACATAACGAAGGAGGAGTTCATTGGACAAACAGTTGTACAGTGGCATTTAGGGAGCAGCCTGTTCTAAGCACTGGCAGGAAGCCGATTGCATGTCATAGAAACCTCATCTGATCTGAAAGATCACGGAAAGCTGATGCAAGAAGCTATGCAAGTTACGAGCTGAAGAGTGAGTCAAAGATTAAATTGGCAAAGGGGAAAGAAAGAATAATGCATCAGGAGTAGAAGCACGCACAAAAGTCCTGAGGCATGCAGGAGTGTAGATTAAGGAACCAAGGGAAGGCCATGCAATGGAGCTCAGAAAGTGAGGAGAGAAGAACATAAGAGGAGGCCAAGGAAATAGCAGGGACAGGTCACGTGGGGCCTTGCTAAGGATTTTGGTCTACACCCTAGGAGCAATGGGAGACCATTGCAGAGTTCAGGATTTGAGTTGAAAAGAGCCCTCTGCGGTGTGGAGAATAACTAGAGGGGTCGGCATGTGTGGGGTGAGTGAGGAAGCTGGAACCAGCAGAAGACTGTAACACTTTAGCCTGTGGTGGTGGCAGAGAATGAAGGCTAAGGAAGAGAGCCAAGTAATCATTCGGAAGTAAAATCAGCAGAGACCTTGTGGTCAACTGGATAAGAGGGCAGAGAGAGTGGGGACCCCAGGTTCCTAGTTTGTGCAAATGAAAACACAGCATTTCTATACATGGAGGAAAGGAATAATGGAAGAGAGCCAAGACTGAGAATGAAGGCAGTGAATTCAGTTTCAAAAATATTGAGTTGGAGGCAGCTTCAAGATGGTTAAGTGGAGATTTCAGGTTTGCTGTTGGAAATACAGCTCTAAAGTGTAGAGGAGAGGTCTGATTTGGAGGCAAATGAGGGAGTCTTTGGCATATGGATGATGATTAAAGCCAATTCCATGGGAAAGATCACCTTTGGGGGAGAATATAGAGTAAGAGGAAGTGAGGGCCAAAACTTGAAGAGCCCCATTGTGCAGATGTCAGATAGCAGAAGAGGACAAGCCTGCCACAGAGACTGGGGAAAAGCCCCCCAGACAGAAGAAAGGAATCCAGGAGCATAGGACTATGCTCTGGGAGAAAGGAGCATCATCTCCCAGTGAACAGGGAGGAGGGCATTTCAATGAAAGAGAGTGGTCAGGAAGGTGTACTATCACTGCAAGGTCAAGGGAAATGAGGAGTAAAAAATGTCCATTAGATAGAGACATCAACCCAAGGTCACTGGGAACCCAAGCCATAGCTGTGTCTGTGCACATATTAAAGGAGCCAATGCACACGAGGCACCCTGTGCAGCAACTGGCACGTAGTCAGCTCTCAGTAAATGTCAGCTTTTGTTAAATTCACTCTTTAACATGTATACATCTAATATTCTCCTATTCTATTGAAGGAGGAAAAGAAGGAGACACAGGTTAACATCTTAACAGGAGAGCTTGAGATTAAACCCAGAGAACTTCCAGACAGGAAGGGCTGTAAAATGCCTGTAAAGGCTATTAAAGAATATGATAGGACTCTGGATAAACTTAGGCTCAGGACAGATTCCTGTGTGGCGTCTGAGACAGGACTAATGCAGCTCTTCCTTGAGGCAGGGGACCCACCCCAGTCATCAGGGTGGATCATTTCTGCACTGGGTGGCCCTAGCCCTTCCTCCCCTGCCCCCATGGAGACGAAAGCTGTCCTGTGAAGGAAAAGCCTCCTCATTTCAATGGCTGGGCAGCCCAGGTTAACATTAACAGAGTCCTCCAGCAGAAAGCACCCAGAGGACAAGCACTGAAAAATATGCTTGAAGGGCCAGCCGAGTGGCCAGGATTACAATGTGATGCCCGGCCTTGGGTCAGTAATGGGGAGGTATTAGTCATCTCTTCAGACCTCAGCTCCATTATTTTTGCCAGAAATGTGAGAACAGCTCTCACTAATAACGTGTGGAACCACTTCCAACTATTTGCCTTTCAAGTCAGCCTCCTCAGGTCGGGTGACATATCTCGTTTAACAGGGGGTGCCATTAGAGGGAAGATTTAACGTGTGGCTAAAAGCATTTGTAGCGAGAGCTGTGGGTGGGTTCCTTTTTAAGCTTCTGTGGCTGGTAACTTGCGTCTCTTCCCTCCGTGCTGTTGGGTTTTGTTGTTGAAGCCTTTTTCTTTCCTGAAGGAGGTTGGTCATTAACTCTACCCTTCCCGGAGGATCCCCTGGCATGAGCAGGGCAGGTCGAGAGTTGAATTAGAAAACTTTCCTGTGCCAATCAGAGACTGCATGAGGTTCAGCAGGCTGGCATAATTATTTGAAGCTTCTTGCTATCCTCATACAATTCCCCCCCAATCAGGTGACCTGGTGTCCCTTGATATTGATGTCTTACAGCAATAACCTTAGCCTTGAAAACAGAACCACAAATTTACCAGCCCACAGAATCTGTATATCTACCAACAACATGAGTCCTGCCTCTTCTCATGCCTTGAGAGGGCCAACAGTCATGCCAGGAAGAGTGGAAAGAAGAGGGCTGAGAATCTGGAAAAAGAACTTGTTATTTTACTGAAATCTCCTTTCTTGACATTTTTCCCTGAAGGCTGGGACCATTTAAGGCCCTGATGAGCTTCCGAAATCTCTGTCCCAGGGTAATCTTCCTATCTCCCAAAGTCTCAACCTCTCGAGACTCTGATTCTTTGTCTGAACACAGAGAGAGTAATAGCTACCTATCAAATGAAAGGCTATAGTTAGAAGCACTGAGCACAGGGCTTTGCACATGGGAGGGGCCCAATAAACATATATCACTTACATCATTTTTGGTTATAAGTTACAAGTCATAGAAAATCCAACCAAAGTGCCTAAATAGAGGGAATTTATTGGATTGTATAATTAAGAAATCCAGGGCTAGGCCTGGCTTTGGGAATCTAGCTGGTGGCTCATGAAACTCTCTCCAGGGTCAAGTTTCTCTCTGGCCATCCCTTGACTGGGCTTCCTATGTCCTGGCTCCAGGTCATTCAAGGCTTGGTGGCAGCAAGATGACAGCAGCTGTATTAGTCCCAAGTCCAACAGAGAAAAGGCTGCTCTTCCTCTACCTCATCCCCCAACAATTCACCTAAGTCCTAAGCCAGACACTCACTGGGCAAGTTGGGTTATGGACTCATCCCTGAGCCAATCGCCAAACCTTAGGCCTTGGAGTGTGATGACTGGGTTTACCCCTGAGTCTCAAATTCCACCTGAAGGGGAAGAATGACGGAAGGAGCCCCATCAAACTC
Organism: Homo sapiens; assembly: GCF_000001405.40. NCBI lineage: Eukaryota > Metazoa > Chordata > Mammalia > Primates > Hominidae > Homo > Homo sapiens. The sequence continues at coordinate 115,762,978 of NC_000011.10, read as the reverse complement.
AAGGTGCTGAGAGTTGCATGGAAAATATATCTCAAAAAAAAAGAAAAAAAAAGGTATACTATCACTACCAAAAAAGTGGCCAGGGAGGATATCAGGGTGCCCAAACATAGAAATATCCACTGCAAATAATAATTTACCATCCTACTCCATGTGTGAGATACAGGTTATTTGAGAGTAATGTTTAATAACGATATATCATCAAGGAAATCTCCATGAAGTCGCCCTCAAAACTTTTCAGCAAAGTGCCCACTTCCCCATATATTAGTAATATATTGATTACACCCATTATAGCACTTTTATCATCTGCCTTCTATTAGAGTTACTTACTTTAAGACTCTGTTACCTCCATCACAATTAAGCTCTGGGTAGTCAAATACAGGGTTATTTTTCTCCTCAACCCACACAGCACAAAGCACGCAGTGGGAAATCTGGGTGCTTCCCGACCCACACTGGCTCCCTGTATCCAGTTCAGCTCTGTTCTTGTTCTTCCCTTTCCTTCCCCTGACCACTTTATCTACTTGGGGTTAGACTGGGAGGGACTAATGGATGCGATGAAGTCTAAGGTCAGAGGTTCCCCGACTCACCCTCTCTCTTGCTAGCATCTGCCTCTGTTATAGCTTCTCTCATGTTGTACCTTGGGTTGTTTTGCTGGTTTCTCACCACTGTTACCTTGTGCCTAGAACAGTAGCTGTCTCCAAGAAAGCACCCAATTAAGTGGTATAACCACTACGAGTGATTCTCACTCATAATCGCCCCTCAGATTCTCAAAGAAGAGCCTCATCTATCAGGGCTACTGAAAGGTAAGGTACTCAGCCCAGGTGAGGGGTTCGAAATCTAGAGGGCTATAATGCAGAATACATAAATAGAGAAGGAACTGTAAAGCTCACTGTTGTTCCTTGCTCTCCATCAAGCCAGAGAAGATGCAGAGACAGTACAGGGAGCCTGACAGGCTATAGGGGGCAGACTGAGTTAGTAGAGCAGGGGATCTTCAGCTTGACTCAGCATGCAGTTGGTACCCATGGGGAAAGGGGAGGCCAACAATTAGTGGGGGGCTGGCAGCAAAGACCCTCAAAGGCAGAAAAGCAACACAGCTGTGGCTGTGAATGAGCAGCCTGGCAAACCATGATCTCAGTAGTGTCCTGAAGCCAAGAGGAACAGGCTCCACTCCCTGGGATGTGGGTGGGAAAGGGCCCAAGAGGAGGCCAGTATCTCAGTCAGATGGGACTGGAGCTCAGGGGGCTGTAGTGCTAATTAGGAAACTAAGGCAGAGTCCCAGCACTAGGAATGGAACCACTTTAGTGGTGATCAAGGGAAGGGTGTTTGCCACAAACATACTGGATCCTGAATCTGTGGGCAGACATCTGAGTACAGCACTTCCCCTACCAGTAAAAGGGAGGTGCTAGTGCCCTCCTAGCCCAATTAGGGCAGGCTCCGTAGCTGGGTGGGGCTGAGCTTGTAGGAAAAGGCCTACTAGGCAGTGCCCTGCAGGGCTGGGCAAGCCAGGACTGATGGCTGGGCCAGGTGAGAAAGATTTCCTGCTGTATTTGCAGACTGAATATGTGTCTGGGGCTAGGGGCTGAGCTGCTGCCAGCACCATCTGACCTCAAGGATCCCCCTAGTCAACAAGCAGCAAGAACAGGAGACTCCAGAGGCTCCCTCAGCTTTGGAGATAGCTCTGCAAACAAAACTCAGTTTTTAGGGGTTAATCCTCAGCCCCAGGAGGAGGCAGTGGGCCTCCTCTGAAGGGCAGAGTCAGCAAGTGGGCTGAGACTAAAGGAAAGGCCCAAGACTGCAGGCCTGAGATTAGTTTGGCAGCAGCTCCAAAGAGCAGCCCTTGAATCGCAGGGATTGTCTGAGCCCTCAAAAGCACTGGCTGCCTCCCACCAGCCTAGCTAATGGGGCTGAGCTGCTGGGGCCATGACCTCTGTCTACCCGGCTGATGGTCTGCTGCTCTGAATCTCACTCCCCCAGCACCCAGCAGGACCAAGGGCTCTGTCTAGCTTATGTGCATCGTGCCCTTGCATGTTTTCAGCACCTACTATGCGCGCAGCATCACACCTCCCCATCCACCTGCCTCCTGTTACTCTCACCAGCACGCTCAGTCAACCCTTGGGCTAATTAGTGATTAGGTCTACAGTAAGCATGCATGGTGGGGTGCAGAGAGTGGGGTGGCCAGCGGGTGATGAGTGAGGGGAGAAGAGAACAGGAGATAGGAGGTCATGGTCTGACCTTCTTCCAAAGCCCGGAATCCCTGAGTCTGTCTCTGGCAGCTGTGAAACAGAGGGAGCATGGGATCTGAACCGTGCCGCCATCTGGGAGGTCACACACACTCACAGCCAAACCCCCGGAAGGAAACTCGGGCTGAAATACACCGTTTGCTGAAGAGCAGGGCTGGGCACTGGTTTCTCTGCGTTCTGAATTTCTAGAAAGGGTAGGGTCTCCGTTGCCAGGCGGCGTCTGCCACCTCTTCCCACCGCGGCCCCTCCAGCCCTCCACCCCTTCCCCTGGGAGACCCCCTGTGAGGACCCTCAGCAAACTTCTGCAAAACCTGACGGGCCCTGGGTGCAGGGTGGTGTGGACGCAGATCTTTCAGGCCGAGGGGGGGGCGGCGGGAGGGTGGGCGTGGAGGTGCGAGAGGCGCGCAGCCTCCGCCTGCCCAGCTGTCTCTGCGGACCCCGCCGAGGGAGGGAGAGAAGCGCTAGGAAAAGGAAGAGGAGAAGGAGCTCGAGCGGGAGGCAAGCGAGAGGCTCTTTTGCTCCTCCCAAAGCAGGGGGCGGCTCCACTGTGCTTCTGATGACCCGGCCGCCGCCGCCGCCCTGCAACCGCTCCCCGGGACCCCTCAACGCTGACACTGATGACCCGCGGCGGGGGCGCTGGGCGCGGGGTGCGCAGGCCACTGGCCGCGGGCTCTCGGGCCCGCTCCTGCCGCCGGCTTCTGCTGCTTCCGCGGTAATGACACTCGGCGGAGCGGCCGCCATCTCTTCTGGTACTTTCACTGGAGGAGGGAAGGGTGGGGAGAGCCCTCTGTCCACCCCTGCCCTGCCCTGGCGCTGGTCCGCCACTGCCCGCTGCTCTCGCGCTGGTCCGCAGCTCAGCCGAGCAGCTCCCTTCATCTGGCCTCCCAGACCCTCACTCAGCCGCGAGAGGAGGAGCTCCGGCGACCTCGGGCCTTCCCTTAGGGTCTGCGCGGCCCTTACCCCAAACCCGCCCAAGGTAGAGGCGTGAAGGGGCCGGCGGCGATGCAGAGGCGGGAAGCGCATTGGGGAGGCGAGGCTGGAGAAGGGGACGCAGGGAGGCGGGGGGTGGACCCCCAGCATACTCCAGGAGCCGGCAGGAGCCAAACCCCAGCCCTCCACACAGGTATTCCTGCGGACCACGAGGTGCCACCCGTCCCTGGTCGCAGAAAAGACGAAGGGAAGGCCCAGCTTCCCTACCTCTACCTCCCATGCCGGGCGCCCAGCCTGCTCAACTGAACCCCAAGCCGCAGGTTAACCCTGCTCCAGCTTCTCCCCTTGGCTATGGGCAAACTCCTTTTCTCTTTCCCATTGAGAACCACCGCTCAAATTCGGAGGGCTTTCCTCCTTGGTGCTCAGAGCTCCCAAGATGGGTGATTCTCTGCCAGGGGTCCTTAGCTACCCACTTTGGACAAGGATGGACAGATGTTTTCTCAAGCTTGCCTAAAGCACAGCTTCTAAACAGATGAGCCCTCCCCACGTTCCCCGCAGATTGTCTGGCCTTCGAGGAAATAAAGATGACCGTAGCCAAGCTGCCCTGCTCCGCACAAAGGACCCTGGGCGCCCCATCCTTAACTCCCCTGCCTTATGCTTGAGATTAGCATATCCACCCAGCAACTCCTCTGCTCCAGACTTAACTTGACCACTGCAGTCCACACCGACTCTCCTATCCACCAGAACTGTGCACTTAAAATCTGCTGCACACAATCCCATACTTGCTTGAGTCTGGCTTTGTTCTCCAATAGTTTCAAATGCCTGTTTGACTCCCCCCGCCACCCCCACAGAGATAAGGTCATCACAAGCAGTAACTACTGCTTTGCTTGTTTTGATTCCCACAGAGCCGAGCATAGATTGATGTGGCATAAGTGCTCAATAAATGCCCATGGACTTGGCTAATGGATGGACTTGCAGGGGACACTGCCCCATCAGGAGAGAAAGGTAGCCTTACTCTCATCTGCCCCACCAAGAGGAACCTAAGGTCCTATTTCCTGGGGGTGTCTCAAAAATCGGCAGAGTCGTTCTCCCCCCACCATCCCTCCTTGCCTCCACTCCCCTCGGCCTTCTGGATCCCCGTGGGTTTGGAGAGGCCGATGCTTGTGGCTCTTACCAACATCAATTTGCAGTCTCCAGGATGCAACTTCACCCTATGCTGCGTTCATAAATTAATCTCCTGGGATTAGATTCTGTGTTTTAGTAACACTCCTGAGGCATTGTATTTACACATTAATAATAAAAGAAAAAAAGTGAGACAAGTTCTGACAACTTTCAATAACATTCAGAAATAAAGTGCGAGGCACGGAAGTGTCCAAAGTTAATTAAAAGCATTTGGTGCTGACGGGGGCTGGGGGTGTTGCCTGCCTAGCTCTGACAGGTGCTGTTTCTGAAATGCAATTTTCCTGTCTATAATGTACCTGATGCCTGCAGAAAAGGAGAAACCGAAATAAACTGAACTGGCAGCATGAGCTTGAATTTTCTCTTGTTTTGTTTTACAGTGCCGTGGACACTGCCAGAATTTGTCAAAGGTCCTAGGAAGAAAAGGCTCTTTCACCCCTCCCCTCAATGAACAGATGGCGTGTTTGGACTGTTCGCATTCGCTCCTCATAGGTGGGATCCTGGAGGAAGTTAAGGGGTGCTCCGTTCCCTGGGGATGGGACAGCAGCTCGCCTTTTTACTAATAGCTATAAGGGACTGTCAGACATTTACCTGACTAGACCTTCACCTCAGAGCTCAGAAGGGGAACAGCTCCAGAACTAAAAGAGAGAGCCTCTGGCAGACCCCAAAAGACAGCATGTGGAGTGAAGCTGGGCTTCCCTGCCCAATCACTAGGATCATTTATTGCACAAATACCTGTATTTTAAGCTGCAGATTATTGTGAATTTTTGTATTTTCTTCATTTCCATTTAGCTTTTTTTCAATTTTAGAATAGCCTTTCTCTAGATAACTCGAGGAAGTGGGAGACGGAATTTCCTTTGTTTCTGTCTTGAGCCCAAAGGGACAATTGAGTGTCAGGTATGACAGGGATAAAGGGAGAAACTCAGAAATAATGCTTTTGTTTTGTTTTGTTTTGTTTTGAGATGGAGTCTCGCTCTTGTCGCCCAGGCTGGAGTGCAATGGCATGATCTTGGCTCACTGCAAACTCCACCTCCTGGGTTCAAGCGATTCTCCTCCTCAGCCTCCCAAGTAGATGGGCTTACAGGCAAGCGCCATCACGCCCGGCTAATTTTGTATTTTTAGTAGAGATGGGGTTTCACCATATTGGTCAGTCCGGTCTTGAACTCCTGACCTTGTGATCCACCCACCTTGGCCTCTCAAAGTGCTGGGATTACAGGCATGAGCCACCGCACCCAGCCAGAGGAATGTTTTGGGTGCTACACGTGCAGCCCCTCATGACTGTATCTCCTCAGAGCTCTTTTCTTCACATTCCTGAGTGCTTTGTGTTTTGTTTATTTAAGGGACAAATGAATCTCTTCCCACGCCATGGGATTTCCCTTGATTTTTATATTGGGAGTGAAAAGATGAAGCATGAGACTCTTCAGCTGCATCTCGAACTGCATCTAATCCCAGCACATCTCTCTCAATCTTTGATTAAGTCTGTTCATCTAAAAGAGAGACACAGGGGAAAAATGGAAATGGGACTTTGGAAGAATGACCATCCACATTCCCATCACAGCCTGAGATTTCCTACCTGATTGAGATTTTCAGTAGATGGCCCTAGGTCTAGTTTCCCACTTTGGACCTGCTGCCCTTGGCTCCAATAGAGGACTTCCAAGTAACTAGGAAGATTTCACCTCTCTTTTGAAACATAATGGACAAATGTGTTTCTTTAGGATGAGAGGTGCACCTGGCTAGTCAATCTTTATTTTCCTAAAATAAACAGGATGAAAACTCAAAACAAAAAGAAATACCTCATGGGCAAAAGCTCTCCCAATACAACTAATACAGACACTCAACATGGCTTTGTAGAAACTGACCCCTCTCCCAAGTCTTATGTTTGTCAGAATTGCATGCCTATTTCAATCGAAGAAAAGTGATCTGATCTCTTCAGATGAAGGTGGGACTTGGAGATGCTGCTGCCTAGAGTTAACTTGCCAGAGAAAGGATAAGCATTCGGGAAGTGCCAGGATGGGGTATCAGCTGAACAATGGCAGGATCCCTTCTGCCAGTGGGCTGGCTCAGGGAGTAAACCTCCCCGGAAGGAATTTTGTTTCTCTCTAGAATCAAAGTGGGCAAAATGATCACCTTATTCGCCTGGAGTGAACCAGGTTGAAACTGAGAAGGCAGACATGGGTGATAAGCCAGATGAAGTCATATGTTATAACTAAGCTATGTACCTGTAACTTGCCTGGTAGTTTTTTCATTCTCTCTAAACAGGTCATAATAAGTGTTAGTCTGTGATCCACTATGGAGAGAGATTTCTGGAAAGAATAGAGGCAGTGGTAGAGGGTCCAAGGTTGTTATTTAAGGAGATGAATGTGGGTCAGGTGCCGTGGCTCACACCTGTAATCCCAGCATTTTGGGAGGCAGAGGCAGGAGGATTGCTTAAGGCCAGAGTTCAAGACCAAACTGGCCAATATAGTGAGATCCCCCCCCCATCTCTACAAAAGATAGAAAAACTTAGCCAGGCATGGTGGCAGGTGCTATAGTCCCTGCCACCATGGGACTACAGCTCCTGCAGTCCCAGCTACTCAGGAGTTGAGGCGGAAGGATTGCTTGAGCCCAGAAGTTCGAGGTTGCAGTGAGCCATGATCATGCCACTGCACTCCTCCGTGGGTGACAGAGCGAGACCTGACTCAATAATAATAATATTAATAATAATGATAATGCAACACAAACTATCTTTTACCTCTTGAACAATGAATGCAGATGCCATGACTACATCTGTTTGTTGGGGACCAGGGAGGCTGCCAGTGAGGATTCAGGGTGGAAGTAGTGTGTACCCAATACCTATTGTGAGATGTGGCCTGGGGAGCCCTGAGATTGCCTGGCCAGGCTCACTCACTACCCAGACACCCTCTTCCTGCATGGCGAGTCCCTCAGCCCCTCCAAGGCTCAATTCTCAGACATCGGAGTAATCCACATCCTCCATCTTGAGTTACTCCTCACAAGGCCTGCAAGTTTTCCTAGGAGGAAGGGAAGACAGGGTTGAACCCACACAATTCTAGAATCTAGAATTTGGAGGATTTCTAAACCATTTCTGTAAGTCAGCCCTTGAGAACTTGTAGATTTTCTCATCATTTGCAGCATGAGAGTCTGGAGTAGACTGTTTGGATTTGACTCTTGGTTCCTTGGGCAAGTTACTTAACCTCTCAGCTGTGTGTCAGTTTCCTTATCTAAAAAGTGTGGTTAATAATAACTGACCTCTCAGAGGTATTGTGAGGTTACTGTGATGATTAAATTAGTTGATTCATATAAAATGTTTAAAAGAGTGCCTGGCATTATTATTAATAGTAATAAGTTTAGCATAAGTCTTGCCTGCCAATAAGGAGCTGGATTGAATGACTACTTTGATTCTATTTCTTGGCCTTCTCTTCTCTGGACTAGGTGACCCCAACTTTCTCCTTACTCCTGAAAAATTTATCCCAGTCTGCTAAGGAAGAGAAAGCCCATGTGTGCACATACACACATGCACCTACACAAACATTTACATACAGTTTTGCTCTTCTATACAGAGTTAATAGAGCTACTAGAGTGTCTAGGAACCAATCTGAAAGAGAAAGGAAACACTGCTTTTTTTTTGTTTGTTTTTTGAGATGGAGTCTCACTCTGTCACCAGGCTGGAGTGCAGTGGCGCAATTGTGGCTCACTGCAAACTCCACTTCCCTAGTTCAAATGATTCTCCTGCCTCAGCCTCCCGAGTAGCTGGGACTACAGGCGTGCATCACCACACCCAGCTAATTTTTGTATTTTTAGTAGAGATGGGGTTTCACCATGTTGGCTAGGATGGTCTTGATCTCTTGACCTCGTGATCTGCCTGCCTCAGCCTCTCAAAGAGCTGGGATTACAGGCATGAGTCACCACGCCCGGCCGAAACACTGCTTATTACAATTTATAGGTTTATGTTCAAAAAGTTGCTAATCTTATTGCTGTGAACCCCTGCCATCTCTAGTCCTGCCCACCTATAGGTACTGCAGACCAAATTACAGATTCAGATTTGCCCAGTTCCTGTTCCTGTCTTGACCAATCCTAGTAACTTATTTGGGGCCCAGCCCCATCTTCAGTGGAAGGTCTAAAATTGGCCTTGCTTCCTTAAGCTGGGTACACAGTGGGCCCAGGACTAAGCCTCATGAAGCTTTTAGAGGCCCACTGAGATTAACCTTTCTCACCAGTGCTCACCTTGTCTTCCTAGTGACCATGGCTGCCTTCTGTCTAGTTCTAGAGTTGCACTCTAATTCTCTTCCAGCGCTGTTGCCCTGATCTACATATCTATCTCTTTTAGAACTTTCCAGCTTATGTGTCCAATGTCAGTCTTTCTTCCAAATAAATAGAACTTTATCTTGATGAATATTTAATGTTCAACCCACCCCTGGTCCCTGGCTAGAATCATCTCTGAAATGTCTAAAGCTCTGCCACTACCTGCACCAGGAGAAGCAATGTGTCACCACCAACCTAATAGCAACCATCAGCTTTGCTGGAGTTATCCATTCACCGAACTGAATCTATCAGCTTTCCTGAGTTCACTGGGACACTGATTTGGACCGGACACCATCACTTGAGAAACAGCGTTAGCACCAGGGTGAACACCACCAGTACCCGACCTGCCTGTAGTTAGCTTCCTCCTCTTTCCCTATTGACCCACAGATTAAGTTGCTGCATGCCCTGGGGCAACACCTGGGGGTATGACAACTGAAAACTAAGAAACTAAGTACTATACATCCAATTTGTCTGTGTTCACTGCCCACTTGACGTTTCTACTAGGATGCTTGCAAGATGCATCAAACTCCGTAGTCCAAGATCATACTCATGATCTTTTGCCCAAAACCATACCCCGCTTCCATTCTGATACTCCTCTAATCAGTTTTCCACACTGCAACCCAAGTGATCTTTTCAAAATGCAAATCTGTTCATCACACACATACACACTTAAAACCCTTCATTGGCTCCTCTTCGTCCTCAGGAGAAAGGCTCATATCCTTAACACAGGCTCCCCGTCCTGCGTGTTTGGCCCTGGATGCCTTTCCAGCCTTCCCTGGCCTCACTCTCCCTCTCCCCTGATATACTGCAGCCACCAGGGTCATGTTAGCACGTGGGTCACTCTGCAGAGAATTAGATAAAGGTGCCCCTTCTGGACAGCCCAGTTGGAAAAATGATGCCCTTTCCTCTAAGCTGATGCAGTGTCTCATGGGCGATCTCACTTGGCAAGAAAAGCAGGGCTGGATTTCAGCTCCTACTCTGCTTCCTCAGCCCAGCTGTGCCCCCCTGGTCCACAGCACAGCCTGTGCTGGCCAAACCAGTTGCCTGCCTTCTTTTGGGTACCCCCAAATACACCATGTTCCCTCCTCCCACTGGCTTTTGCTCTTACTATTTGCTCAACCTGGGATACTCTTCCTCTCTCTTTCTATCCAGCAATCCCCTACTTAACCCTCAGATCCCACCCAACCCTTACATCCTCAGGAAAGCCTTCCCGATCTCTCCTTCTTTCCAACCAGTTTAAGTTCCTTTGTAATACCCTCTCATCAGACAGGGCTTCCATTTCTCCTAATACTGATCCATTTTGGAAGCTTACACTCATTTGTAGAACGAATGTCTGACACCCTCATTGTATTACAAGCTCCATTAGTGCAGAGACCATGTCCTTTTCATCTCTCTCCATTGTAGTCCCAGAACTTAACACAGGGTCAGGCACATAATAGTTGATCATTAAATATTCATTAAGCACCTACTGAGTGCAGGCTGCTCTTTAGTAGATGGTAGTGTCTGGACTTTATAATCAGAACAACTTAAGCTTCCCAGAGGCATGATTAAGCACGTCAAAGAGGAAAATATTCTGTTCCACTTAATTATGCATTTTTATTTAAAAATAGAAGTCTTTATTAAAACAACAAAGCATAAATATTAAAGAATGTATTTAAATAACTTGTGTAATTTAGTGCAAGCTTTAAAGGTTCATAAACACTGAAAGGCAATTCAATGCCTTTTTAAATCGTTTTCTATCATTATCTCTACTTTATCTAATCTTGTCTCTTAACCCAGTTTGGAGGAGAAGTAATTCATTCTGACTCTCCTCATTTTGTCTCAAAACCTGCTAAGGCTTGTCCACAACTGCGGCATGTTTCTGGCCTCCCGGGCTTTAGATCAGATTGTAGCAAAAGCCTCTGCAGGTAGTTTGCATCTTACTCCACTGTGGGAGAGCTCCCACAGTTTTAATGGAGAAAGGTCCTTCTCATGAGAGTAAACATTTTGGATATCTATCACTCTTTCTCTTTGCTTCTTATCCTGGTACAGCAGAAAGAAGTCAGATCATTCAGTAACACAAGAGCATGGCTTCCATGCCACAACCCAGTGGTGGTCATTCTTTACCATTTCCCAGGAGCTGGCTTCCGAACCTGCCTTTTAGAGAAACTCTTCATGTGAAAACCTGTTTCTCCATTGTCAGGGTTGCTGATCAATAGCTTGATCTAGTTACCAGTTAGACACCTATATAACTGCAATTCCTCAGAACTTAATGTAGCAAACGATTAAGCTGATCCTAGCCGGGTCTATGAAAGAACAAATAGTGTGGTCCTACACTAGGTGTGGCCACCTGCCCATTGGGGATAAATGGCCCCTGCCACCCAGGTGGATCTGCTTCTGAGCTTAAACTTCCCTTCAATCTTTTTCCCATGGCTGTGTGTTTACAGGTGCACAGAGAGAAGCCTGTGTGGTGGTGAAAGCTAGAAAATAAGAAGTCCATCTATTCACAGAGTTGCAAAGAGGCCATTAATGCTAAGCTTCAGCAGTGGAACACAGAAAACGGCATTAAAGGATTTACTTTTCATGACCATAATTCACAGTTAATGTACATTTGATGTTTAATGTATGAACCAGAGGTGACTTCAAACTTGCGGGCCTTTTCTAAATAGCGTTTTAATCTAAGTTAAAAAAAAAAAAAAAGGTTCATACACTCAGTCTGTCAGAGAAGAGGGAGGGGAAAAAGGCAAAGCTAGGTGTGAGAATCCGAAGTGGGGGCAGGCTTTTGTTCAGTCCTTTATTGAGGTTTTACCTCTAATCTCTCCCTTTTTGATGCAATTTAAGATTAAGGAAATGAAAGGCATGGCTGACTGTGAATGGTTTTACAAACAGGACAGCCAAGGGGCCCTCAGAAGACAGTTTTGTAAGAGGCTTTGGGCTTCAGTCCCTAGGAAGGATGAGGTGGGAGGTGCTACAGGGCCCGAGTGCACGGGAGAGTGGCCCTGAAAGGGCTGGTCTGTCTGCAGAGAAACTGACCTTCTGCATCCAAATAGGAGGCAGTGGTGGCCACCACACAGCTCAGTGGGAATCAGAGTCAGGTGAGGGAAGCCAAAAAGCATGATGGTCAGAGCAAGGGGTGCCATGCTCTGCTGGGAGGAGCCCCCAGATTAAACATGCTGGGTCCAGGATCTATCATGTGATGTCACCTCTCAGGACAGCAGTTCCCTCATCCAGATAATAAGGTTTGCAGGCTAAATCAGTGATTTCCAATGGGCTCTGCTGAGACCCTAAGGCACAAACACACCCTCAGGTGCTCTGGCAGATACAGTAGGGGACTCACATGGAGAGACCCTGGCCCTTGGCCCTCAGCATTTTTCAACAAGAGCAACTCCACTGTTTTATAATGAAGAGTTCCACATAAGATTTTTTATACAGGGAAGTTTCCCAGTTAAAGATACAAACACTGAAAGGTAGGAGATCAGCTGATCCCTAAGATCCTTTCCAGATCAAGTCTAGAAGGGTAGATAGGTAGAAAAGACACCTAAATGGGCCTCCTCAAGGAAACAGTCCTCCAAAATGGGCAACAGAAATAAGAGTAGCACCTGACAGGTTGTAAAGGTTGCATTGCTGGAGACCAATGCGGTGGAGGGGTCGAGAGTGTCTCCTTGGAGCCCAGTTTATCAATTTCAAGAAGATGATTTTCTCCAGTAATGCTAAGCTGCTTCAGGTCAGGAACAAAGTAAGCAGATAGTCGGGGCTTTTTCCCAGGTAAGTTCAGTGGAGAGAATAAGGAAAAAAGGAGTTGAGGGTATCTGCAAGGGAATTGCTTTGTAGAGCTGGGATGTGAAAAGAAAGAAAGAAAGTGAGAGAATTTAGTGGAGTGTGGATGAGGGAAAAAAGTCTTTTTATCAATAAACTGTGCATAACTTCTAAAGTTCTCTTTAGCCCTAACCCCTTTATGTTTTCATGATTCTATTCTATCTCTTAACATGGCTGGACAGTGGAGAATTCGCTGCAGGAGGAGAGAGCCAATTGGAACTAGGCAAGTTAACAGGAGCTGCCAAATGGACTGATGGATAGAACCCATCAACAGAAACCTTGGAGCAAGCACTCCTGGAGATTCGTTGATTTGTTCTTTGTTCATTTATCCAGCACATTTTTGTTGAGTGCCTACATTGTATTTGACACTGTGGATTAAGGATCATTAAACAGATAAGTAGGGACTGTGCCCTCACAACCTAGTGAGGAAGTTCAAAGCTGAACATTTGTTACACATGTGATGCATGTTATCAAAGTGGAGGTGCAGACCATTCAGGGGGTGTAACACAGGGCACTCACTCATTCTAGGAGCACAGGGCCTTCTCCCCTGAGAAATTGCCTGGTTCTGGGGTCAGTGTGAGAAATGCAGGGACTCTCAAATCATTGTTGCCCTGTGTCTTCTAACTCCAAGCTGCTCTCTGCTTTTCTCCTCCTGCCCAATCCCAGCTCTGGTTTCCCTGTTTATCCAAGAAGAAGAAAGGGCTCCAAAGGGCTGTGGGAATGGGGAGAGGGCAGGACTACCTGCAGCCCGCTCCCTCCCTGTGAAAGTCTCGCCAGCCTTGTGGAATGTTGTCTTTCCGTAGGGCTTCTTCCACCTAATTCTTCAGAAGAGATTTGAAGGTCTTCTACCAACCGTGCTTCCCCCCTTCCCTTTTCAAAAAATTCCCTTACTTAGATTGCATTAATAAAACCGTATTGTCTGGATGAAAGGAGAAGATAAACCTGTTCTAGTATGTGAGGGACAAACCAGACTTGAGTATTGTTTGCAATTCTCATATTCAGAGAACCACAAAACACGACTGATTTTAAGGAGTGTGGCCAGGGGGGTGAAAGAACTTGGAAGCATGGCTCATGGAAAACATAGAGAACTGGAATGTTTCACCAGAAGACATAGGGTGGCATGACAACCCTGCTCCAAAGCCTGAAGGACTGTCCTAAGGAAGAAGACAAATGCCAATTAATGCCCCAACATAAGAGCAAAGGTCAATGGGCTAAAGTCAAAATAACAGATTTTTAAAATCTCAATATTTTAGAAAAAGGAATTTTATGAGAATTGCTGGAAATGGAGTGGAGACCAGAGGGAATTGAGAAGTGGTGAGTTCTCCATAGGAGAAATGCAAGCAGTGGCTCAACGGCCATTTAGCAGGGATATTTTTAAAAGGAAGACAAAGTTAGGTAAAGTAATAGGCTCAGGCTCTGTAAGACACCACTCACACTTGGCAGCACATGATTCTCTGTGCAAGTCAAATTAATCTGGTTTTCATCCTAAGCCTTCAGTCGCTGTCATCGTCTTTCCCAGGTTGTCTCTACCAAGCCCTCCAGAAGCCCTTCAAGACCTGGTATGGGAGGAACGTCTCTTTGGGGGCGCTCAGAGAGCCTCTCTGAGCTTTGGCTCTGTTTTGTCCACCACAGTGTCTGCCCAATTATGGCATCCGTGTTCTCCCCAGCTGAGAGCCACTGAGCACACTGGGCCATCTATCCATCTCACTGTTAAGTGCAGAAAAGAGAAAAAGCCTAATCTCTTCCTACCTCCTCTCAAAGTTTGAGGCTTATTTCCTCTCAAACTTCAAATCTTGAGTCTTGCCGCCAGAAACCACTGAGAAGCCACTGACTTGCCTCAGCAGCATACAAGTCTGTCAGCTCTAGAAGTTGATTGTGCACCCCAGATTAAGAAGAACTTGTGTTTCCAGCCTGTCTAAGATGGTTTCCACTCATATCACTTCAGGTGCAGCTCCCTCATATGCTACAGCATGTGGTACCTTTAAATGGCAAACTTTTCTAAAAAGGCAGAAAGCAAAATGGATTCAATCCAGGAGAACTAATCCCGGAAAATCAAAATCTTCCACATAGGGGTGATGATAAACAGATGCCTCTCATCTCGACAAATGAAAGGTCACCGACAGACAGTGCAGAGTAATTATTAAATAACTTCTCCCATTTGTTCAGGATCAGTAGCGACCTCATTACCTAGATCCAAAGACAATATCTCTAAATCCTGGGCATGGATCCAAAAAGGTCATTAATAACAGGAGAGTCCCCAAATTTGCAGGAAAAGGAAACCAGTTCTAATTACAGAAGCAAAGTATTCCACCCCAACCCTTTACATCAACAGTTTGCAAGTTAATAACAGCAATATGGATTCCTCAGGCACCACTTACAGCCACTTGACCAACAGCAGCCTGGTTAACCCAGCCTTTTCTCTGCAAACTGGATGCGCCTTTGTATGTCATGGGCAGGGAATCAAGCCAACTTGAGGGTGGTTTTCTTATTGTCATTTCTCATGGCTTCAGGCCAGAGGCGAAGGACTGGAGCAGAGGCTCAGATTCCTGGCCCTTTGCCCAGATAACTGGACCTTAAGAAGAGCAAGGAAGGGCCGGGCATGATGGCTCACACCTGTAATCCCAGCACTTGGGGGGCCGAGGCAGGCGGATCACGAGGTCAGGAGATCAAGACCATCCTGGCTAACACAGTGAAACCCCATCTCTACTAAAAATACAAAAAATTAGCCGGGCATGGTGGCAGGCGCCTGTAGTCCCAGCTACTCGGGAGGCTGAGGCAGGAGAATGGCGTGAACCCGGGAGGTGGAGCTTGCAGTGAGCCAAGATTGCGCCACTGCACTCCAGGCTGGGCGACTGAGTGAGACTCTATCTCAAAAAAAAAAAAAAAAAAAAAAAAGAGCGAGGAAGGTGAAGGATAAAAGACTACACACTGGGTACAGTGTGCACTTCCTGGGTGATGGAAGCATCACAGAAATCCCCACTAAAGAACTTATCCATGTAACCAAACACCACCTGTTTCCCAAAACCCTACTGAAATTAAAAAAAAAAAAAAAAGAAGAAGAAGAGGGAGGTGAAGATTTAGGTCACCTCGTGGGAAAGAGCTGCCTTTAGTCCTAGCCTTGGCTCTCCAGGCCCCTTGGAACGAGAACAAGCCTACCCTGGGGGTTTGGCTTAGGAGGGTAGCTGTTCTTCTTACACCATCTTGTTAACCTGTCAGTCAACAGGCACCTTCTGCTTCCTCAAACTGGCTGCCCCTGACTTTTGAACTAGGAATCCCACAGTCCTCAAAGAGAGATTAGATTTTGCCGCCTATCAGAGGAAAGACAAAAACCACAGCAATTTCATGTCCCTGCCTCCTCTGTTCTCCATCTCTAAAGCAGCACAGCCATAGTAGTAAAACATGTAAGAATTCAGGCTCTGGAGCCAGACAGAGCCAGTGTAAAGCCTGTCACTTACAGCTAGAGGGCTTAGGCAAATCTCTAAGCCTCAGTTTCTCACCCACAAAATGGGCATAACAATTTATGGTCTAAACAGGGACTCTGAGAGTGAGAGGAAGGTGCCCTCAATAATTACTCTGAAGCAACAGGCACAAATCAGAAGGAACAAACCATGATGCATAGTTACTCTCTTGAGGAGGGTCCTATGAAGATCAAATAAAAGAATATATGTAAAATGCTTATCACAGTGCCTGGTACATGGCACATAGAAATCATGCTGCATCGAATGGATGCAGTGGCTCACGCCTGTAAACCCAACACTTTGGGAGGCCAAGACGGGTGGATCACCTGAGGTCAGGAGTTCAAGACCAGCTTGGCCAACATGGCGAAACCCCGTCTCTATTAAAAATACAAAAATTAGCTGGGCATCGTGGTGCGCTTCTGTAGTCCCAGCTACTTGGGAGGCTAAGGCAGAAGAATCCCTTGAACCTGGGAGGCGGAGATTGCAGTGAGCCAAGATCATGCCACTGCACTCCAGCCTCGGCAACAGAGCGAGATTCCATCTCAAAAAGAAAAAAGAAAAAAAGAAAAAAAATTTAAAAAGAAAAAGAAAAAGAAAAAGAAATAGTGCCGCATTGACATCACTATCCTGCCTTTCCAAACTCCCAGACTGCCAAAAGCGAAATAGGAGCCCGGATGGATTACCCAGGGGCTGCTTCGATTTCCTAGACCCCATCTCACTTCCTCTTAGGCCCTTCGCCATCCTCACTTCACACCCAGTGGTGCCGGCAGGATGTGTGTCACTGGGGGCACGTGGGATGGCTACCCATCAACATGCAATGTCATAAAAGCAGAACCATTTTGGGTCATGGGGTGTCCTTGGGAAACAGGCTGACATTCCCCATGTTAAGTCTGAAGGATCATCACACAGCCCATTTCAGGGTTAGTTCAGTGAATGGATCTGATGAATCTGATTAAGCCCTGAACATCCCATTTCCACGTCACTTGGCTCCGTGCTCGAGGGGCACCAGGCTCTACGCAGGGGCGGCCCCAAATGTACCAGATAATTAAAATCATCTCTGCCCTGGCTGATTGCTCCCCCCATTACTCTCGCCCATTACTGGTGATGCAAACAATAAATAATTTAATAACCCAGGTTGAGTACACTCTGGTTCCAAAACAAAGTGTTTTAATTCTCCAGTGTGCCTGCTTTCAGCATGACTGTAATTCCATTTCCCTTCACTTGACTGGGCCTTTTGCTGCTTTTTAGACTTCTCGTATTTCTCCCCAAGTTTTCCCCACGGGGCCCTGACAGTTGCATTATAGCAGGGCTGGGCAGCCAGCATGACATCACTCACTACTCAAGTCAGCAGCAGCAGCAGCGCAGTGACATGTACTCATTAGCCGAGCAATCTGCCCTGCGTCTCGATGGCGATGAAAATCTGTCCATGTGGCCGAAGGCAGGACTGCTGCCCCGGGGAACCTGGGTCCTCCTTTTTCCCCTCCATCTTTCTCTTTCTCCTGCCTGCTTTCCTGTAATCTTCCCAGCCCTGGTGATGGGGAAATGCCTGAAAAGGGAGAAAGGCACTGGAGAGGGTGGCGGGAAATGGCCCCTATCCCTCGCCCTGCAGAGTTGGGTCTGACTCGTCATCAAACTCTCATCCTGGTGCTGAAGGAAAGATCTCCCTCACTCCCAGCTTTGGCTGAGGCCTAAGAGAACCCAAGCCCCATAGAGAGATCAGATTCTGCTACCTTTCAAAGGAGCGCCAGGACCACGCATACTCTCACTCTGGCCAAGAGAAACCTCCCTGCGTGGCCCTCCCATCGCCTGCCCCCACCTGCAATCCTTCCACCTTTCAGAACAGCAGCAGAATATGCTGATGTGAGAGTCTGGTGCCCTTGCCTGAAGCTGAGGGGGGCCAGGGAGCAGCAGCTGCAGGGGAGGAGCAGGGGTAAAAGGAAATGCACCAATGGAGCTTTCGTTTAAATAAAGAGCGGGGAAGCATTGTGCTCCATTGATTACAATTTTTTTTTCTGAATGTTGTGACATTTGCAGGAAGGCTAATTTATTCAAGCATGGAAATCTTTAAAAACTTAATTAAGTTATTTCTGTGATTTTCCATGCCTTATTGTTTCGAGTTCACATTTACTTTCATCCTTGTTAATAAAAAATAAAAAAGTGGGGAGGGGCTGGAGAGGGAAGAAAGAGAGAGAAATGATCTCACAGCACCTCCCAAGACTAGATGCTTTCTAGATTCTCCATTTTCCTGCACGAGGCTTCAGCGGGTCAGGGCAAAAGGGAGGCAGGGATGTGTCCTCTCATGTCAGGATCCAAGTCAGGCTCTGTCTCCACTAAGATTGGTTGGGGATTAATGCAGACCCCTTGCCTAATCCTCCGGGCACTGTGGCACCTGTAGCAAGCTTGGGTGACTGTAAACCCTGGCATGATTTCATATAAAATAGTACTGATGCATAACTGTGATGCGTCTCCCCCAAGGCAGACTTGGCTCTGCACTCTATAGGGTATCATGGGGTAGCATGATGGGGGAGTTCTGGAATCAAGCTTGAAATGCAGATAGCCAGGCCCAGTTCTCTACGAGGTCAGTTGCCAGAGCCAGATGTCTTTCCTGGGCAGCTGTGGTGCTTAGAAATAAAACCTTGAACCTCATCAAAGATAGGATTTTCTCCAGCCTGGGCCCCAAATCCCTAGAAGTTGTGCTCATTCCTTTCTTCTAAAGGGAGTCCTAAGAATGCTCATGTACCCTCACTCAATTACAGATTGGGTAATGCCCCTGCCTGAGCCACTAGAGACTGTGGATGACTAAGATGCCGGGGCAGGAGTGGGATAGAGCCAAGAGCAGACCAAATCAAGAAACACAGATGCAAGAATTTCCATTAGAAAATAAAGTCCATGCTGGCAGGAAGAATATGCAGAAGCTATTCTGCAATAAACATTCATTTATACAAATACACAAATAATAGGTTTCTGTGGTTAATTTGGTTCCCACCCTGGGGGTAAGTGCATCGTAGGTTGACTGGAGAATGAGTGGGAAGGAGAGAGCACTGGGATTTCATGTGAGGACAGGGTATGGTTGGGGTAAAAGGAAGCAACACCTCTCAAGTGCTGATCCGGAAAGACGGAGAAGGTGGGACTTAAAGCAATGCGGAAGGCTGGAACCCATCTGGCGTCCAGGCTGCGCTCACTGCCTTCCTCCTGGGGTGTGCCCGGCTGAAGCCTTTCTGCAAGTGATCCCAACTCAGAGCACATGAGAACCAGAACTCTCTGCTGAGGGTATCCTCGGGTTTCCTAAATCAGTGCTTTCATCTTCATCTCAAAACTGCCTTATTGAGGAAATACAATCCCTACAGACGTCACTGGAGTACCTCCCTTTGATTGAAAAGAAAATATTCCTATTGAACATATGGTGCCATGTAGCCCACCCCAAACATTTAATGGACTCTGCTTTGTCCAGGACATCAGACTCGCATCCCCTGCTGTGGCCAGAACCCAGGTCATCTGTATTCTGATGACATTTGCACATATTATTTTTAAGTCATTTGTCTCACCTGATATTGTGAGTCAAGAACTTTAATAGGAGAAATTTATGACTTGTCTCTTCCAATCAACATAAGAGTTCACGGCAGTGTTCAGTGCACTATACTAATGGATATTGCTTTCAACTGGGTGTTGGGTTTAAAAAAACAAATCCCTCTCAAATTCATTAGCCTGTTCCTTCTGATCTATTAACAGGAGCGGTGGCCATTGCCCTCCACCCAGGCTGTCTGCTAACCCAGTGGGTCTCTAGGTGTGGTTCTTAAGAGGCCTCCAGGTGGTCTACCAGCTAATTCAAATGGAAAATTACACAAGAGTGCCTTTTCTTAAAGTGCAATCTCCAGAGCAGATTTGAACCTACATTAAAAAGGCCCAAAATGAACATTTTCAAAATTATAAGGTCAGTAATGGTTATTTACCCAGGCAAAAGTTTCCCTGGGCCATTACAAGGTTTTTGTAGTAATAAGTGAGTACTAGTGAGGTGCCCGGAGCCTGGGCCCTTCTGCTGCTGAGGACTGGCGGTTGGGATGTCTGGGGAGCCCTGTCTGTGCAGGCTGTCTGGGCATCAGCCTTAAGCAAGGCAACCAAAATGTCAAGGTTCAGAGAGAAGCGGCTTCAGCTGTCAGTCCACCCATTTCTTTCCAATAAGAGGAACGCACAAAGAAAGAAAATAACAATAAGAAAAATAGATTGATGAAGATGGGAGAGACATTCATCAACTGGTTTTGTAGAAACAGAGAGCTGGAAGGCTGAGGTCGTGTGGCCCACCCACCTCCCCTGAGCAGGCTTCTTCTCCCGCTCTTGTCAACACAACATGAACCCTGAACTCAGTGCCTAATGGCACATCGCCCTGTGCATGGGGCACAGCCTGCACACTCTGTACAGTGGTGACCCAGACCCTGCCTTGTAAGTGCTTGTCACCTAGGGGAGGGAGCTCAGAGCTTCTGTGAGGGAAGGGGAAAAAGGCAACATTCAAACAAAAGGCTCTCTGGGCATGTTAGCCCTTGGTTGAATTTCTGCCAGGACGACAAGGAATTGGGAGCAGAGGCTACTCCTCCAAGTCCATGGGAACCTCAATTCTCTGCAGCACCCCTCTTTAGGGTCTCTTGAACACACCAGTGCTCTTCTACAGGTCGATGGAAACCTGAGGTGCACTGTTGGGGGAGGCCTGTTAGCACTCCGACACCATCACAATCACGTGCCCTTCACTAGGCTGTGTTGTCCCCAGGTTGGCTCACGAACCTTCTGCTAGTCTGTTCTCTCTTCCTGCACATCCCATCTTGTCTCAGCAATGATCAAGCGTAGCTCCTCACATTATCTAGCCCTCCTCTGGGGGCCCTCCGCATTTCCCATGTATTGCCCACTTTTTTGACTAGAATGAAATGGCTCTTTGCCTTTTTTCCGTCAGACACATACCCTAAACTCTAGACTTCTACACCTCCTTGATCTCGCCCTCTTCATTCTCCCCATTCCTCCATACGGGATGCTCTCAAACTTTAGCACGCATCAAAGTCAACTGAAGGGCTTGCCAAAACGCAGAATGTCGGACCGGGCCCCAGAGTTTCTGATTCACCAGATCTGGGGCGGGGCCTGAAAATGTGCATTTCTAATGAGTTCTCAGGTTGTGCTGATCCTGCCGGTCTAGAAGCTACACTGTGAGAATTGCCACTCTATATCTAGTATGAGTCCCACCTACTCCTCTCTGGGAAGCCTTGGGCATGCTCGCAAGCTTCTGTCTGTGTTGGGTGCATCTCGCCCAAGGGGCCACACTCCCTTTATCCCTGCCACAGAATCTTGTCGGCCTTGCCTCTCCCTTCCCTTTGCGTTCGCTGAGCCCAGCCCCTGCGGCTTTACAGGCTCCGGCCACTCCTGAGCTGCCATCTCCACCCATGCATGTGGCTTCTTGCCTTTTGCTTTC
The DNA here is from genome assembly GCF_000001405.40 of Homo sapiens. Classification (NCBI taxonomy): domain Eukaryota; kingdom Metazoa; phylum Chordata; class Mammalia; order Primates; family Hominidae; genus Homo; species Homo sapiens. Next base: position 115,741,631 of record NC_000011.10, on the reverse strand, counting down.
CTCTCACTCCCTGTGTTTCCTCACATCCATCTCTGTCTGCCAGATTCTCACATTCAGGCTTCCTCTGGCATCTATCCATCATCCTCATCCATCTCACTGTGCAGATATTTACATTTCTAAAGCCCATTGTGTTTTTATGATTCCTCCTACTTCAGCCAAACAAGGATTTTCCTCTGAAACATACTCACAGTTAGGCCATGGGGTTAGGGAGGGAGGACACCGTACCCATTTGGAGTAACCCCTTTCGAGGCTGTTTATTCATCAAGAACAAAGAGTGGTTTCGGCAGGGATGGAGAGCAGACACAGCAGTGCCATGCTTTTGACTACCTGTCCCACTCAAGGACACACTAGAAACCCAACGGATGGGTTGGGTCCTATTGATCCTTTTTAATTGTATTGAATTGACTTGGAAACTTCTCCCAAAGGCCTTATCATGGGTATTTATTTGCAATACTCAAGGACCAAGGAAAAAATATGTAATATTTTTTAATTAACCCTTGGTCCCTGGAAAGCAGAATCATAGAGGATCGTGTTGTGAGCATGGACTCTGGTTGTGGGTTTCCAGGTTTGAATCCCATCTCTGCCCCGACCACATATGTGATCGTGAGCAAATACCACACCTCTCTAAACATCGATGTCCCCTCCTGCAAAATGGGCATGATGCCCCAGGGCAATGTCCAGAGAATTAAATAGGATGACATACCTAGCACGTAACACCTGTGGCTCACACACAGGACTCAGTAAATGGTACTAACATTAGTATCCTCTAGGTGTGCCACATCCTGGAGCCTCAGAATCTGGGTACAGAGACTGTATCCGGATTTGAGCAAAACCATGGATGGGTCACCTTCTACCCACGGACTGATCCCACCCCAGGCTAGAGAACCCTGGGTTTTCTCAGTTAGACAATAGCCATTCCCCATTTTGCTCTGAGCCATCAAATCCCCAGCACTTAACTTAAAAGCTTTGTGCTTTGGTTTTTGTCTTTTTTTTTTTTTAATAGAAAAAAAAGTCCTATTCTTGTCTGTCCAGTGCTTTTCCAGCAAAACAGCAAGTCAGCACTAAGATTCTCCTTGGTCAGCACAATGTGTGTTGCAGTGGGAAAATTTGGGGCAGTTTGAGGAGGCCCTAATGAGAAGGGAAGTTAGGGGTTGTCTGGGCACTAGCCAATTTCCTAGGTGTCCTGGAGATTCCTTAGGAGTCATACTTCCTCTTTCCTTCTACATCCCTTCTACTTCCTGACATCCATGAAATTCTCCCATGAAATTCTCTTGCAAGACAAGACAGAGGTCTCAAGAGAAGTCAGAGATAGGAAAAGCATTTCTTCCAGCCATGGCCTAGAGTCTGATGACCAAAAAGTTGCAACCATCTGCATGGACACTGGAGCCATTTCTTTGAGGGCCTATCTTCCAGGAATTCTGTGCCTGCCGCTTCCATAGCAGGGAAAACATAGGTTAGATCACCACTCCCCCGACCATGACCAGGGCACTCTCAGAATGTCTTGCCCTCAAGGACTTGGCTCACTAGCCACAAAGAAGTACATGTCAAGACCTGTTGGCCACTTTCCACCCTAAGGAGGCCTCATTCTTATCTCTGCTACGTCTCCACTTGCACAGCAGAATGTGAAGGACAGAATAAGAAGCCTGTTGCCTTGTATCAGCCAGGGCAGGCAGACTCAGAAGGGCTGGGGAGCACTTATAATACAGCAGCTCAAAATCAGGCCCTACAAAGGCATGGTGGGGGAAAGAACACAGAGAGTGAGGCCAGACAGGTCTGATTTGAGATCCAGTCTCCATCATTTTGATGAATTGTGCAAGTTACTTAATCTCACTGTGCATCAATTTTCTCATCTAAGAAATGGGGATAATGACTACCACTTCGCCGAATTTTTCTGGGGTGTATATATGTTGCATAAAAGCACTAGCATGGGTGCTGGGTGCAGAGTAGGCACCCAAAACTCTACAGGGCTTGTCCAATAAATTGGGGCTTTGTGATTATTTAAAATGGGCTGCAATACTGATAAGTTTCTCTGATGCCAGAGTCAGAAAAAAAGGTCAAATTCAGCGCCCCAAGTACCTTTAGCTACAACTGGCCTAAGCAAGCTGGAAAGCAATTCCCAAGTTATCCGGGCTGCTCTTGCTCCTGCCGGCTAATCCCTAACTGCATTTGTATTCCTTTGCAGCCGGCCGGCCTGTGCATATGGAATACATTTTCTTTGGGTGTCTCACCATTAGCGTTTTCATTTCTGCTTAGCATCAGGGACTTTGCACATCACTGGCCTTCCAGACTACTAAGCCCGTCTTTGTGTAGGCTTGCTTTGTTCTCTCATTTCCTGATCAGCCAGGAAGCATTTCTGGGCAAGAGCTTTTGGAGGAGGGGTTTTGCCTGGCAGCTTCATACACTTTGAGTTTTGGAGAAGGATGAATCAAGTACCACCTCATACACAGGTCTCCTCTCTCCCTCTCTGTACACATGGCTGCCTGTGGATTAGATACAGCCTTCTTTCCTCCCCAAGTTTTCTAGCACTCCCACATGTAGATCTGCTAAGCTCTGCTAATAAACACAAAGAAATTAGCTGCTATGTTCAAAGCTTATGCTATCAGTCAGCTGAGCATGACTCTGAAAAGGCAACCTTCCACTTAAAAGAATATAATAATTCACAGTGCTGGCAAAGGTGCAGTGAGATGGCACTGTCATAGCCACTGATTAATGAGATTGTAAATTGATGTGACACTTCAGGTGGGGGGAGTTGAGGGGGACAATTAACCAGCATATAACAAGAGCCTTCGAAACAGTGATTCCACTTCTAGGAAAGTGTCTCCTAAGGAAACAATCAGAAATTGTGGTCAAAGATTATTGTAATACAAAGATGTTCATTGCAGTAATGTTTACAATGGTGCAAATTTGCAGGAAATCTAAATATCCAGTTATAAAGATTAACTAAATGTATATAAATCCACAAAATTGAATACTGTGAAACTATTAAAAAAAGATATTGTAGAATAATACGAAAGGGACAGGAATAGGCTCATCATATAATATTAAATGAAAAAAGAAACTATAAAAATGCAAATATAATATGACTTGAATTTTATTTTAAGATAAAAAAGAAAAAAAAAGATTGGAAGGAAATTCCCTAAAATATTAACAGTGATTACCTTTGGTGGTATGATTGTGGATAATATCCTCCTTTCTCCTGTAGGTTTTCTATATTTTCTTTAACAAATACGTACTACAAATCAGAAAAGAATGACAACCATGTAAACAAAAGTGTTGCTTTCCTCTCCAGGGTCTGTGACCACAATAGAAAAGCTGGCTTGCTCCAAAGAACCATCTTCAACCCTGACCTCTTAAGGCACTGCAGGGAAGATACTATCTGGTCCCAGTTGGCCTGGTCTGCTCCCTGACAACCCTGTGATCAAACCTGACCAAGCCTGGTTGTCTAAGGGGACAGAGCTGGGCTGGCCATGGTCTCCTGCAGCCAGGCACATCCAGGAGCCTTTTCTAAGCCTCCTGTTAGCAGGCTTTTCTCCTGTCTCTTAGGTCACTGCAGATTGATTCATCTCACTTCACTGTGGTTTACAATTTGCAGTTCTTGACCCTTACATTCTCCCCTGGTGCTGGAGCCATGTTTCTGCAATACCAACAAACCAATGGCAGCAAGCAGAGAATCAGCTGCAAGCCGTGTATCCTCATGGCCTCCCCAGCAGGCTCCTTGCCCTCTCACTTCCTTTCTGTCCCTATCCAGCATCCACACACAAGGCTGCTTCTTTAAGGAGCCCTATGGGGTCCTACTCAAGATATGTGGGGAAAGGGAAGGCAGGCCTGAGATCTGGCCAATGGGAATTCAATTCGGTGCAGCAAAGGTCCTTATCACTGGTCAGACTAAGAAACAAGAGGCTTGACTGGAAGAGTCCACAAGGTCTGGGATTTTATACATTATATTTCAGTGTAGAGCAAAGAAGTCAAAATTTCTGGCCCAGATTACCATACTGGGTGAATTCAACAAGCCAAAAGTCTGGGCATCTGATTTAAAATGGGCTATTTGCAGAATAACCGTTTTTATTATACAAACAATGTCAGCAGAAGATGCCCCTGGGAGTTAGCATGGGTGTCTATCTATCCCTCTGTCCCTTATTGCCAATCAGGAAAAACACAAAAATTTTATCGACTCAACCTTCAAGGCCTCTGGCCACCTGGTTCCCACACCCTTATTTACCCAATTTCTTGCCTCTCCTCCACATGGGCTCCTGTCTATAAAATCCACTCTCTCCACTCCCTTCCTCTGACATCTTTTTCAATTTGTTCTTTTCCCCATCCCCTTCCAATGTAATTATGAGCAATTAGACAGAGAGCGAGGAAACCTGAATTCTCATCCTCTCTTTCTCATTCACTAGCTTAAAACCTTAGGCCAGGCCTGGGCACAGTGGCTCAAGCCTATAATCCCAGCACTTTGGGAGGCCGATGGGGGCAGATTGCTTGAGCCCAGGAGTTTGAAACCAGCCTGGGCAACATAGGAAGCTCCCGTGTCTACAAAATAAAAAAAAAATTAGCAGGCCGGCCACAGTGCCTCACGCCTGTAATCCCAGCACTTTGGGAGGCCAAGGCAGGCAGATCACCTGAGGTTGGGAGTTTGATACCAGCCTGACCAATATGGAGAAACCCTGTCTCTACTAAAAATACACACACACACACAAAAATCTGGGCATAGTGTCCAGTGCCTGTAATCCCAACTACCTGGGAGGCTGAGGCAAGAGAATCACTTGAACCCGGGAGGCAGAGGTTGCGGCGAGCCAAGATCATGCCACTGCACCCCAGCCTGGGCAACAAGAATGAAACTCCATCTCAAAAAAAAAAAAAAAAAAATTAGCCAGGCATCATGGTGCATACCTGTGGTCCCGGCTACTTAGGGGGCTGAGGTGAGAGGATCACTTGAGCCCAGGAGGTGGAAATTGCAGTAAGCCTAGATTGAACCACTGCACTGTAACCTGGATGACAGAGTGAAACCCTGTCTCAAAAGAAAAAGAAAAAAGAAAAACCCATAGGCCAGTCACTAACTTCCCTGAGCCTCAGTTTTCTGATCTGAAAGAAAATACAGGGGTTGAACTAAAAATCGAAACACCTTTCCAATTCTTACATTCTATAGCACTTTTCAGAGCCGAGTCAGAAGCCTTTTCTGAGTGAGCCCGCCCCTAACTGATGATGCCCACAGGTGCCCTCTGCAGTTCACTTCACAGGGTGGAGGAATCTACCCTAACTTGTTCTACATTTCCTGTGTGTATTTGGTTCTTTGATTGTTTTATTTTGTCCAGGTATAAAATATCTTTGGAACAATGACTGTGTTTCTTCACAACCCCCATATACCATGTTCAGAACACAGGAAACAGTCAGGGAAGGTTGTTAGCTCTCTGACTAATGTCTACCCCTCAGGCAGACATGAAAAGGGACTCATTTAAATTTGGTTTCCCTGCCAGAATTGTCAGGCCTCAGTGGCCTTGGGAAATCACCAAGAAGGAAAATCACCATTTATCCTAAAAATTCTGCAGTCTGCACAGGCTGCCATCATCTCCAAACCTCTGCCCAGCCCTCACACGGCAGCAGCATGAATTGCCCTGTCCTAGCCCTTCCCAAGGTCATAGTCATTCCTAGAGAAGAATGGGCTTCTGCCTCCTGCCAGACAGACTAGCCGGGATTGCCGGACACATTAACACCCAGAAATTGTATTCCCTACCACAGCCAAGCTGAAGAGAGGTTGACCAAGAGGTCAGATGCAGATGCGAGATGCATTGCATTCTGAGAGCAGCAACTGTCTCTGCTGTGTAAGCCTGAAATGTCTCTTGACATCTCTGAGCCTCACTCTCCATTTCTCTAGAATGAAGATCATAATGCTTATCCTTGCATTATGGTATCCTTGCATTATGGTATCTCCTTAAGGATCTCATGGTATTCTTATTACCATGAGACCTAAATATAATCAACTATATGGTCCCGCTTTTAAAAATGTGAATATTTTGGCCAGGCACAGTGGCTCACGCCTGTAATCCCAGCACTTTGGGAGGCCGAGGCGGGCAGATCACAAGGTCAGGAGATCGATACCATGCTGGCTAACATGGTGAAACCCCGTCTCTACTAAAAATACAAAAAAAAATTAGCCAGGCTGGTAGCAGGTGCCTGTAGTCCCAGCTACTCAGGAGGCTGAGGCAGGAGAATGGCGTGAACCCGGGAGGCGGAGCTTGCAGTGAGCTGAGATCATGCCACCGCACTCCAGCCTGGAAGACAGAGCGAGACTCCATCTCAAAAAAAAACAAAAAACAAAAAACAAAAAAAAACCAACAACAACAAAAAAAGTGAATATTTTACACCCTTTACATATTGTTTTACTGGTGTCCACAAGGATCTGGCCCAATATCATCCTTCTTTCCCTCCCAGAAACACCTTTCCATGAAGCTACTGTCAGGTGAGCTACACTGATGAGCGAGAAGCACTAGTCCTGATAGATACAGTTGGAACTCACAATATATTTTCCCTCTGGAACAATGGCATATATGAAATTTGGGTGTTGGGGACAGAAATGATCGTATTTCGTATTTTAATTATGTGTGAGTTAAATAGATTTTTGAGGAGTTCCCTGAAAACCTCCCCCTGCATTTAACACTTTTTCTATGAGAGGAAAACACTCCTGATTCATAATAACTAAGCTACAAGCAAATCTTTGGAAACCTGCCCATCTGTAAGTAGGGTTCTACCTGTGTTAAATCACCTTCAGATGCAGCCGTTCTGTGCCAACCTGGTGGGCTAATGACACATTTGTGGATCTCAGCGTGTCTGTGATATCACAAACACAGGTGTGGTCTCCTGCCTTCCCCTGCAGAGGAAGGAAGGGGTGAATGGAAAAAGAGTGGCAACTTCCTTGGCTCTCCTATCCTGCAGTAGGTGAGCCCTCTGCATGGGATCTTTCGGGGCTGAGAGCTCTTTTCTGTTAAAGGAATGTCTGCAAAAGACAAGACAAATACATTTGAACAGTCCCGAGGAGAGGTAATTTCAGAGTAGACACCTATTTCTCCACCAGAAACAAAGCAGATCCCAGATCTGAAAAGCAGGCTTGAGGAGGCAAGAGGAAGCATCCAGGAACCCCAGAGCAGGCAGTGGATTACCCATTGGCTCTGGGTAAAGCCAAGAGGGTTTAGAGAGGGATTTGCGCTGTTTCAGCCTCCTGATTCAACTCCTCTCCAAGGAAAGAGGCTCAGTAGGCCAACCAAGCCACTTTTCCTCTCTTGAGGGAAGACGACCAAAGATGCAACTTGCCCAGCTGTCTGTTATGAACGAAATTGCATCCCCGCAAAATTCATATGTTGAAGGCCTAACACCTCGTACCTCAGTATTTGACTGTATTTGGAGACAGGGTCTTTACAGAGGTAATAAAGGTGACACGAGGTCATTAGAGTGGGCCCTAATCCATTATGATGGGCATTTATAAAAGGAGGAGATTAGGACACAGAGAAGAATGCATGGAGAAAAGACCATGTGAAGACTCAGGGAGGGTGTGGTCATCTACAAGCCAAGGAGAGAGGCATCAGAAGAAACAATCCTCACAACACCTTGATCTTGGAGTTCTAGCCTCCAGAGCAGTGAGAAAAACAAACCGCCATCCAGGATGTGGCCCTTTGTTATGGCAGCCCTCGAAAACCAACACACAGCAGAACAACACCAGAGGCAAATCAGAAAGAAAATGAGATGCAGACTCCAGCAGCCTGGTCTCCCAGTCAGGACACAAGCCAGACCTGGACGGAAGTGGTCACAGCACTTCTAGCTCCAAAATAACCACTGGGTGGAGGGTCCTGGTTCCTCCTCCCACCAACCCCACGCAGCCCTCTCTATCCCCATCTTCTCAGGCTCACTGAGTGCAATGTCTGCCTGCATCCCTCTATCAGGGGCCTTCCTCTGCCCACAGAGGGAGTTATATACAAGCCCGAGGAATGAGGAAGAGAAGACAAAAGCAAGATGGAGCCTCACTGTCTGATTTTCCCAGACGTTCCCAGGAGGTCCTGGTTATGCAGGGCAGTCTGGATTTTTGGTGCGTACACCATTAGATGCCTCTTTCTTACTCTGCTTAGCGCACCAGGTCTGTAGGTTCTGGTTCTTAAGGGCCATGTAGAGTCCAACTAAAAAGGGCAGGTGTTTGTTTTCCAACCCAATTTCCTTCTAGTGGCGGAAACACTTGCAGCCCTTTCCCTTCCCTTCCTTGCCCACTGACCTCCACTCTCTCCCCTGTTGTAGACAGTGGTGTGTCTTCTGTCAAATGCATTTCTCCACCAGTCATAGCACTCATTCTGAGACAATCACAAGCTCAGAAAACCTAACAAAAGTAGGTGCTGTTTCTTGAGTGCCTACCACGTGGCCAGCACTGTACTAGTCACTTTACTCACCATATTTCCAGCCCTCACAGCCACCCCTGCAGGTGGGAATGACCACTCCCTTCCTAAAGATGAGAAAACCTGAACTAGGAGTGGTGGCTCGCACCTGTAATCCCAGGGACTCAGGATGCTGAAGTAGGAGGATCGCTTGAGCCCAAGAGTTCGACGCTGCAGTGAGCTATGATCCCACTGCTGCACTTTAGCCTGGGTGAAAAAGTGAGACCCTATCTCTAAAAAATAAATAAAAATAAAAATAAAAGATGAGAAAACCAAGGCTCAGGAGAAGTAACTTGTCCAGGGTCAGGCAGCCTGCTCTAGGCAGAGCTAGAACAGAAAGTGAGCTTTGGCTGACATATTTGCTTTGAACTTTTCACTCTGCAACTCTGATGAGAAAAAGTATATCTACACTGTGAAAGGCTATACAAGGAAAATTGGATTTTTTCCAATTCTTATTGATAATAACTAGGAGACATTAAAAAGAAAGAGAGAGGAGCCAGGCACAGTGGTTCATGCCCGTAATCCCAGCACTTTGGGAGGCCAAGGTGGGCAAATCACTTGAGCCCAGAAATTTGAGACTAGCCTGGGCAACATGCAAAACCCCATCTCTATAAAAAAAAATACAAAAATTAGCTGGACATGGTGGCAGGAACCTGTAGTCCCAGCTACTCGGGAGGCTGAGAGGGGAGGATTATTTGAGCCCAGGAGGTGGTGGCTGCAGTGAGACAAGATCACGCCACTGCACTCCAGCCTAGGTGACAGAGAGAGACTCTGAAAAAAAAAAAAAGAGAAAGAGAGGGAGAGGAGAGAGAGAGAAATCTTCAACAAGCACAAAAATGCCATGACTTCTAAAACTAAGATCTGATCTCCAACTTAAAAACCTTCTGTCTCTGTTTTGCCTGCAGAGAAGTATAAATTCCTTTGGAGAATGAAGCTGCTTTCCAATGCTTGCTGTAATAGCCCTCTGCATCTTTCTTTCATAACATCCAGTACAATTTGAAGTTATATATTGGGTGATTGTTTGATTAATGTTTGTCTTTCTGAAATTTTGAGGTAGCATGATCATATAACTTAAAGTGTAAATGGGAACACTTTTGAAAGTAAAAGGAGATGTTATTAATAATTATTCCAGGACAAAAAGGAGACTGGAACATGTGGTCATCCTACAGGTGAAGCAGAGACCAACTCTGGTTTACTTGTCATTGCAGTCCCAGTGCCAGATTCCATACTTGGCACAGAGTAGATGCTCAATAAATAAACATGATGATTGATTTAACAATGTCTTTGAAGTATTTTTCACTATCTTATCCCACCATATCTTTCAGGTTCCACCTACTGCAGCTTCTCACATATCCCAACCCTAGACATGCAGGGGTCCCCGTTTAGCCATTTTGAACATACCATATATTCTCACAGCCTCAAGCTTTTATGAAACTGTCGCCTTCGCTCACAATGCACTCCCCTCACTCTCCACCCGACTCCTTCCATTCTTAAAAGTATTCTCCACTCAGATACCACCTCTTCTCTGAAATCTTCCTCCCATTTCCCAGAACACTTGTACACTAATAGTGACCAACTTCTCTAATAACAAACATCCCACTCCATTGTAGGTATGTATGCTCCTTGTCCACCAGTAGACTGAGAGTTCCTCCAGGTTAGAGCACAAGTTTCATCCATCTCCCCAGGGCACATCCTAGCAGCATACACAGAGTAGACATGAGACAAACGCTTGTTGAAAGAATCAGATGAGGTTGGGAGTCCCCTTAAGTATCAACAGTCAAGAAATATTAAAAAGGAGTGAACTTGGGTTCTGAAATAATCATGTCTATGGTGTTATGGCTATACAGCTACTCACCTTCTTACACTGCATGGTGCTGGGCACCTAGCAATCACATTATCAATCAATATTATTAGTAGTAGTATTATCAATCATTTATTTTCATGTATCCCTTCACTCTTGTCTTTCCAGACTTCTGGAACGCTAACGGCAAGTTTCTGCTATCTCCTCAATCTCAGTTCCTCACCAGCATTTTTTTCTATTGGAACTGACCTTCTCCCCTGCTTTTTGTCAGCTGAGATGTATTAGAGAGTCTTTCATTGACAGGCAAGTCTTCCTGGCACTTCATCACGCCATATTCTTCAAAGTGTCTCTGACTCTATGGCTGCTGCTGGACTCCTTGGACCCTCCATCTTCCCCCTTGGCCAGGCTGTTTATATCCTTTAAAGACCTTTCACATAATGCCTGTGCTAATATTTACATCCCTGCTAAACCAGGCTGGCCTCTGCTGCCCTGGGCATTTCTTGACTCAAGCAGGATGGAGTTGCAATCTTTCCAAGCTACTCAGTAGCTATTTCCCATTCATAGAACCAAAGCATGCTAAGAGCTGGAAGTTGCTGAGTGTGCAGCCTACCTGGGGGTTAGGATATGACCAATGAAAGATGTGCTGGATTTAGCCTAGTTGCAGGTAATATACAGTCTTTGGAAACGGATAGTCCTGTGTTTGGAACAAAGCTCATCCACTCATCAGCTATGTGACCAGTAAATGATTTTATCTCTCCAGAGTCTTAATTCCCACATCTATAAAAAAGAAATCATTTTTTTATGAATAATTGCTTCATGTAGATAATTACATGATAGGATTGTTATAAGGATTAAATGTGATAATGTATATAAAAAGAAAGGCACATAATAATTGCTCAGTAAATGATATCTATTATTACAAAAAATCTAAAATATAGCACACACTTACTGTATATAAAGGTGTGTAGAGTGCTAAACTCTGGAATTGGAGTAAGGAAGATAAAAAGAGGAGGATAAAATCCCTGTCCTCCTCAAGTTCAAAATCAGAACTCAAAGCAAACTGTGATTAAGAGCTATAAGAGATACAGACAACTGGGAGCAAAAGGAGAAGATTCTGGAAGGGACAGAGTTGAGATCGTGGCTAGGCCTGAAAGATTGACAAGAGCCTTGGTTCACAGCTACGATGAGAGAAAACTTTGCAGAAGCAATGATTCATGCAAAATCTCAGAGGAAGGCTGTAGAATAACAAAAACAATAGCTAATACTTAAATGAGGCACTTCTTATAAGGCAGGCACTGAGCAAAATGTTTTATATCACCTCATCTAATCCTCTCAACAACTATGCGAGATGAGGTAGGTGCTAATATTATTCCCATTCTGCAAATGACTCTGAGGCTGAGAAAGGTGAAGTGGTTTGCTCAGGATTGCAGGGCTATTAAGTGGCAGAGCAGGATTTGAACTCAGGTCTGTCTGACCCTAAAGCCAAAGCTCTAATTCCACAACTGTGTGTGACAGGTGGGCATGTGTGAGAATTGTGGGAAGATCAGGGTGGCTGGAAGGTAGTTAGGGTATATACACATGGGTGTACGCATGTGTGTGTGCGTGCATGTATGCACACATGCACAAGTTGGGGGTATGGTACAGAGGAAATTTGAAAGAGAGGGCTTCTAGAAGAGAGGTAAGGAAACTACTGAGGAAGATTCTGGAATCCAGGCTGAGGGCCTTACGCTCTTCTGGAGGCTGACTTCAGTTCTCCTCACTGCATACTCAACCCCATTAGGCCCCAAGGGTTATCAATAATGGCAATGATCAGGCTAATAATGATAGTGGTAACAACCCCTGGAGGGAGGGTGGTGAGCCTGGGCCTGCAATGAACTCCTGCCAGGAGGAAAAGGCCTCCAACTCCCATTTTCTGGGCTTCAGGGCCAGGCCTAGGCCTCCAAATTGACTTTGACTTCACAGGAGAGCTCAGCAAATTCTGCAAAAGCAAAATACCTGCAGGAATATCTCTCCTTCTCTAGAGTTTTGGCAAACTCATTATCCCAATCAATATCTGAGTAATTACAATCCCTTGTGATCAAAGGGGGGTGTATTTCCCTTTCTTTGGCCTCTTTACAGGGCCCTCTTATCTGGAAAAAGATTTCTTAATCTACTTTCCCTAAATGCCCTGAAGGTCTGCGTGCCACTGCAGCCCCAGAATTCCCTGATTGCTTTTATTCTCCTTAACTGCTACCTGGCCCAGCTTGCTGGCAGCCCTGGCAGGAATCAGCCTTTTAGCTGGGGCCTCCCACTGAGCCCTCAAGGGAAAAGCAAGGAGGTGGGAGCCGGGACTCTCGGGAACCCACAAGAACCCAGGAGGGCCCCACTTCCTTCTCCATCTAAGAGGAAGCAGGGAAGGCTGAAGGCTGGGAGTGAGGTCAGCCCACTCTTGCCCCTCTTATGAGTTACACTCCCCACTCCTGCCAATCTTTCACCCTCTCACAAGGCCCCATCTCTGGCGGAGTCGGAGGAAGGGGTGGTTTGAGAATTAGAAAGATGTGGGTTCAAAGTTTTCCTTTAGGTCCTTGACAAGGACCCACAAGGTGAAAGAAATTTTTGTTCAGTTATCCCAGCCATCCTTCTACTCCATGAACCCCTCACCCATGCACCCTCCAGACAAAAGACCATCTATTAAGCTTGCAGGGTCCGGCCCCTAAGGCATGAAGATCAGCTCCCTAGCTCAGCCTCCCTGTGCCTCCTAAGTAACAACTGTGCTCTTATGTGGGTCAGGGTGGGTCTCCATGGAGGGGGAGCTGCGATGCAGAAATATAAAGAGGCGCTGCCGCATGGCCAACTCTCTCCTTACTGGGGGCTCATACTCATTGAGCATACTTACTTACTGAGCATACTCAGCCTGGCCTGATGTATGATTTCAAGACCAGGTCCTTTCTGACTCCCAATGGTTTAAGAAGTTTCTGCACGCCAGAAACCTAATTACCCCAAAGATTTCGGTTCCATCTTCCCAGCTTTGCTTCCAAAGAGGCCCCTCCAAGAACACCACTGGGTTGGAGTCATCACTTTGCTGACCACTTGCAGGGCCGTTTATTGTATTTTTATGAGGGGAGTACTGTGCTGTATAATACATTTCCCAGCAAAGAGCCATGGCTCTCAGTGCCACGGCTGCTACTGGGGAGGGGTAAAATAATGATGGACTCGTGTATACACACGTCTTCACACGAAGAGGGAGGTGTGGACCCAAGTGAGCACAGACAACTGTTGCCAGGCCACGCACACTTAGACACAGATAGATAAACCAGCTACATACTCTCCACCAAGCACATCATGGTAAGCATTCCAGAGCCCACAGGCCAGCCCTCTGCCTCCAGGCAGATTTGTTCCAATTTCCCCCAGACAGCATGGATCTCTACAACTCTGAGGCAGGCAATTTTACCATTCCAATGGCAGACTTTTCTAGTGTTTAACAGCCCTCCTCCCATGGAGTAGTTTCCTTCTAGAATTAGCAATGTTCACGCTGGTGGGGAACTTGGAGATCCTATAGACAAAACCTCTCACTGTAGAAATGGCAAGATTCAAGGTTCTCCATTCCCAGAGCAATCACTCCACCCTGTAGGACAGACACTCATGGCTTGGGGGCTTGGCAGGCCAATCAAACACCCCGCAAACTCTTCCAGCTCAGCTCAGAGCCAAGGAGGTGGCCCTCTCATCAGGTGTAGGTCCTAGTTAGGCTCATCAATTTTCATAAGAGAATGACAACCCTACTACAGTGTTGATGGATTTCAACTGTTTCTGTGTTTGTAAGGCATATGGGTCTGTCTTTAATTGGCAACCCAATGGCTGCACTTCAGTTATTTGGCAGGGAATACAGTCTCGAACTCACTGCCATGCAGTGTCCATCAATAACCCAGCTGAGAGAGACAAACTATATGAAAGATTGCCTGAAGGGGATGCAGTACATCCATCCCTCTAGAAATATTAACAACGGCCCCAGGGTTTAGCCAGGTCAGCAGACAGCTGTCTATTGGACCATATCCCTCTGGTCCCCTGTGGAGCTGCTTTTCTGAGCTGAAGTTTGGCCTGTGTTGAAGGATGATGCTACAGGGAGCAGCCTCAAGGAATGAGGAGCCAGCCTACTGTGAGGGTGGTGAGGATGCTGTTCATCACATAACACAGAGTTCCTAGGAAGGACTCCAGGAAAAGCTCTTTCTGGTTCAGCATCAGGAATAGTTGGGCTCTTTCTTTCCTTCCTTCCCTCCTTCCTTTCTTCCTTTCCTTCCTTCCTTCCCTCCTTCCTTCCCTCCTTCCTTCCCTCCTTCCTTCCCTCCTTCCTTCCCTCCTTCTCCCCTTCCTCCTCTTCCTCCTCCTCCCCCTTCTTCTTTTCTCTCTCTCTTCCCTCTTCCTTTCTTTCCTTTTTTTCTCTCATATTACAGGTACTGTAAACTACTGTAAATTGTGAGACTGACTGGGCTACCTTGTTCAGATTGGCTGTCAGAAACTTTAGATTCTGAATCAGAGCCTGCCATTAGTAGGTGTTTAGGGGCTTCAAGTTCTGCATCCCTGGATTGGCCTCATTCATGATCCCCTGTGACATTCCTTCCTTTGTTCTTCTATTTTCCTTTCCCATTTCCTTCTAATATGTGTTATGGCATTGTGTTTCACATATCTGTGTAAGCCACCATAACACCACTTTGGCACAAGGCAGGTATAAGTAAGTACATTAATGAATTAATTAATGCAGCTCAAACTGTGCTGCACACAGAGATTATATTTACAAAGAAGTCCATTTACCAAGCTGGTACTGGAAGGCCCCCCAGACAAAGAGTCTTGAAAGATGTGTGAGATACAGAGAAACAGAAGCAAGTGGAAAAATCATTCTGATCTGCATCCTGCCCCTTCCAATGTAAACTAAGCTGCATCTTCTCACTCTTCTCTTAACACCAATGGAGTCCATCTCTGGTAACTTCTAATCAAATTTAACATCTCTTTGTGAATCTGAAGGCACAGACAAAAAAAATAAGAATAATAAAATCACAGAAGGTGAGCACCTGGAAGAATCTGAGAAATCCTCTCAGCTGAGCCTTTATTTTAACAAGGGAGAAATGAAGTCCTAGACAAGACAAGTTCAAGTTTCTGGATGATTTAGAGCAAGTTCTGGGTTGAGAATCCAGTATCCCTAACTCCCTGAAAGTCAGTGGTCTTTGCTGTATTCCATTAATCTAAATCATTGTATTTCCTGTTAGGAAGCCTGAGCTTTATGCTTATGTTAGTACGTACTGATCATCTATAAAATGGAGGAGTGGTGGGTAGGACTTTCTCTTGTATGGTTTCATCCTTTCAGGGGGACGTTAGGGGATTTATGACTTTGGGCACATTTCTTAACCTCACTGAGCCTTTACTTCCTCATCTGTAAAATGGACATGATAACATTTCCCTCAGGTTATTGTTAGTATTGGATGAGAAAATGTGCAGGAAGAGCCTGACAGATAGAAAACACTGATAAAGGTTGGTTGTGGTGGTGGTGGAGATGGTGGCAGTGATGGTGGTTACTAGTTCCCCCATTTCACAGAAAGGAACAGCAGGCTGAGGGCACGTAGTAATTTAGCCAAGGAAACATACCAGGATCCCTGTTGTGTCTGCCCCAGAGCAGCACCTTCACGTTTAGAATGCTTGGAGTGTGAGAGAGCTTAGGTGCTTGGATTTCCAATTTCCCATTCTCTCCATCCTATCTCTGGTTTCTTCCTGATCCCACAGCCTGCCTCTGCCCACCGACTAACTACCTGTTCATAAATACCATATGCCTAAATACCAATACCAAAATACCTAAATCCAGATTGACACTTGAGTCAATAACCAAGGAACCAATCTTTTGGGGGCTCTTCTATCTGGGACAATTTGTGTGAGATCCTGACCACAGTGGCAAAGGAATAGGGACAAAGAAATTTTCCAGGGACCTTTTCAAGTTAAAGACTCTAATAATTCTATTTTCTTCTGGCCCAAGCTTAGGCATCTAAGTCTTGTTTGAGTACTGTTTTAGTCCACTTTGTGCTCTTCTAATAGAATATCTGAGCCTGGGCAGTTTATAAAGAAAAGAGATTTATTGGCTCACAATTCTGGTGGCTTAAGTTCAAGACTTGGCATCTGCATCTGGTAAGGACATCGGGTTACTTCAACTCACTGCAGAAAGTGGAAGAGAAGCCAGCATGCGCAAAGAGATCACATGGTGAGAGAACTCATTCACCTCCAACCATGGCGCTATTCATGAGGGATCCGCCCCCATGACCCAAACACCTACCACCAGTTCCCACCTCCAACAATGGAGGTCAAATTTCAACATGATGTATGGAAGAGACAAATATCCAAATCATAGCAGGTATCTTGGGTAGAAATGTTAACATCTGGAGCCTTTGCTGAGTCTATACTTCAAGGTCTGCACACAAAGCAACTTTCAGCTCTTGGCATGCTTTGATGCTATGAGTAGGAAATAGCTACTGAGTAACCTGGAAAGACTGCAACTCCATCCTACTCGAGTCAAAGAAATGCCCAGGGCAGCAGAAGCCAGCTAGTTAGGCAGGAATGTAAATATTAACATAGGCATTACATAAAACGTCTTTAAAAATATGAACAGCATGGCCAAGGGGAAGATGGGAGGATCCAGGAAGCCCAGCAGCAGCTGTGGCATCAGAGGTCTCTACCCTTACCTCACACCATATATACAATGCAACCCAAAATGAAACATAGTCCTGAACATAAAACCTAAAACTATAAAACTTTTGGAAGAAAACATAACAGAAAACTTTTGTGACCTTAGATTAGGTAAGTATCTCTTAGATATGACACCAAAACTATGATCCATGGTATAGAGAATTTTATCAACTCTAAAATCTTCTCTTTAAAAGACACTCTTGAAAGAATTAATAAATAAGTCACAATGTTGGAGAAAATATTTCCAAAACACATATATGAAAAAGGACTGAAATCTAGAATACATCAACAACTTTCAAACTCAACAATAAGAAAAAACCCAACACATTAAAAAAAAATAAGCAATGAATATTTCACCAAAGATACACAAATAGCAAACAATAACATGAAAAGATGTTCAACATTATTTATTTATTTATTAAAGAAATACAAATTAAGTTTGGGCATGGTGGCTCATGTCTGTCATTCTGATACTTTGGGAGGCTGAGGCGGGAGGAAAACTTGAGCCCAGGAGTTTGAAACCAGCCTGGGAAACATGGTGAGACCCTGTCTCTATTTTTAAAATTTTTTAAGAAAAAAATACAAATTAAAACTATAATGAGATACACTGCATATCTATTTATATGGCTAAAATTAAAAATAAATAAATTAATTAATAAATAACAATACCAAGTCCTGGGAGAATATGGGACAACTGGAACTGTCTATCATTACTGGTGAGAATGCAAAATGATACAGCCATTTTGGAAAACAGTCTGGCAGTTTCTTATAAAGCTAAATACATACTTGTCATGTGACATAGCAATTGCAGTATTTACCATGTAAAATAAACTTATGTTCACATGAAACCTGTATGTGAATGCTTACAGAAACTTTATCCATAATCACCAAAAACTGGAAACAAGCCCCATGTCCTTCATCTAGTGAATGAGTACACAAACTGTAGTACATCATAAGTGGAATCCTACTGAGCAATAAAAAGAAATGAACTACTGACATATACAACAACATGGATAAATCTCAGATTTATTATGCGAAGTGAAAAAAGCCAGACTCAAAAGGCTATATATATTACATTTATAAGATATTCTGGGAAAGGCAAGCTATAGAAACAGAAAACAGATTCATGGTTTCCAGGGACTGAGGGTGGCAGAGTAGCTGAAAGCAAAGGGACCCAAGGGGATTTAGGAGATTGATGAAATTTTTCTATATCTTCGCTGTGGTAGTGGTTACATTACTTTATGCATTCGTCAAAACTCATAAACTGTACAATAGAAAGAGTTAATAGTAATGTATGTAAATTATACCTCAGTTTTTAAAATGGAAGGAGTTCTTTATTCTTGACAGAAATAACCTATATGATACATACTAAAAATTATTATCTACATTTTATAAATGAAGAAATGGAGGAATAAAGAGATCAGTTAACTTGTCTACATTATACACATTATAGCCTTAGGAAGAGATAAAGCTGTGACTGGAATCCGGACTCTGGAGCTCCAAAGTCCATTATTTTGGCCACCAGACTATACTGTCTCTCACAATGGGGACTTCTCTTTGTTCTTGAGTAACTCTGGCTCACCCACTCACCCACTGGATTTTAACCAACTTGAAGGTACAGTCTGAGTGATAAGCCTCTTATGTGTGTTTTAAATACATGAGAATTAGTTGAATATATTGCGTTCTTAAAAACATTCAAACAATTCAAGACTATAGAGATTAAAGAGTGAAGTTCCCTTCCATCCCTCCTGGCCCACTTTCTCCCCTACTCTTGGAATAATTGTGTTGACAGGTGTTGGCTAGCCTTCAACTTTTTGCTGTACAAGTCTATAGTTACATATGCACACCATATGCATTTCCAATTCCCCGCTCAGTCTCCAGTGTAGCAACTGTGCTGGTCATGGAAGCGTGCTTGACTTGGAAACAAAAGCCACAGGTTCAAAAGCCGCCACTTTTCCTTGCTTTGTCATAGACTAGCTGCATGACCCAAAGGAAGCTAGGCTACCTCTATGTGCCTGCTTTTTAATTTCCAAAACATAAATAATACTCATTTTTAATAAGAATAGGTTCCTTACCACTTAGCAATAGTTCAGTAAATGCTGTTTAATGCAATCCAGGTAATTGAATTGTAATTGATGACAGCTATGACCATGACCAGCAAGTCTCCATTCAGTCAACCCCTGTGCATGAGGGTGATTAGAACTCAGGTCTATCTGAATTCAGCACCTGTTATTTCAAAAATCCACTATACAATCCTGACAGGTAATCTGGATTCTTTGTCACTCAAAGTGTGTAGGAATTGATGGGACAGGAAATACTTAGCCTGGAGAAGAAAAGACTCTTCAGGGATGTGAACATTGGTTTAAAATATTTGAAGAGCTGTCATATGGGAAGAGAAGGCAGATTTGTTCTCAGTTGCTCCAGGGCAAAGCTGGAATTAATCTGGATGCAAATTTTGTATTATGGAATAAAATTGTCCAACAACTATTAGCCAACAAAGGAGGAACTGCCCATGAGGCAGTGGGCTTCCCACCACTTTCCAGTAATCAACCTGAAACTGCATGATCATTTGTCAGGAGAGAGAAAGAAATGCCTCAGCTGGCAGATTTCAGGATTCCATGCTTCTCTGTACAGAGGTGCACATCCTCAGAACATATGTAGGTATATGCGAATAGTGGAAGAAGGGTATATGCATTCTATCTATCTTTTCATCCTCCCCACTAAGGAAAAAGTTGAGAGGCCAATAATGAGGTCAAGTGGAATCAGATGCACAGAGGAACCAAGGCAATATGAGATAGATGGTTTTTCATCAGCTGGTCCTGTATGTAAGAAGAGGAGCAAAAGGAGAGAATGTCCTGCCCTCCAAAAATGCAGACCTATTTGGATCCTATTGGAGATCCCTTGGCAGCTGACACACATGCCCATCTGCCATGCTGGCACAGTGCCCCCAGCAAGGGGAGCTCTGCTTCCTGCTGGTGGGCATAGGTGCCAGGTGGTTGCACATGCCTGCAGAGGGGGGCCTCTGTCCTAAATACTACGGGGAACTTGCAGTCCTCATACTCACCCCCTGCCCTACTCAACCCCCAGCAGCCCCACCAGGGGGCCTAAAGGTGCCCTGGAGTTGCAGAAAGTGGAAACAGAGAAGCTAAACACTGGAGAGTTTGGGGCTGCCAAATGAACAGGCCTTGCCACATCGAGCATGTAGTAGAGCCAAGACCACCCAAGGAACAACCAAATGGACTCTTGGAAGGAAAGGCCAAGGCACAAACTATACCAACTCAAAGGGCATCACAAGGGGTTCAGGCCCTTGAGAGAGAGAAGGGGTATTATAGGATGCCTTTGGCTCTGTCATTCTCCTCCAGGAATGAGGAGAAACAACTCGGAGGGAAGGATACTCATTTTTCTCTACATCTGAACTTGGTGAGTTCATCCCTGTCTGTTGTAGGATGGGAGTGTCCGACCCCGTAGTCGTCTCTGCCTAACTGCATGTGACGGTCTCCTCCTACGCTGGTGTGTGGTGTGTGTGTGTGTGTGTTGTGTATGTGTGCATGCCACGTCTGTGTGTGGGTTGCAGTAATTGCATATTGCTGATGCTGCAAAAGCACATAAAGGCTGGGCAGCTAATCCAATCATTCATGCTTCCCTTGTTCCTACTCTGGGATCTGATAGATAAAAATACCCAGGCAAATGACCAGTTTCATGGACTGTTTCCTCTTTTGTCAATACAAGGAATTGTGAGCTGTCATCTTGTCCCTCCTCTCCAGAGAGAGAACTCCAATATTTATGACCAGCTTTTATAACACTAATTGTATTTCTAATTGTTTTTCCCTCTCAGCAGCATTGCGTCCCTCACCCCAGTGACGATGGGCAGTTCTGAGGTTTATGAAGAGTGGTTTGTCACAAATGAAACTCAGAAGAGGTTGTGAATGAAGCGGCCACATTTCCTGCTTAGTGGTCCTCCTCTGTTCTGAAGCATGGGTTCTGGCTGGAGGCCAAAGTCCTACGTGTCCAACAGCAGAAGGGATGGGATTGGCTCTCGCCTCCCCTGCCCAGAGATCAGGAGTCAGGGACGCCATCAAGGACAGCTCCTTGGGCTGGGTGTCCTTCAATTGCAGTGCAAACATGTCCCTGCCTCAATTTCTTCCACGTAGAAAATCTCTTTCCTCTTCCCACCTCCTAAACCTGCTTCTTGCATTTCCACTCAGCAAAAGGTCCATTGGCTTTTTATTTTTTTTTAAGGTCTGAAAACTGATTTTAGATTTTTCAGATCAATGAAAGTGCAGGAAGCAGAGTGGTGTAGTGTGAGGCAAATCTGACTAGGAATCGAGAAAGCTGAGGTCTACTCATTCAATTATTCATTCGCTCATTTACACATCAAACATTTATGGGGGCCTACTATGTGAGCAGCATTGTCCTACGTTCTAGGAATAGAGAGACCCTAAAATCTCACGTCTTAAGCCATAGCTGCTTCTGTTATAAGGTGGAAGTGGACCACCAGGACACCACAGTCCCCAGAAGAACTGCATTCTACCTTTACAATATTTCAAAGCAGGACAGCTTGAAGAACATCTCTGCATATGTGAAGACAGGTCTGGATGGAGTTGGGGAGTCTGAGTTCTAATTTTGCTCTGCCCCCTTTCAATGCATGACCTTAGACAAATCCCTTGGACTCTCTAGGTCCCAGTTTCTTTATATATAGGACAAAAACAGAAGTAACCATGTACCCCATGCTGATTTTGAGTGTTACATGAGATACTATGGGTGGACACTATCTGCAAACTTTATATAAAACAACCCATCAAAGTAAGAAACGACTATCTGTGATAACCGGGGAGCCCTCGCTAATTCTTCCAGGCTCACCATGCAGAGTACAAAAATGAACACTTAGAAGTAATTTTGAGGAGGAAGGGCAATACTGGCCATTCCCTTTTCAAAGGAGAGGGAGAAATCTCAAGTAAATCCTTGGAAGATCTCCCCTGAGGCTTGGGCCGAACTAACCAGCACCCCACAAAAGGAGACACAAACTCAGTAATGTCCACAATAATAGTCAAGCAGAGTTTAACTCGACAGTGAATTCACCCTACGGAGCCATCTTTGGCTACTGGTAAAATGCACAACCCTGGGCTTGGGGAGCTATAAAGGTCATATAGCCCTGGATCTGGTATCCAACCAGGATCCCAGGTAGCTGATAGCTGAGCTCTGTGGATGATCTCTGTAGATAAACTAAGAAGAACAGTTGTAGGAGTGGCTGCCTCTGAAGAATTGTCCCCAAGACCAGAGAGGAATATTCCTGAGCCAGGGAGGGCAGGTGCGGGGCAGCTGAGAGAGCCACTCTCTCAGCACCAAACTGGGCTCATTCTCTCCATGTTTCCCTGCTCTCTCATGTAGAGCCACTTGACTTTGATTTGTGACTGTAGTGGTACAAAAGGAAGAAATCC
Organism: Homo sapiens; assembly: GCF_000001405.40. Lineage (NCBI taxonomy): Eukaryota > Metazoa > Chordata > Mammalia > Primates > Hominidae > Homo > Homo sapiens. The sequence goes on along the minus strand of NC_000011.10, from coordinate 115,719,282 downwards.
TATAAGGTGAGGTTAGGAAAGAAAATTAAAGCATTGCAGTATGTTTGACTTAGAAAAGACACCAGATAGCAGCTCTTCCAAATCCCTCCCTTGACAGATGCGATATGGTGTGATCAAGCAGGGTGCTGACGCTCAGAACTTGCATAATCTACAGGACCTTGGACCCTTGCATCTCTGAACTTCGGACTTTACTTTTTCATTGGTGAAATGGTAGTAATAGTAATAACAACCTCTGGGTGTTGGATAGATGATATGCACTAATGCCATGCAAAAGTCCTTCAAGGAATGGTATGGCCTAGGGAAAAGCATGTGTGGCTTGGAGTCAGAGGACATGGAATTAGATGCAGCTGTTTATCTGCTGTGTGGCTTCAGTTCCATTGTTTAAGGTCTCTGAGCTTCATTTTCCTTTCCTGTGAAATGGAAATAATGATGATGATGCCCATCTCAAAGGGCGGTGAATATCAGGCAAGATAATGAAAGCCCTCTATGAACTTTTCATTTCATTTCAACATGAGTGGTTACCCTTCTGATGAAGAGACTGAGGGTCAGGGAGGCCAGCTGATTTGCGCAAGGCCTACAGGTACTATGCAACCTGAGCCAGCCTCAGAATCCAGCAGAGCCCTGACTTCCAGGAGGCCTTTTATCCAATCTTGAGCCCCAGGAAGGAGCCTGGCTCCAGCTGTCAGCCCAGGCTTGCTGCACTGGCCTGTTGGCGGCCACCTACCCAAGTGCAGCGGGGGGAATTTTACATCGATTTGAATGCCACTGTTTGTATTTGCCTTCCCTTAGGAGTTAACTAGAGTCCTTCTAGCATTGATTAGCTCTATCTGGTTTCCTAATGGAGTAAACACAGGGCCCCTTGAATATCGACTGGAATTTAACAAATATACCCCTTACAATACCAAAATCGGCCACAGGACAAGGTGTTTACACGCACAGGCCACTTCTGCCTGAACTCCCAGCTGGGATGCCTTGCGACTTCCCCTTGGGCAGCTGCTGCAGCCCAGCCGCTCTGAAAAGAACTCATGAATCAGTGGGACTGTTTATAGTTTTTCCTTTTTAATTTTGAGGCAGGAGTGATTAATTTGAGCCTCGTTGAGGCAAGGGACAAATAAGTGCTGATAATGGCAAGACCTAAGAAGGGTTGAGTTCCTGCCAGGCCTGGGCCTCCCAGAGTGTCTCTGAACTGGTTGGGCCCACCTGCAGGCTTCTTCCCACACCCATCCCAAGGACCCCTTTGAGCAGAGACCTCACAACCCTGCCTGGCCAATGCATGGAGCTGGGACTGTGTCCTTCATCCCACCCTCCACCTAAACTTGAATTTCCGCTGCTGCGAGTCACCAAGGTCCTCTCTACCTGCCCCTCTTCCCATTGCCTCTGCATTCAATCCTTGGGCTGTCCTGGGCCCATCATCCAGCCTCTCGTAGCACAGGCCTGCTCTGCCTCTCAGCTGCTTGTTCCAGGCATAGCCTCCTGAACTCAGGTCCGCTCTCCTAAGAAGACTGCAGCCGAGTTGAGGGGGGCTGAAGGCGAGGGGTCAGTCAGGTGACCCAGGGTGATCCCTGCTTGGGGCTCAACTGCTTTTAATCCGCCCCCCCAGGGAAATTCCAGGTTAGGCTTTGGGCATTTGCTCTGACCTCCCCAGCTTTCTGAAACCAATCTTTTTTTTTTTTTTTTTTTTTTTTTTATGCCTTGGAGTTGTTGAGGTGTATGTGTATGTTTACCTCTCAGAATAGCAATAAAATAAACCAGGGGAGAAAAACGAAAGTCCCAGTAGCAACGGATTGGTTAGACCTCTGGCTTGACTCATTAATGAAGTACAGCTGGTCTGGCAGAAAGAGCTCCTGCTCTCTTTTGGGAACCAGCCCCTTACGTCCATCCTTTCCAAGCAAGACCTCCCTCCCAGGGCCTCCCCATCTCATCTGGAGCAGGAGCAAGATCCGGGGCCAAGCCGCTCAGCGTTCCAGAGGGCACTAAGGTACCGGCAGCCTCCTTCTGAATAGAGGTACAGCCTGGAGGATGAGGGAGGGGTGGGGACACCAACCTCTCAGCCTGTACGTGCCCCAGCAGGGGACCCCGGCCCTGCATGGGTTCCATGTCTCCTGGCTCCCAAGCAATAATCCACCCCCATGGCTTCCTAAGGAGCCGCACAATGGCTTTATTGAGCGGAGCTATAAATTTCAGCAAGGCCAACCCTGGGAGTAGGCAATTACCTTCCGAGGAGGCTCCCTCCGGACTGACTGCCTCCCAGAACAAGAGGGTCTTTCATAACCACTCAGTGCCGGCACGGGCTGAGGACGGCCCATGCACTGGCGGGTGCTGAGCATGCCCCGTGCCCCCCCATCTCATCATCCCCTACTCCCGCCGACCCTCAGACTACAGCATCAGGAAGGCAGCATGATCGAGCGCAAACACTGAGCTTTGAAGGAGACTGTTCGGATGGCTGCTTCTTTGTTTCCCCCAAGTTTTGGCCTCAGCCCAAAATCGAGTTGAGGGAAGGATGGAGAAGAATAAATAACTATATCTTGCAGGCCTTTTTAAAGTTACGACACACCAGGAGACGGGGAGACGGGGATGGGGGAGGGGAGGAGGGAAAGACCGGAGGGAGGAAGGACCTTTTCTTTCTTTACTAGGGGGAAATTGCTACATTTTCTAATAACGACTAACTTGAAAACAGCTGAACCTTGAAACTTCAAACTTCAATCAAAGTCATTCTCAGAGAAGAGTAGGTGGTTTCCAAAGGCTAGGAAATTTTTTTAAAAAAGAACAATTGGTCTGGAATTAATCAAGATATTAATATCAGAAAAGGAAGCATCGGATACAGGCTGTATCCAGGTCACTCAGCTGTGAAAAGCCCAGAGCCTCGGGCCAGGGTCTGTCCCCAGAGGACCTGGCCTCTCTCCTTCCCCTTAGAAAGGCTCCTACCTTAGTGACAAGGCCTTGAATGGGCAGAGGGTAGACTGGTGTTCAAGACTCTCCTCCCCGCAACCTAGCCACCCTCGCCTCTTCTCCGAAGTGGCAGGCCAGCAGCATGGGCGGGGATGCCTGTCCCCAGGGGCAGGGACCCAGGAGCTGGCATTGACTGACAGCTCCAACCTACAAAGGGGTTTGTTTGATGGGAAACCAACGCTTGGGCTCCCCATGGCTGTCAAGCCACTCCCCAACTCTCCACTCATTTAAACTAAAAACCCAAGTATATTTATTCCCTAGTAGACCTGATACACTCCAGTACTCCTGCCAACTTGCTTTGCAACATCGTACACAGCAGATCAATGTGTGCAATTTAGAACAGAGAAATGAAGACTTCAGTGAAGAGGAGGGGTGGGATGGGGGCTGGCAAAGGGGGGCCTTGGCTCCTGCTCACTGCTCCCCATTCTCTCCTAAAATGCTTGCTTTCCCCTAGCAGCCCATGGTGCCGATCTTTGCACCTTTAAAAGAGAAGAAGGTCTTTTAGCCATGGACACAAAAGAATAACTCTTCCAACCTTAGCCAGGCAAGTAACTAGCACCTATTTTTCCATGTGCCTCACGTACAGAACATGACCATGGCCATAAGTTCACATAAAATGCCATCTGTATGTCCTGCCCTGAAGGGTATATCTAGAGGGCCCCAGCCCTCCCCACACCCTCAAGGAGTTCTCAATTCCTCAGCAGACATAAGGAGACTTAGGGACAGGTGACAACCGGCCGAACAAATACAGATGCTATTTACCTTCCATCCACTTTCCTGACAATTCTTAGAGGACTAAAAAAAAAAAAAAGTTTAGCTCAGTTCTGTCATGAAAAAATGTTGCAGAACCTGCTGTCTTTAAGAAACTGATTCTAACAGGCTTTGGACATTCTTTTCTCCACATTCCTACCCTCTTCTATCCAGGAGATGACCCAAGGGGAGAAAATGGACTCAGCTGTGCCAGCTGGTGTTAAAACAACAAACTTGCAATTCATCTGTATTGCATTGGCCCCTAAGCTCCCTCAACTCCAAAGCAAGACCTCTTGCCCACTTTCACACACACCCTCAGGCTGAACAGTGCTCTTTTTCCCACCAATGTTGCCCTTGATGTTCATGCTCATCTGATTTTACTAGAATGGCAACACCAGGGAGAGGGGCATGGTGAATTCTGCTTCGAACTCCACACCCCTGCTAGGAAGGGCACACATGCCTAGTAGGGTTTGGATGAACCAAAAAGTACTGCGCACTTGCTGAGCGCAGGCTCTGTTACATGCTTTATGCACACTGCCAGATCCCTTTCCTGGTACCATCCACTCCCCACCGCACAAAAATTCCCCGGAAAAATGAGAATAAGAACACACCAAATTACGTGATTTGCCTAAGATCGTATGGTGTGAATGGCAGCACTAGGATTCAAAATGAGATTTTCTGACTCTAAAGCTAGTGCTCTTTCCTTGAAAACAACAGGATATGAAAGAAAAAGGATGAGCTCTGGACCCAGACAAACCTGGATTAGGATCTTAGGTTAGATCTGGTTCCAGCACTTGCTAAGGGCATGGACTTGAACAATTACCCTTTCTGAGTGTCAGTTTCCTCTTCTGTAAAGTAGAGGACCTAACACCTATGCCATGGGATGACTGAGAGGATTATATGAGTTACCATCTGTATAATAAATATCTAGCACGTTGACAGCCCTGAAGTAGGTATAAACAGATGTTACTCTCAATTCTCCTCACTTCCATTTTGCAAGAGAAAAAAAAATTGAAGACACGTGTTCTTGAAATTTAACATAGGTGTACAAGTCAATGAATTTCACCAGATGTATACATCCATGTACCAGAAACCAGACCAAGAAATAGAAAGTTTGCACCCAGCCCTCAATAGGTCCCCTTCCACCCCTTCCCACTTACCATATCCCTTTGAGGATGATCACCATCCTGACTTCCAACACTATGGATTAGCTAGCTGTACTTGTTTACGACTTCTATATAAATGGATTCAGTATGTTCTCTGTCACATGTTTTTTTTTCACTTGCCATTATATTTGTGAGATTAATCTGCATTGCAGCCTGGTTATTGCTCACTCATTCTTACTTCTATATATTATCCCAGTGCGTGGATAGACGCAATTTATTTATCTACTTCATTGTTCATGAACATTTGGGTTGTTTCCAGTATTTAGCTTTTACTAAAATGCTGCTCTGAATATTCTTTTGTGTGTCATTTGGTACACGTGTGTATGCTTTTCTTTTGGCTCTAAACTTAAGAGTAGAATTGCCGGCTAATAAGATATATGTAGGTTCCGTATTAGTACTGTTTCAATACTACCAAACTGTATTCCAGAATGTTTGCTCCAATTTACACTCCTCCCTAGCATTTGAGAGTTCTGGTTGTTCACATCCTCATCAATACTTGATATTGTCTGTCTTTTTCTTATTTTAGCCATGCTGTTAAAAAAAAAAAAGAAAGAAAGAAAAAACAGTGATTTTTCACTGTGGTTTTAACTCACAAACTCCTGATCACCAAAAAGCTTGAGCACCTCTTCATATGTTTATTGATCACTTGGAGATCTTTTGAGAAAGGCCAGCTCAAGTCTTCTGGCCCATTTTTCTATAGGATTATTTGCCTTTTTCTTACATTGTGGATATGAGTCCTTTGATAGATATACTTTACAAGTGTCTTCTCATACTCCGTAAACTTCTCTTTTTGCTTAATTATGTTTTTTAATTAATTGAAGTTGTTAATTTTAATGTAGTTCAATTAATCAAATTTTCCCTTATGGTTGGGCTTGTTACATCCTGTTGAAAGAAGCTGTATATACCCTGGGTCATGAAGACATCCTTCTATTATGTTCCAAAAATTATTGAAAAAGTCATCCTTTCCTCACAACATTGCAGAGTCATCTTTATCATAAATGAGGCTACTGAATGTGTGTGGGCTTGTTTCTAGACTGTACTACATTTGATTGGCATGTTTGTGGGCATTTCACCTACATAGCACTGTCTTAATTACTATAGGTTGAGTATCTCTAATCTGAAAATCCAAAATCCAAAACTATTTAAGTGCCAACATGATGCTCAAAGGAAATGCTCATTGGCACATTTGAGATTTCAGATTTTTGGATTAGAGATGCTGAATGAGTATGTTTAATCAAACATCACCAAATAAAAAAAAATGAAATCCAAAACACTTCTGATCCCAAGCATTTCAGACAAGGGCTACTCAACATGAATAGTTTTATGTACGTCTTGAAGATGTCTTTTTAAAAACTAATGCTAATATTTTTATAGCCCAAGAATGTTTAAAATGTGTGCCCCCTTCCTTGACTCAAGGTAGATTGTACTGGTACCAAGCCATCTGTCTAATTAGTTGAGTGGCAAGAGGGGAATAAGTAGTGAGAGAGTAGCAAACTGTGTCATGAAAGTTTCTTCTTTATACTAAGAGAGGTTAGGGTGGATTTCCACATGCCATTCATGACAGGAAGAACGCAAAGATGCAAGAAAGTTCAGGGATCAGTGGAAAGAGCTTGGGCCTAAGAGTCCAAATTTCTGAACTCTGGACTCAACCATGCATTAGCTGTGTACACTCACCATGTAATCTTGAGCATCCTGGTCCCTCTTTCTGGCCCTCTTTTCCTTCTGTAAAAAGAAGGGCTTGAACTACATCACCTCCAAGAGCCCCTGTGTCTCTTAGAGACTGTAACTGTGACTCTTAGTCAAAAAAAAAAAAATAGAGCAATTGGTTTAGGAAATGACCTTCCAGTACTATAAAGACACTTTATATTAGAAGCAATAGAACAATTCCCTATTGTGATTCATCCCCAGTGCAATCTTTATCAGAAAGTGTGGATTCTGATGGACTGAATGTCTCCCTTGTATTCAGGATGGTGTTGCAAATGCCTTTCTCTGAGCTGGGATGTGTAGTTTTGGTACCAAACAGACATGGGTTCAAATCCTGCTTCTGGAACTTACTTGCTGTGTAACTCTGGGAAAATTGTTCCACCTCTCTCAATTTCAGTTTCTTCCTAGGTAAAATGAGTCTAATATTATTTACCTTCCTTGTGTATTTTTGCCAGCCTGCAATATCTCCATGAGGACAGCTTACTGTGGATGACCTCCGTGGCTTTGCTGCAGTATTGAACCTCATGGTCACGCATGTCCTCTCACCTGTACAGTTGCTTTACTGTTTCTCATCCCCACCTGCTATAAGCCAGCCAATAAAGGTATTAGTAAATTAATAATTCATCTAGAGCCAATCCAAAGTAGCACACACCTGCTCAGAAACTACCTGGGCTTATTTTCAGTAGCAGTTCCCAGACTCTTTGATCCTGGGGAATGTATTTATGAGTGTTTCTAAGGTTGGGGGAGGAGTATGCCGGTGCCCAAGGCTGTTGAGGATCAAGTGTGGCTGTGATGGCACATGGCAGACATTCAATAATGATCTCTGCTGGTGTTTCTATTATTCTTATTACACCTTCTGTTCTGAAGAAGGTGGCAGCGTACCTCTTTCCATGGTTAGAATAACAACAGGCTTCCAGCCCCCAAGCCAACTCAGCTTTTGATTTAAACAAAAATACTGCAGGTTATTCCTTTGGTAGAAGGTGGAGAAAAAGAAAAACAGACAGATTGCCAGGGAAGATGTCTTCTTTCCATTCACCTGATGGCTCTAGGGAGCCCTTCCCTCCCCCATGGAAGACAGGGCTCTCCTCCAGCCCAGGCTCTCCACGACCAGTCCCTTGTGGGAAGAGCAGGCCTCTGGCCACCAGCCCTTTGGCCTCCACTAGGTCAAAGAAAGGGCCATTTGGTCTTCTTTCCCACTCAATCACTGTGCCCTACAGAGGTGACGGTCCACCACTCCATGATGTTTCTGTGCAAGAGTTGCTCCACAAACCCAGGCCAGCTGCAGCATGGGCCCTATCAGGTGTTTCCGAGGGATCTTCCTCTTTCCCGATTCCCCCCTCCTGTATGACTGGAGGAGAGCAGGCTGGGCACGCAGGCCCTCAGCGGGACGTAATAGCAGATGTGTGCAGTGCATACGGTTCCCGGCACATTCGTTTGATCTGTGTCCAGGTTCTCTTAGACATTTGCTTCTAAGCCGACAGCTGAACATAAAAGCAGTCCCAAGTGGCTGTTTTCAGGTCTTCAACATTGGTTAGCCGCAGTTGGGAAATCTTCTTCCCCGTGCCCCTGAGTGAATTATCACGTTATCGAGTCGGAGCTTCGGGGTGGCCAAGCCGGAGCTCCGCCGCTCCTCCTCTGATAATCCATCACCCACCGAGTGGGTTATTAAGACATTCTCTGCCTGGGCGTGTGCATCAATCTGCGGCTCAACCATCCTCCCAAGGGAGCACGCTGGAGGGGTTCCTGGAATTCCCATCCCCCAGATGTTTGAGCCACACAACCCTCGCCACTTCCTCAGCCCACCAAGGGGTCCTGTGTCTGATCACCAGTCCATCTTCATCCCCTATGTACCCCCTCCCCACCATTGCCCCCTGCACCCATCCTAGCCATTCAAGTAACAATTTCTTCCAACACTAGCCCTCCTGAGCACGCACTCATAGGAAAGCCCACCCCCCTCCGACCCCATCTTCTCCTTGTCCCTCTGCAACCAGGTCACCCCTGCTGCCCTCAGCCTCTGGGCAGAGGGGAAGATTAGATTGCACATGAATAAGCAATATTCACTTGGCGCTGACAGCCTAGAGTAAATCCCTTGAGCTGTTGTACAGGAGCAGTACAATATTTCCCATCTCCTCTTCCCTCCATCGCCTCCCCCCATCTCCTATTTCACTTAAGGGCCTTTTTTTTTTTTTTTTTTTTTTTTTTACTGGGATGTACTTGCACGTGGGTGACTATATTAGAACAACACCATCAACACACAGCATTTACAGCAAACAGATCCCTGGGAGCAGTCACCTGATTAACAATGAGGAAAGATACTCGAGGAGTGTGTTTCCTATTTTGCCTTCCCTTCTACTGGGAGGAGGAAAGAGGTCTTTTGCTTCCCACATAAGCTCCAGGCCCTGCTGGGTCACTAAGCCCACCTGTGGAAGGAAAACCCTCCCAGGGGCTTCGAAGAGCCTGCCTTTCAGAAAGATCTGGAGAAGTGAGGTACCCCTCAAGAAGGGAAGGTGACCGCCACTTTTACCTAGCTCAGGGCGGATACTCAGAAACGCTGGGCAAGTAAAATCCCGCCCCACTACCTAGCAGCTGTGTTCCCTTAGGTGAGGCACTTCATCACGCCCCTGCCTTACTTTCCTCACCTGCTAAATGGGAATTAATGCCCTTGAGTAAGATGCTGGTCACAAATGTTTAGAACCGTGCCTGACACATGCAGTCAATACTCATGAACTGTTTTTGTTCTCCTTTCATCTGCCACCTCCACTCCCCATACCAGGCCAGATTCCAACAGTTACGCCAGGAACAGCAAAAAGGGACGTTTTATTTATTTTGTTGTCTTTGACAAAGACGTGCACCCGACCCCTCTCAATGGTTCTTCCTCAGGCCTGGGAAATGCCCATTAAACTTATTTGTCTCTAGTGCATGATAAGTAAGTGATCAATCAAGAGAAGAAGGGGGCAGGAAAGAAAGGGGAAAATGAAAAGAGGAAAGAGGGGAGGAGGGGGCGAGAAAGAGAGAGGACGAAAAGTCAGGAAGGAGAGAAAAAAAAAAAATGAGGCGAAACCGTGGAAGAGATTACCACAAAATCAGCCTGTTCAAAACAAAACTGATCCTACATCTCCTCCCCCGCCCCCACCCCACCCCGCCCAGCCCCAGCATGTCTGCCCGTGACTTCCCTGTTTCTATCAGTGGTGTTACCATTTTCCGTTGTCTGAGGCTTAAAACCTCAGGGTCATCTTCACCTCTTCCCCATTTCTTGTTCCCCTTATTCATTCACTGACTCGTCATAGTAACTCTTCATCATCTTTCTCAGGTACTTCTTTTTTTTTCATTTTCTGGCCACCCTCACTGTTGTTCAGGGCCTCATCATCTCCCATCCCCATGCATTTGGTCTTCCTGCTTCTAATCTGTGTCCCTACCACCCACTTTGCTCGATGCATCCAGACGAATCTTCTCAAAGCGCCATTCTCGTCATACGGTTTTCCGTTTCGAAAATCAACAGTGCTTTCCCTCTCCTATGAGCCCCTCACACCATCCCAGCCTCTTTCTCCACCTCGCCTCTGCACAGACCCTCTCCTCCAGTCTGACTTCTCTTCTCTTTGTTCAGGACACAGAAAGTGCATTTCCATCATGATGAATTTTGGGTAGATGCTCAACCTGCACCGTCTGACATAGTAGCCACAAGCCACAGGCGGCTACTGAGCACTTGAAATGTGCCTAGCACTACTGAGAAAGTGAAATTTTAATTTTATTTAATTTAAATTAAAAATTGAAAGCAGTGGCCGGGCACGGTGGCTCACGCCTGTAATCCCAGCACTTTGGGAGGTGGAGGCGGGAGGATCACAAGGTCAGGAGATAGATACCATCCTGGCTAACACGGTGAAACCCCGTCTCTACTAAAAAATACAAAAAAAATTAGCTGGGCGTGGTGGCGGGTGCCTGTAGTCCCAGCTACTCGGGAGGCTGAGGCAGAAGAATGGCGTGAACCCAGGAGGCGGAGCTTGCAGTGAGCTGAGATCGTGCCACTGCACACCAGCCTGGGTGACAGAGCGAGACTGTCTCAAAAAAAAAAAAAAAAAAAATTGAAAGCGGTGTAAACTATTTTTGTATTCAACACAGCTTTATTGTTTTGATAGAACCACATTTCACTTTAACCATCACATCCCATAAAATGTTATTGCTATGCTATAGTACATGTGTTGGGGAACATGTGTCATTTCTAGTATTAAAAACACATCACTGGCAATATCAGTATCAATGAATTGATTCTGTTTGAATGATTTTTTTCTATGCACTGAAGTACCATTGTAATGTGATTATTTATGTAGACAGCCTGTGTTACAGGGATACCTGTTTCTTTTAATTTTTTAATATGCCCACTAGACTATGTAAAATGTAAATGAGCCTGCATTGTAGTGCTAGTGGATCACTCTATTGGCTTGGGTGATGGGACACTGGGACTTATTAGCAAGGGAGGCAGGAAACAGCTCCCTAGAGCTGCTCATGGCAATGTCCAGATTGAGATGGTCCTGCCAGGGGCATCTAGAAACCAACAGTTTGAGGCACCCTGTGCTCAGGTGCTTAAGGCACTCTTAAGCACATTGCAGAAGGCTGCAGTCCATGGTGGGCAGGAGGCTTGGCTTGGGAATCCAGCTAAGGCTGAACTGGCATCCACCTCTGTCAACCTGATGAGTGATTCTGGGCCTCAGTTTTCCTGCCTGCTAAACTGAAAACAAGCTCAGAAGGTTGTTGGGAGGAATGCATAAGATAATTCTCTTAGCATGGTATTTGCAGATAATGAGTGCTCAATAATCATTAGCTATCAGTCTATTGGATTTAATGCAATAGAGGCAGGAGGTGTATAAAATTACTTCTGGAGGCCCGTTGTTTCCACTTTTCTCTGATTTGCAGTCACATGATGGCTGTGGAGGATGACCTTTTGACTCACAGAGATGAGGTCCATTGCAGCACTAAAATCAGCTCATAGGGAAGTATTTTTTTACCCACAGACTCAGCATGAAATGTGTTCTCAAATGTCCGTCGACTAACCACAATGACCTGCCCTTGCAAATCTCCCATGATCAGCTCTGAGCTCCACCTCCAGCCTCTCTGGGATGGGGTTGGGGGTGGGCTCTATTTCTATGCAGCTACTGGGTACTTCAAACTGAACGTTTGTGTGCCCCAAAAATTTATATGCTGAAATTCTAACCCCCAATGTGATGGTATTAGGAGATGGGGGCTTTGGGGGGTGATTAAGTCATGAGGTCAGTGCCCTGATGAGTGGGATTAGTGCCCTTCTAACAGAGGCCCTGGAGAGCTCACTCTCCCTGTCCACTCTATGAGGACAGAGAGAAGGCAGCTGTCTGTGAACCCAGAAGCAGCCCTCCTCAGACACTGAATCTGCCAGCACCTTGATCTTGGATGTTCCAGCTTCCAGAACTATAAAAAAAACAAATTTCTGTTGTTTAAAAGCTACCCAGTCTATGTTTTTGTTACAGCAACCTGAATAGATTAAGACACTGGATTTGCCAAAAAAAAAATAATACTCAGTATGCCTGGCCCTCCTCCCAAAAACTCACCTCCAGGTTCTCTCAGGGTTGACTGAGTTCTCAAGCTACAAATCACCAGGACTGTGGTATAGGAAACTCTCCAGAGAAGCTCCAAAAGAAAGCCTCTACCCTTATTTCCACCTAGCTCTTTACCAAATTTAGAGGGTGAGCTGATCCCTGGCACTACCCAGGCAGACCATCTCATGACTTAGAAATATCCCCTAATGTCCTGCCAGGCAGGAGGAAAGGAAGTAGCTTTACAGCTTGAGTCACTGGAGCACAAGTCCTCTCCCAGCACTTCTTAGTAAAGGAAAGGACAATGCTTTCAGACAACACTGGAAGAAACAACAAAGCAGAAACCAATTCCAAGTTCTCTGCAATGTTCTGGACCCAGAGCCAAAGACAAAGCTAGGGAGGCTTGGATTTAGGACCTAGAGATGCAGCAGAGTATCTTAAAGGGCAAGAGAGTAAAGCGTTGCAGCATGGTGGCAAATGAACTCACACAGGAGCCCATGCTGTCATTAAAGTTACTGGTTGGCCTGTTAGGGTTCTTTCCTATCTGTTTCTAATGTGACTCTGTGAGTGGATTAAGGACTCTGGAAAAGATTGCTGGAGGCCAGTAAATACCTCCATTTCCCAAGGCAAGTGTTGCAGGGAGCTGTTAAAGGGTCTTAGAGGAAAGTAATATCAGGACAACTTTTCGTGGTAAGTAACTTATACTCTTTTATTTTTTGAGACAGGGTCTCACTCTGTCACCCAGGCTGGAGTGCCCTGCAGCCTTCACCTCCCAGGTTCAAGCGATCCACCTGCCCCAACCTCCTGAGTAGCTGGGTAGCTGGGATTACAGGCATGCATTACCACACCCGGCTTATGCTTTTTTAATGAAAGGAAAAAAAGAAGGAATTAATTTATTCATGTATTTATTTATTTTATTTTTTTCTGTACTGGAAACAAGGTCTTGCTATGTTGCTTCTGTTGGTTTTGAACTCTTGGACTCAGCAGTCCTCCCACCTCAGCCTCCCAAAGTGCTAGGATTACAAGTGTGAGCCACCGCACCTGGCCAAGAAGGAATTTATTAAGAGGATCCTGAATATTTCCTATAATCAGAACTAAAATTGAATAACCGAAGTGGGAAATGTAAAAATGCTGCAACAGACCAGCTTCTTCCATGTAGCAGACCTACTTCACATAGCAGAGATTACTAGTAGCCTAATCCAACATGCATCGTCCTTTTCTCCTTAGTGACAAGATCCGTTTTACTCAGGGGAGTGAGCAATGGTTTCCAGCTATAAAGCTACATTTCCCAGCTTTCTTTGCAGCTAGGCATGACCATGTGATTAGGTTCTAACCAATGAGATGTAAGCAGAGGGTTAGGCCTTCTCAGAAGGAGGGACATGCACATTTACTTCCTTTTGTGCCTTCAACAGCTTGGAATGCAAATAGATCATTGAAGTTCTTGCATCTTTATTAAAACATGAGTGGACTGGAGCTGGAAATTTGCACTGAGGATGGAGAGGGAGAAAGTTAGGATCCTGACCCATGGAGCTCTCTGCCTGGCCCTGCAAGTTGTATCTCTAGACGTTTACATAAGAGCAACATCCATGTCTATTGTGTTCAACTCACTGCTTTCTGTTTAGTTTTGTTTTCTTGTGGTGTGATTGAGTGGGGCAGAGAATAGTACAGTACTACTGAATATAGTAAAATTCAAGTCATGGACTACAGTTAGGATATTTCATAATTTCTTATTCTATAGCATTTTTAACCAAAGAGGAATCTGACTGACTTCCTCAATTTTTGTTTTTAAAATTCCAGAAAAGTTCTTAGACTGGCCTAGCTCAGATGCAGTACTATCCCTGGACCAAACAGCTGTAGTCCTGGAAGCATGTCCCATGAAAGGCCAGGAAGAGAGGGGACACAGGATGTTTCCAATGCTGACCACTGCATGCAGAGGGAGGCGTAACAGATCCTAGATGCAAAGAGATGAGTAGACAATGCCTATATGTCTACTGTAAGAAGGAGTAGGGGCAAATTACATTAATTTTACCATTCCTGCACATGTCATTGTAATCAATAATGACATTTCATATTTGTATAACGGTTTTCAATTGTTTAGCAAATTACAATATAAAATCAATTTTTGCAGTTATGACCCCCTTGGATCTTCACAAGAAGCCTATAGGGTAGTTATGGATCATCCCTATTTTGCAGAAGCAAAACTGAGACCGAGAGAGTGTAAGTAATTCATTCAAAGTCTTCGTTGGGGAGTATCAGAGCTGGATCTCAAGTCAGGGTGCAATTTATACCACTCCAACTAACATATTAATTCAGCAGTCATTGAGCTTTCCTTTGACAGAGAGGACTGGATTAAAGATGATCTATCTCTTCTCCCATCCATCTCCACTCCCTATAAAAGACAGCTCTGTTATCATGATACTTAGAATTGAATTGGACAGAGGAGAAAACATACTGTATTAGTTCGTTTTCACACTGCTGATAAAGACATACCCAAGACTGGGTAATCTACAAAAGAAAAAGTTTTAATTGGACTTACAGTTCCACGTGGCTGGGGAAGCTTCACAATCATGGCAAAAGGCAAGGAAGAGCAAGTCATGTCTTACATGGATGGCAGGAGGCAAAGAGAGAGAGAGCTTGTGCAGGGGAACTCCTCTTTTTAAAACCATCAGATCTCATGAGACTTATTCACTATCACGACAACAGCATGGGAAATACTTGCCCCCATGATTCAGTTACCTTCCACCGGGTCCCTCCCACAACACATGGGAATTCAAGATGAGATTTGGTTGGGGACACAACCAAACCATATCACATACAGTGGAACTATTTTAAAGTACCAGGCAGGAAAGTAGCTATAAACTAAATAATGTCTCTAGAAGGAATGGATGCCTAAGCACTGCCTGCATGTGAAGTCAGAACTGGTCACTGCCAGGCTGCAGATGCTCCAGGAAAGTTGGCCATGATACTGATGTTAGCCCAGAAAATCCCTGGCAGCAAAGCTGTGAGAGCAACAATTTCTTTATTGGGACTTTTTAAAAAGAGCTTTTGGTATACTTGAAACATAAGTATGACTTATTTTCTCAGCTCTGGTAAATATTTAATTATCAAAAATAACAGTGTCTTTTTTCTTTTTTTTTTTACCTTTTTGAATCTGAATCATAGCTAGAATTTTATTAAGGCTCTCTTGGCAGTGAATGGCAGCCTAGTGTGGCTTTTTTTTTCTTTTCTTTTTTTTTTTTTTTTTTTGTGAGTTGGAGTCTTGCTCTGTCACCCAGGCTGGAGTGCAATGGTGCCATCTTGGCTCACTGTAACCTCTGACTTCCAGGTTCAAGCAATTCTCCTGCCTCAGCCTCCCGAGTAGCTGGGACTACAGGATCCCACAGTGTGGCATCTTTTAACTGGCATCCCTGTAATTAGAAGGAATTGTCTTTTTGTACCACAGATTTGAACTGGCTAATTTACTCAATGAATATTTAGCTTCATACGTAGGCAAACATTATGTGAAGAGAGGAAACTTTACTGAATAAGTATGCAACCTAGAAAACTTCCTAGGAGCCAAGTGTGGCCTGTCTATATGAGATTTTCTCCATGGCCCCTTACCCCAACTGTCATTTCCCACCTCTGCCATCTCAGATACACACACACACACAGACACACACACACACACACAGACACACACACACACACAACACATTCTGACATTTCTGGGGAAAGTGGGCAAGGTCCTCAGTTGTCATTCTTTGGAACTTTATATTTTTGTTTCTTATGAAACATTTTCAAATATTCAAAAATTTTAAAGAATAATATGATACTCTGTGTCTACCTCCTAGCATAAATAAAACATCACCAATAAAGTTAAATGCCCATGCACTACATCCCCTTTCTCCAAACCATATCCCCTACCCACTATTCCCACTCTCTTGAATTTGACCACCTTGAATTTGGTGTTTATATTGCTGTGTATTATTCATAAATGGTATATAATATGGTTTTGCATCATTTACAACTTTTATAAGTGGTATCATGGCGTATATATTCTTCTGCCACTTGCTTTTTTAGCTCCACAGTGTGTTTGTAGGATTCATCCATGTTGATATGCATAGCTCAACTGCATTCATTTTTATTACTATAAATACTTTCATTGAATGAGGCTGGGCACAGTGGCTCACGCCTGTAATCCTGGCACTTTGGGAGGCCGAGGCAGGCAGATCACTTCAGGTGAGGAGCTCAAGACCAGCCTCGTCAACATGGTGAAACCCTGTCTCTACTAAAAATACAAAAATTAGCCAGGCTTGGTGGCTCATGCCTGTAGTCCCAGCTACTTGGTAGCTGAGGCAAGAGAATTGCTTGAACCTGGGAGGCAAAGGTTGCAGTGAGCTGAGATTGTGCCACTGCACTCCAGCTTGGGTGACAGAGCGAGACTCTGTCTCAAAAAAAAAAAATAAAGATAAATAAAAATAAGAATTTCATTAAATGAATATGCCCCAACTTATTTATTTTTTATCCACTCTCCTGATAATGAAAATTTAGGTTGCTTCCTTTTATCTTTTTGTATGTCTCTCTCTTTTTTTTTTTCGGTTATCACAAACAACACAGCCATGATGCCTTTGGTGTGTGTCTCTTATGCATTTATATGAGAGCTCTTCTATGCCTAAGAGCAATGTCTAAGAGTGGAGTTGCTGGTTTGCAGAAAAATGTATCTTCAACTTTATGGAATGTTGCCAAACTCCTGCTACTCAGTGAAGAATATATAACCCAGGAAAAGTTGATCTTTGACCAAATCAGCCTTCCTTTTCAATGCTCTCCTGTGGCTCTGGGGACTTTCAGGAGCCTCCTTGGTGTTCCCAAGGGATGCTGGGCTCAGTGAGCCACCAGTAAGGGCCCAAAGCCACAGCCTCAGTGAGCAGGCCGAACAACCTGCCTGTTTCATTTTCCTGTTGATCTCCAGCACCTCTTTCTCCTCCAAGCTCTCAGAGACTTAGAGCTGGCAGAGGAGCATGATGAGCAATGCTGCTCAATGCCCACCATCACTATGACTACTGAGGGCCCAGGCCTTGAACCCTTGGATTCCCAGAGACTAAGCAGGGAACACGAGTCCTCAAGAAATGCAAGAGCAGCCCCAGGGCAAGAATAGATTGGTTCTACTGTCCTAAGGAAAGAGCTGATCAGTCTTAAGGGTTTACCGTCTCCAGGGCTACTTGCATTGTAATAGGAGAGTCTCAGAGAGTGCAAACCCTTCCACATCAAAGGAACAAATGAATCTCTTATGAAAGATTATCAAGCCCTGTGGAAGAGGGGAATGGGGAATGATTTAGCAGGCAGAGGTCAGCCTGGCTTCCCAGGAATCCCCTTCTATAAGAAGCTGCTGGGTCAGCTCGTCATTAAGCTCTGCCTTGCAGGGAAAGAGGGCTGTTATGCCTGAGAGCGCACCTCTGGGCTTAGGAAGTGCAGGCTGGGCAGGGCACTGAGGAGGCCATATGGCAGCATCCACACCAGCCCCAGCCAAGTGTCCCCTTAACCTCAGGCCTGGCCAGCCCTCTAGCACACTGCCAGATCCAAGTCTGCTAGAGAACTCGGTTGGGCTCAGGCTGCCACCCCCATGCACTCAGGTATTAGGGGAACTGAGTGCCAACCCTGGAGAAACCTGCACCTCTACAACCCCAGGCCAGGATGGAAACACCCAGGGTCGACCACAGCCTGACCCCGGGGATCTGCCCACATAAGGTCTCCAGCTAGTGTTGCAGCCCGAGGTCTACCCTCCCATCCAACGCATCACTGCCACCACATTACCACCGAGGCACTTGCTGGTACAGCTGGTGGGTGAACTCTTTATCACTGCATGTGGTGGGCTCACCCATAGCTGCCTCTTGGTAAACTTGGTGTGGCTGAGGCACAGCCCTTAGTCACTGAGGACTTACTTCTGCCCAAAGTCTCCTTCGACCACCCCAGTCCTCCCCACCCACTGGAGCCAGGAATTCCCTCTCTGAAGGGCCAAGTGAGACTCAAAGGAGAAGTCAGTTCCCAAGCCACCTAGCCAATAGCAGGGTTGGAACTTGCCATCAGAGCCTCAGCCACAGAGAAAGGAAGCTGCCAAGAAGCTGGACCCCAGTGGGCAACGGAGCCTCGTAGCTGCCCCCAGCTGTGCGGCACCCCAAACCCCCATGCAGCCCTGCAACAATGCCTGAACTAATTCTATCCCATTCTCCTTTAAAAAAGAAAACCCTGGAAATAATTACTTCAGTCAGACATTATTTACTTAAGTAATTCTTTACTCAAACGTCTTTAGGCTTTATTTTACTAATACTACATAATTACGTAATTGTGTAATTAGGAAGAAATTAAATGACAAATGTTTGCTGAGAACAAATTGAAAAAAATAGATCCTTTATTTCCCTGAGTGTTCTCAGTTCAGTACATGACATCTTCTTCCCCCTCCTCCCGTTCTTCCCTCTGGTCTCCCCACCCTCTGAGGTCTCCCCACAGGGGGCATCTCGAGGGCTGACTCCCTGGACAAGTAACAGCAGGTGTGGCATCTTGAGCCTGAGGTAGATCTGAAATGTCTGTCAGCTAACCTGTGTGTCTCTCTATACTGCCTGACCTCCTCCTAGGTTGGGCACTGGAGTCAAGCTTTCTCTGGTTTGCTCTTTCTGTCTCTAAGAAGCCTGGGAGACCCATGAACTCCAACCCACAGCCATCCTAGGAAAGTGAGTACAGCAGCTAGCTAGCCCTAAGGACTATCTTCCCGTGGGCACTGGCCTATTCAGCATGTTCTGCAGACGTGCTTTCAGAGGCTGCCAGGTCCTCAGGCTGAAAGAAAAGAATGAGGGGTCCACCAGGTTGAAAGGGAGTTCAGTGTGGATCTGCTTCACCAACTTCACAGGAATCCATAGCGTCTGCCCCAAAAATCTACCCAAGAAGGAGGCACAGCATGCACCCCAGGACTAAGCTGCCGATGGAGAGGAACCTGTTCACATAGACCACCACGCCTCCCTCCCTCCTTCCTTTCTCCAACCTCAGAAGCTGTGGAAGCCAGTGGAGCTTCCTGTGGGTAAAAAATTCAATCAATCAACCACCCACCCAACACCCATGGAGCATGTCTTTTGTTCAAGTTCTGAGGGGGACACAAAAGAGCAGGCAGGCCACAGCTATGCTCATTAATACGTCAGCTGCTTGGAACTTGGCATGTAGAGCTGTGTTATTCACAGCAGAAAGTTTCCTAGGCCAGCCTGCCAAAAAAAAAAAAAAAAAAAAAAAATCACTACTAAATGTCCCCGGCATTCAGTACCAGAAAGGAAGAGTACTCTTGGGCACTCAAGACTGCTGAAGCTCACATCCTGTCTCCAACACTTGCAGGCTGTGGGCCTGGATGAGTGACTCCATCTTGCTATGCCTCCATTTTCTTGTCAGTAAAATGCGAACCATGAACATGCTACCAGATTCTTGTGAGGATTAAATGAATCTGTGCAGTGAGACACTCAGAAGAGCACCAAGTGTTCAATAAACAGCAATGATGGTCTTCAACGTGTCACTGCAAAAGCCAAGCCATACAGAATAGAAGGGTGCTGTGGGAAAGCGCCCCTGCCAGGAGGATGGCCAGTGCTGGAGGCTCCTCCCCACCTTCACCAGCCCCAACTGACTGTGACTTCGGAGCTCAGGGTAGGGCTGGCAGACGAAGAGTCTGGGAAAGACAAGAAAAGCAAAGGGACACCATGCCCAGGGGAAGGGGCATGGAGCCATGGGAGAGGGACTTCCTGAGACTGAACTGCCCAGAGAAACTTCTACTAGGGGCTTTTCACTTCGGGGGCCAATTGTAGAAAAGAACACAGTGTCCCCAGTCTGACAAACTTGAAAATACTTTCTGAAAAGGGAACGAGTATACACTGTTGGTGGGGATGCAAATTAGCTCAGCCCCTGTGGAAAGCAGTTTGGAGATCTCTCAAAGAACTAAAAATAGAATTACCATTTCACCTAGCAAGCGAACTGGGTCTATAACCAAAGGAATAGAAATTACTGGGTATATACCCAAATAAATAGGAATCGTTCTGCCAAAAAGACACCTGCGCTTGTATATTCATGGCAGCACATTCACAATAGGAAAGATGTGGAATCAACCCAGTTGCCCGTTAACAATGGATTGGATAAAGAAAATGTGGTACATCTACACCATGGAATACTACACAGCTATTAAAAAGAAGGAAATTAGATCCTTTGCAGCAACATGGATGCAGCTGGAGGTCACTCTCCGAAGTGAATTAACATAGAAACAGAAAACCAGATACCACATGTTCTCTCTTGTAACTGGGAGCTAAACATTGTGTACACATGAATACAAAGAAGGGAAAAATAAACATTGAGGATTCCAAAACAGGGGAGAGGTGGAGGGGAGTAAGGGTTGAAAAACTACCTTTTGGGTACTGTGTTCACTATTTGGGTGATGGGATCATTAGAAGCTTAAACCTGAGCACCATGCAATATACCCATGTAACAAACCTGCACATGTACCTCCTGAATCTGACATTTAACAATAAATACATTCTAAGAAAAAAGGAAAATACTTTCCGAGGTTAACTTTTCTTTTTTTCTGCACACCATGGAGAAACAAATAAGATATTAAAGCGACTACTTCCTCTGATGTCACTTTTCATTAGTTTCATAATGAAACTACAAAACAAAGAAACACACAAACCACAGACAAGTGCGAATGGTGGGTCTTGGGTATCCACTGAGGTGAAGCACTTCCCACTGAGGTGAAGGACCCAGGCTTCTGGCCATCTCAGGCTAGAGACAGGGCCTAGAGGAGGGGGTGAGGGCCACGATGGATACAGGCTGGGCACTCTGAGCCCTTTTGACAAGCAGGAGAAATGATGGGTCAAGGAATTTGACCTCCCTGCTCCCCAGTCCTCTCCATAGGAGAGAAAGCATGCACTTCGGAATTTGAATCCCGGCTTAACAAGCTTGGTATCTGACTGACCTTAGGCAAGCTGTTGGGCCTCAGTTTCCTCATTTATAAATCAGGTCTTATAAAATGATTAAATGATCTTTCACAAGACTGTTAAAAGGATTACATGGAATACTGCATTATAAAACACTTAGCTCAGGGCCCTGGCATATATTAAGAATGTAATAGATGGTAATTCATTTATTCATTATTATTATCATGATTATTTCATGGATCCACCACCAGTCCTGCTGCCATAGATCAGATCTTAGGGGGTGTCAAGTTTGGGAGCCTAGGGAAGGGGTGGGGTTTCAGGCCACTGCAAGCGACAATGAGGTCTATAGAAGTGAGGGGAGGGGAGACCAGGGAGAGAGCAGATGAAAGAAAATTTGAAGCAGCTGCAGAGGATAGGGCAGGTCCAAGCCCCATGTGTAGTCCCTGGCTAACCAGCCTGGGCCGCTGTCCCCATGCACTGCCCAGATGGAAGAGACAGTTGACTGGCTAACTGAGAGATCTCTGCCTGAGACAAACCCACCCACGAGGGAGAAATTCCAGCCACCTTCTTTCCAGCATCCTCCACAAAGTTTCTTATTTCCACAAGCCCCTTTGAGGTCTTTAACTTATAATCTAAGGGGGTAAAATTTGCTCATATTCTTTCAGAGGCTAGCCTCAGAGAACTGCATTTTTAAGATTTGCTGTCATAGGCCAGGCACGGTGGCTTACGCCTGTTATCCCAGCACTTTGGGAGGCCAAGGCAGGCAGATACTTGAGGTCAGGAGTCCGAGACCAGCCTGGACAACATGGTAAAACCACGTCTCTACTAAAAATACAAAAATTAGCTGAGCATGGTGGTGGGTGCCTGTAATCCTAGCTACTCTGGAGGCTGAGGCAGAAGAATTGCTTGAACCCAGGAGGCGGAGGTTGCAGTGAATAGAGATCGTGCCACTATACTCCAGCCTGGGCGACAGAGCGAGACTCCATCTCAAAAAAAAAAAAAAATTGCTGTTTTAGCCTTCAGTAAGCCTAGATGCCCACACCTCATCCCCCTACTCAGGCATGGTCTGGGTGTGCCCTACGTGATGTTAACCAGGGCGCTTGCTCTGGCCAGGCTTCCAAAGCTTGGGAATTTAATTAGCCAAGAGAAAGAGGTTCCTCCCAGTGAGGGGGCTTTGCTTCCTCGGATAATTTCCATGGCTCCTTCTGCAGCTGAGTTAGTTCTCACTGGTTTTCATTTTGCTCTGCTCTGCTCAAACTCTCTCAGTCACACTCTGCATTTGCTTTAAGACTGGGTTTGGTGTCCTGTCCAAGCTCTCCCAGCCTGGCCCTGATTTTGCCTTTGCTGCTGCCCCCGTGGTGAGTCAGCTGACTCCCAGAGGCCTCCTCAAACCCTGGCTGAGGGCCTTCTAATCTCACCTCTGTGTTCTCCTTTGCAGGCAGCTACAGGATCGGGATGGAGCAGCAAAAGAACTAGGAAAGCCAGAGTGAGAACAGCCACACCCCTTCTCTCTAGGTCCAGTTTCCATTTTAATTCAATGTGATGGATATTTATAGAGTGTCTAACACAGGAGGGCTCAGAACCAAGTGTGTGTGCGTGTGAGTGTGTGTGGGAGAGGGCGTGTGTGTGCCTTGGGAGGTTCTGTGATGGGATAGATGGAGACTCATCTTTTTTGGCTTATATCTCATATCTTAAAAAATGAAATTCAGAACTGCTTTGAATGTTCTACAGAACACATCGCACCCCGTCAATACTGATCAATGGATGAACTGAGTTTTTTAATTTCAGGGTTTTCTCACAAGTTGGGTCCCCAGGGCCCAGAGGGAACACTACCCCCTCAGCTCTCAGCCCCTCCAATCTCCACACTAATCCATGGCTTTGCCTCTTGTGGCTCTCGGGCTGAGAGCTGGAGGTAATCATGATAAGTCTGCAATTAACACAGTCTCCCTCCTCCTCTAACCTTAACAAAGACAGAGACAGCCAGCACAGGGGCTGCACTTGTCTCCTCCTCTGCGCTGTTTGTTAGCCTCACAGATTATTATTAGAGGCACTGCAGAGCTAATCACCTCCCTGGTGGACACCCTGCCTCCCCCTGGCTCCTGCTCCTACATCCTCTGCATTTGACCTGGCTTCCCAGGGCTCCCTGGCTGCTTGCTGGCTGCTCCCGGGGAGGAGCAGAGGTGAGCCCACCTGGGCAGTTCTAGGGGATCATCTCCCCCAGGAGGGTGGCCTCTGCCCTGAGCCCCCAAGGACAGACACTGGTGGGGGTAGAGGGGGTGGAGGAAGAGAGGGGAGAGGAGAAGAGAAGGAGAGGGAGGAGGAACTTCGGAGAGGTACTGTAAGCTAAGCTGCCCTGGCGCTTATTCAACTCTAGTTAAGCCCTTGTTAGTACAACCAGGGGGAAGCACACTGGGAGAGGGAGGAAGACCAGAGGATGGCAGAGCTCCCCTCCCATAAATCAATGAAGGGTAATAGAGGAGGGTAATTAGCATTTCTCTCCTTCCCCAAAAGACTGCAGAAGAGAAAACAAACTTCAATTCCAGCAGAAGGAATTTAAGTAGCCCAGAGAAAGAAGTTCCTCCCAGAGAGGGGCCTTGCTTCCTCAGATAATTTCCATGGCCCCTTCTGCAGCCAAATTAGTTTTCACCAGTTTTTATTTTTCTCTGCCCTGCTGAAACTCTCTCAGTCACCCTCCCTGGGTGGGAGGAAATCCACACCCAGCGGCCTCACATTCAAGGTCTGCCCTTCCCACTCCAGGGTACTCTCTTGGCCTATCCAAGCCTTAGTCTTCCTGAGAAGCCAGCTGGGTGGCTCCAGATACAGGTGTCCCCTCCTGGCTCTGGCCTTGCATTCACCTGGCAATCCCAGGCCTGCTCCTGGTGTAGATCCATGTCTTACGTATCTCTTGAGTTTCCTCACTCCTGGGTGCAGTGTCTTACATAGAAAAGGTGCTTAGTGGATATCATGTGCTTAACATAAGGGACAAAGTAAGTCCTGGTGTTCTTGTCAGTTGCAGGATGATAGCACCAGCTTCAGTGCAACAAGGAAGATGAACAAGAAAAAGAATAATTCATCATAGGGTCTTTACCTCATTTCTTCCCTGGGACTGCCTTATTCAGTAGACATTATTATTTTTATTTTATATATTTGCAAACTGAGGCTTGAGAGGCAATTTGCCCAATGCCACATAGCCCCTAATTGGCACAACTGTGGGATACGAATTGAGATCTAATCCCCAAACCTAAATTCCCTCCACCATGGGATATCTCCTTGGTCGAAACTCCCTTAGATATGAGGTCAATTTGACCGACATTTCTAATTTTTAAAACTTTGCATAGGATTTTCAAAAAAAAAAATGGTGGAGCAAGTGGAAAACATGTTCGATATCACTAATCATCAGGAAAATACAAATCAAAACTGCAGCGAGACATCACCTTACACCCATTAGAGGATGGTCACGAGATGGAGGAAAAGAGAGAGAGAATTTCCATGGCTCCTTCTGCAGCCGAGTTAGTTCTCAGCAGTTTTTATTTTTCTCTACCCCGCTCTAACTCTCTCAGACACCCTCCCTAGTGGGAGAAAATCCAAACCCAGGGCCCAACATTCAGTGTTTGCCTTCCCCTCTCCAAGGTACTCTCTCAGCCTGGGTTTGAACTTAAGGCCTGGATGAGGTTTTAGAAAGGAGATTCTGACACAAGCTACAACATGGATGAACCTTAAGAACATTATGGTAAGTGAAATAAGCCAGAGAGAGAGAGAGAGAAAGGGAAAGAAAACAACAACAAGTGTTGGTGAGGATGTAGAGAAATTGGAAAAGTATAACACTTGTGCCCTGCTGGTGGAAATGAAAATGGACACAGTTGCTATGGAAATGGTGTTGGTTCTTTAAAAAATTGAAAATAGATTGCCATATGTCTCAGTAATCCTACTTCTGCATACATACAGAAGAATTGAATGCCAGATCTTGAAGAGAGATTGCATGTCCATGTTCATAGCAGCATTACTCATGATAGCAAGACATAGAAGCAACCCAACTGTCCATCGGCAGAAGAGTGTCTAAAGAGAATGTAGTATATATGCACAGTGGAATATTATGCAGTCTTTAAAAGGAAACTCTGACACATGCCACTACATCAATGAACCTTAAGGACATTATGCTAAGTGAAATAAGCCAGTCACCAAAAGGCATATACTGTGTGATTCCACTTACATGAAGTGCCAAGAGTAGTCAAATTCAGAGACAGACAGTAGCAGAGTGGTTACGTACAGCTGTGGGGAGGAGGAGGGGAGTTATTTAATGGGTACAGAGTTTCAGTTTTACAAGATAAAAAAGTTCTGGAGATTGGTTGCACAACAATGTGAATATATTTAACGCCAGTGAACACTGTACTTAGAAGTGGTTAAGATGGTAAGTTTATATTTTATGTTATAGGCTGGGCATCGTGGCTCATGCCTGCAATCCCAGCACTCTGGGAGGCCGAGGAGGGTGGATCACCCGAGGTCAGGAGTTTGAGACCAGCCTGGCCAACATGGGGAAACCCCTTCTCTACAAAAAATACAAAAACTAGCTGGGCGTGGTGGTACACACCTGTAGTCCCAGCTAATCCAGAGGCTGAGGCAGGAGAATCACTTGAACCCAGGAGGTGGAGGTTGCAGTGAGCCAAGATCATGTCACTGCACTCCAGCCTGGGTGACAGACTCCATCTCAATAAATAAATAAATAAATAAATAAATTTTATGTTATATGTTTTTTACCACAATTAAAGAGAAAATTTCTTTTTAATCCCTCACTCTCAGGGAACTTACATTCCTGTACTCTGAAAGGTACACCAGTTCACATCCCTGTGGTTGTCTCCTCCTGGGCCCCCTCCCCTTTCCATGGGTAGGAGAGGCTGTGCAAGCAGCCATCAGCGCATCTCTCTGCCCTGCACTTTCAAGCCTGGCACCCCTGCACCTCTCTGCACATCTCCTCAAGCTGGGGAGGATGGTGCCAGTAGGTCCAGCTTACTCTCACTGGCGCCCCTTGAAGGGCAATCATGATGGTGTCAAACACAGCCCTGCTGGAGGCTCCTTGAGGACACAATGCAGTTTCATCGCAGGGAAATCAGAGGCTCTCTCCTCTTGCCATTCCAGACTCTCCTGGGCAAGGAGTTTGTTGGCTTGTCACAGATCACCTGAGGGTGTACAGGTGTGTACTGTGTGTGCTCCTCTGAGTGTGCATGCAGCACCCAGGGCTGGGTGGGAGGATACTTCCTGCAGGACCCCCAGATTCAGCCAGCTGCCCGCAGGCTACCACACAGCCTGACCTCTCCCCAGAGAGCCTGTCTGGCGCTAATTGTTTGTTGCTCAACTGCAAATGCAGCTTCTCCACCAAAGTCTTCTTTGTCCAGATGTTGTCATCGGCCAGCCCCATCCAGCAGGGCTGGCCTGGGGTCTGGCTCTCACCTGTCAATCCTGACATCTTCAGTGGATAATGGAACACAAGGATGAGAGAGGCAGAGCAGATGCATGCTAATGAGGAGATCAATTTTAATTATGATTTTAATTAAACACCCGATCCAGTAGGAAATATGACAAGAACTAGGCTGGGGCTGTGCAACCTGAAAGAACGGAGGGGAATGAGAGTGGGAGGCACAGGGAAAGGGAGGCGCCTCTAGGCCTCCTCAGGATTTAAAAGAAGGAAAGGGCAGCGCTACTGGGAAATAGAGAAAAACCTGTGTCACCTGAAATTCGCACATAGTAAGTCTTTTCCTCTAAAGAGCATTTAGATGTCTAGACTCCTGGATGGCAGAATCTTAGCAAGGAAGCCTTGGAGATGGACAGGCTCCACCCCTTCATTTCACATGGGGAAACTGAGGCTCAGAGGGGAGCTAGGACTCTCTCATCTGCCCCCATAATATAACTGTACATGCTTCAAATAGAGTATTTGTTGCACTAAAAAATCATGAACTCTTCACGGTCTCCCTCTTGTTTATATCAAGTGTCTATAACATAAGAGAGTTCTTTGCACGATGCAAGCCCCCGGAGGGTGAAGCTACTTCTGCCCAGCTCTCTTTGCACAAAATTACAAGCAAGTGGACACTGAGAGCATTGTTGATGCTCATAGTGGTGGTGCCTCCTCTACTGCAAGAAGAATTATATGTAATAAAGGATCTTCTCCAAACTCCACACTCCACTCCCACTCAGGACAATCCCTGATGAGCTGCAGGCACTCAGGAAATGTTTGGGCCATGAATAAGTACATTAAGTAAAGTCTGTAACATTTAACAAGTCCGGAGCAGCACCCAATTAGCCACTCTGAGTTCTTTTTTTTCCCCCAGCTTTATGAACGTGTGATTGACAAATAAAAATCATGTATGTTTAAGGTGTACAATGTGACGTTTTGATATACATATACAGTGTGAAATGATTCCTACAATCAAGCTAATTAATATACCTGCCATTTGACAGTTACATTTGTGTGTATGTGTGTGTATGTGTGGTGAGAACGCTTAAGATCTTCTCCCATATCAAAGTATATTTCAAGTATATAATACATTATTATTAACTAAAATCACTATGCTGTCCATTAGCTCTCCAGAACTTATTAATTTTATAACTGAAAGTTTGGACCCTTTGGTCAACAATTCCTCATTTCCTTCATCCCTCGGCCCCTGGTAGCTACCCTTCTACTCTGTGCTTCTGAGTTCAGCTTTTATGTCCCATATATAATGAGATCATGTGATATTTACCTTCTTGTGTCTGGGGTATTTCACTTAGCATAACATCCTCCAGATTCACCCATGTTGTTGCAAATGGCAGGATTTCCTTCTTTTTTTAAGGCTGAATAGTATTCCATTGGGTACATATGCTGCATTTTCTTTACCCACTCATCTGTCAGTGGATACTTAGGCTGTTTCCTCTTGGCTGCTTGGCTACTGTGAATAATGCTGCAATCAAGATGGGAATGCAGCTATCACTTCTCAGCTGTTCTTAAGCCAGGCTATCAGATTTCTCAACATTGCCCTGATGGAAGAGAGCGATGTGCATGTGTGTGTGTTCTGTATGCCTTGCCATGTATGTGGCAGCAGATGATAGGAACTGATGGGAGGAGGAAGCTTAAGGGGGCAAAGGAACTAATTCTACGAAATACTTAATAATGGACAATTACAGAATAACGCAATGCAGAACTGCAAATGACCTTATAGATGGGTGCTAACAAAACTTTATTTATTTATCTATTTATTTATTTACTTACTTACTTGTTTTTAGAGACAGGGTCTTACTATATTGACCAGGCTGGTCTTGAACCCCTAACCTCAAGCCCAATCCTCCTGACTCAGCCTCCCAAAGTGCTGGGATTACAGGCATGAGCCACCATATCCACCCCCAAAACTTTTTATAGTGATGAAAATGTCTGATATCTAACCTGTCTGATATAGTAGCCACGGGCCACACATGTAGCTAGTGAGCATTTGAAATATCAGCTACTGTGACTGAGGAGCCAAATTTTTTAACAAATTTAATTAAAATTAAATTCAAATAGTCACATGTCGCTAGTGGTTACAATGTTGGACAGTGCAGTTGTCGATCACCTAAATTTTTTCTTTGGTTAGCAGAAGAAACTGAGGCCCAAAGAAATAGCTCTTGGGCATCACCCAAGCTTATCCATTGGACTTCACAGGTAGCACATCAAGACTCAATTGTATCATGGCTTTCTGGTGCATTCATGGAGTGTTTGTCCCACTTACAGAGATGTTAGCAGAGTCCCTTTATGAGGCCCAGGGGTAAAGACCAAAAAGATTCACCACAGTTCCTCAGGTAAGTTTGGACTGGAAGAGCTGGAGGCAGGGGCAAGACCTTGGGGGAAATCACCCAACTGCTGCTTCGGTCTCTTCTCTGCCACCATCAATGCCCCAGCAGGGTGAGCGCATCTGGTTCTCTCCACCCAGGTAATGTGAGGTCTCTCCCGCCTCGTCGCCTGCAGCTAAGGTCTCATCACTGGCATGAACAGAAAAGCCAAGATTGGAGATGGTGGCAGAAGTTAATTGAGATTAGATGCGCGTGTTCCATGGTTAACAAAAGCACAGATGCTCCAGAGCCACTTCTTAAACCCGATCATTTTCTAAGTACTCTCCCATCCTCCCTCGCTGCTGCCTTCCACCCTACCCCCAGCAATCCACTGCCTCCAGGGGCTCCGGAGAGGTATGGATTGGGCTCTTTCTCCCTTTGCATGTTATGACTCGATATCAGTTAACCCTTTTCCATAGTGAGTGAGGTCATTTGTGGAAGGAATGGAGAAAACAGAGACCCCCGGCCTCGCCTTAGCACACCCCCTCCCCTCCTTCTCCCTCATGTCTCCGCTGCTGTCGGCTTCCTTATTTGGGCTGCCAATAACAGAGGTGAAGTCAAGGTACCCACAAATCACCCTCTACAGTCAGAACACAAAGAACGTCCATTGTCAAAACATATTTCAGGCTCCCATGGCAGGGATGGAGAATCAGGGAAAAGCACGAGCTATGAATCGCCAGAGAATTCCCCCAGCCTACCCCAAGGAACCCCATTGTTGGAGCAATTGAATTCCAAGCTTCAGATGGACTCTGATTCTCAGACTCAGGGAGCTAGTTCACCAGGGCCACCTTCTTAGAAAAGATGAGTTCAGCATTATCTGTTCCTTTGGAATAAGTAAGGGATTGAGAAGGACAGAGATGTAAGCAATTCCCACCTGTGATTCTAAAAGTGCTTTCTTCTTCAGCCCAAATCTGAGCAGTTTCCGTGTCAGCCACACCCTAGGGTGCAAGCACACTGTCCCTGGACCTAGAGTCTGATTTGTACACTCAGGAGCCTCCAAGGAGGACAGAGATAGCCTCACAATAAACGCAGCGGTCTTCCTGGGAAGAGAAAGACCCTGCCGAGCCACTCCTGCCTGCCTGTCCGAGACCTGTTAGCTGAAACAGACAAAAATGTAAGAGACAGCCTGTTGACCTGCTGGGGCACAGGGGAGCCAGGAGCACACAGGACAAGAAGGAAGCCACATGGGGAGGCAGGCTATGAAGCCATCAGCGAGGGAAGGGCCGGGGAGGGACACCTGCCAGAGCTGGCCCTTCTAGCTGTAAGTGGGGTCTCAATTGGAATAAAATTCTCTTTGAAAAAAACTGACAAGGTGGTTTTTTGGCTACCACTCAGCAATTCCCTTTGCACCTTTCTTAAGGAATTCCTTCTGGGAAGCAGCCCATGTGTTAAAGGAACGAACCAGCCCACTCTTGTTGAAGCTGGCCCCTTGTGCCTTCTTCAGTCCATTTCAGCAGTCACTGGACATCTACTCTGTACTTTCTTCTTTCTCTTCACCACAGAGGACCTCTTTTCTTGCTAGCACAATGCCTTTCTCTCTTCTTTTACATTGTATTTTATTTTTTGTAGAGACAAGGTCTCACTATGTTACCCAGGCTGGTCTCAAACTCCTGGCCTCAAGCAATCCCCCTGCCTTGGCTTCCCAAAGCACTGGGATTACAGGCAGGAGCCAATGTGCCCGGCCCCTGTTTCTCTTTTCATTGGATTCCCCCACTGGTGAAAAATGGCTGGAGATACTGAAGGTCAGGGAGGGAGGCAATGGCAGGAGCAGAAATGGAAGCAAAGGAGGGCTGTGACAGCACCATGTCTCTTAATTGGTATTCAGATTCTTGCCTGACTTGGTTTTGTCCCCAGCATTGGCCTGACTCCTAAAGGCAGCTTGCATTGGGTGACCTTGAGGGTCCCTGAAGGTAAGGGCTGAGCTGTAGAAGCATTGGACAGCTTTCCCCAGCTCACTTGCCTCTACATAGTCTACTGGAGGTGCCTCTGGGTCCCACTCAAGCTCCGAGTAGACACACCCACCACCTACCTGCAGGGCACTGCATTCAAAGCCAAACAAACCTGAGACACTCTGTGTTATCTTAAACTGCACACCCACACAGTGCTCCTGGGAGCATCCAGGATGGGAAACAGCAGAGGTGAAGATTTCAGCCTGACAGCCAAGGAGACCCACATCTTGAACAAATACGCTTCTTCTGCTTCGGAACGTCTGCCCAAGCCCAGCAATTTCATCATCGTTTGCTGCAATTAGCAAGCCCTGGTCAACACACAAGGAGTTTATTTGCACTGATAACATCTCCCATCATCTAAGACCTTCCTGCCAAAGGTCACCATAGAGCCTGTCGGCAGGAATCCTTTTCTGGCCCACTCCTCTGCCATGTCAGGTGGGGGTAAGGTGTGAATGGAATTCCTTGTCTCTCAATTTTGAAGATGTTATAATCTAGGCTCAGAGCTTAAGGAAAATCCTGCCAGTTAGAGAACAAATCCAGGTGGAGCCATGGCATCCTCTTCTTTGAGCTTTTCTCACACTGACCACAGCAAATCTATCAACCGATATTTAGTGAGGACCTATTACAAATGAGGCATCACAGAAGACCCAAACATGTGCACATCAAAATTCCTGCCCTCACTGGAAGAAATCTCTGCTTTTTTGAGGAGATGCCATTCAGGGCACGTCAGGAGCTATGCAAGTGTGAACTGCACAACTCCAGGGAGTACATTCACATGGAGCACAACACAGTGGCCCTGGATGTAATGATACGAACGTGTTATTCCCAACAGGAGGAGGTACTCGCCAAATGCTGTAGAAACAGAGAAGGGTGAGGTCATGTGGGGTGACGGGATGGAGGGACTTCAAAGTCCTGGGGCTTGAGTTTCACCTAGAAGGATGATCTGGATTTAGCTGAAAGGAGATTGATGCAGAAGACACTCCAGAGTGTAAAATCCCTAGAGGTAGGGGTCTGGTCAGAAACAGCTGGTAAAAGCTCGCAACATACTGAACAGAATAGTTTGTCTGGAAAGGAGAGTTTATGTGGAGCAGAGGTAGGAAACCTGTTTAAAAATATAAACTGAAGTCCAAATACCACTGAAGGGTCCTTGGCTGAACTCTGTCCTACTAGAGAACCATGTCCTAGATCTTCCTAGAGATGAGAGGATGCTGGGTGGAGTTCATGGATAGGGTTCAGATCCAGCTCTGTGGCTGAACCTCCAAATGGATGCTCACCCAACGTGGGCAGCAGGCTCTTGTGCAGCCCCACTCCTGAGGACTGCACCCCCACTTTTCCTCACTGGGAGCCTAACATCTGCCATCTAATCACTGTGGGAACAAGGCTTTCCCATTCACTTCAGTTCCATTCTTTAGAAAAGAGCCTTTCCTCATTTTCCTGCCTCCAAACCCATCAACTTCTCTAAACCCACACCCATCTTCCCTCCCTCTCCTTCCTCCTATCCCAGTGGAGGCAGAGGCTGGTCCTTCTGTGTTCCAGATCTCAAAACACTTCAGGGGTTTGTTGCATTGTTTACGCCCTCCCATTCTAAAATTTTCAACTTCCCCTCCCTACTTGAACTTTCTCTTCATTATTTAGATATGCTCTAGAATCCCCCATCTTAAAATGGAAACCTTCCTTAACCCCACACCGACCTCTAACAACCGCTCTATCTCTGTATTTACTATCTTCCCCACCAAGCTGCCCAACAACCTTGTATACAGATGCTTTCTCCATTTTCTTACTTTAACCCACATCATTGTGTCTTCCACAGCTGTCCCCCACCATGACACACACACACACACACACACACACACACACACACACACACACCACTGAAACTGCTTTTGCCAAGACCACCAGTGACTCCCAGGTTACTAAATGTCATGGGCACTCTCTAGTGCCTTCATCCTACTCAACTCTTCAATAGTGTTTGACCAGTTAACCCCTCCCTCCTTTTTTGAAGCACTCTCGTCTTTCTGTTCCTATGATGTCACTGTCTCCCAGTTTTCTCCTCTCTTGCTGTGCTTTTTGCAGCCTCCCTTTCCTTGAGCAAACCATACTAACTCTTTACTATTTGTACAAGTCTATGCACTTTATATTTCTAACTGCTTTAATCCTCAAAACAATCCTATGACACAGATGTTACTATTTTCCCCATTTTGCTAGAAAAGAAAACTAAGACACAGAAAAACTTTGCTCAGCTTACTTAGTAACTGCAAAAGACAAGATTTGAACAGACAGTTTTGGTCCTGAGTCTGTGCTGTTCAATGCCACATTTCGCTGTCTCTTTACTTGTATTAGAATAGAATAGAATGGGTTGCAATAGCAAACAACCTCAAGATCTCAGTAGCTGGACAAGAGTCTATTTCTACCTCATGTTTTATGTCCAGGATATATCTTCAAGGATTCTGCTCCACAAAGTCACCCAGGGACCCAGGTAATGGAGGCCCCAACAACTAGTAGCTGCAGAAAGGATAGATAGGGAGAGAGAGAGAGAGAGAGAGAGAGAGAGAGAGAGAGAGAGAGGAGAAACTGGAACATTACATATGGGTTTTTCAGTGTGATTTCCACTCACATTTCTTTGACTAGGACTAGTCCCATGGCCTTACCTAAATGCAAGAGGGATGGGAAATATTGGGAAGCAAATGGAATACTTGCTGAGATATTGTATCTGCAGTACTAAACTTTATCTTTTTATTTTTATTTTTTTAGAGACAAGATTTCATTATGTTGCCCAGGCTGGTCTCAAACTTGTGAGCTCAGGCGATCCTCCCACCTCATCCTCCTGAGTATCTGGAATTACAGACGTGAGCCACCATTCCTGGCTCACAATACTAAACACTTTTTTTCTTTCCACCTTTTAGGTTCAAGGGGTACATGTGCAGGTGTGTGACATGGGTAAATTTCATGTCATGGGAGTTTGATGTACAGATAATTTTGTCATTCAGGTAGGTAATCAGCATAATACCCTACAGGGAGTTCTTCAGTCTTTACCCTTTTCCCATCCTCCACCCTCAAGGAGGCTCCAGTGTCTACTGTTTTCTTGTGTTCATGTGTACTCAATGTTTAGCTCCCACTTATAAGTGAGAACATGTGGTATTTGGTTTTCTGTTCCTGCATTAATTTACTTAAGATAATGGCTTCCAGCTCTATCATGTTACAGCAAAGGACATAATTTCATTCTTTTTTATGGCTGTGTAGTATTCCGTGGTGTATATGTACCATATTTTCTTCATCCAGTCCATTCCTGATGGGCATCTAGGTTGATTCCATGTCTTCACTATTGTAAAAAGTGCCGTGATGAACATACTCGTGCGTGTGTTTATGGTAGAACGATTTCTATTCCTGTGGGTATATATCCAGTAATGGGGTTGCTGGGTCAAATGCTAATTCTATTTTAAGTTCTTTGAGAAATCTCCAAACTGCTTTCCACAGCTGCTGAACGAATTTCCATCCCCACCAGCAGTGTAAAAGCGTTCCCTTTTAAGTACAAATTCACCAGCATCTTTCGTTTTTTTCCTTTTAATAACAACCACTGCAGTTTTAACTTGCATTTCCCTAATGATTAGTGAGAGTGAACGTTTTCCATATGCTTTTGGCCACATATACGTCTTCTTCTGAGAAACTGTCTATAAATGCTGGAGATTCTCCAGACTCAGTCTTAGGCCCTCATCTTATTTTCCATACCTTTACTATTTATATCATGAAACTTCACTATTTTATATATTTAGCCCAGACCTCAGCTTCATTTATAACTACCAATCTTGCCTATGTGCTTACTTGACATCTTTAAAAGGTATATAAAAAATTTGTTAAATTTACATATTCAAAACAAAACTCTTAGAGTTCTCCCTCATCATAATTTCTCTCCTGCCCTAACCTATCTCATTTCAATAAGTGATATCTCCATATATTTAGTCATTTCTGCCAAAAATCTGCCTCCTCCCTTTACTTCCCATATTCAACCTGTAACCAAGTCTGGATGAGCCTATCTTCAAAATAATGTTAAATTCACCCAGTTATCACCAGCACTGTCACTCTTGTCTAAACTGCCACCACCTGTTGCCTACTGCAATAGCTTCCTCCCCGCTCTCCCTATTTCTTTTCTGCTGCCCTTCTAGAACATTCTCCACACTGCAACCAACCTAATCTTTGTAAAGTACAAATCAGATTATGGATCATGCCACTCCTTCCCGCCTCAGTGGTATCCATCTTGCTCAGGGTTAGGTTCAAAGTCCTTGAAGGGACCTATAAAGCCCCCCCAATTAAGTCCCCACCTATTTCCCCAACAACATCCTATGCTATTTGTCCCTTCCTGCACTACTTGCCTGCCTCACAGCCCTTCTCTGAGTTCCTTGAATTTGCCACACTCTTACCAGACCAAGCCTTCAAATATGCTGCTGCTCTCCTGCTCTCATTCCTTAGAGTGCTCCTTTTTTTTTTTTTTTTTTTTTTTTTTGAGATGGAATCTCACTCTGTCACCCAGGCTGGAGTGTAGTGGCGTGATCTCAGCTCACTGCAACCTCTGTCACCCAGGTTCAAATGATCCTCATGTCTCAGCCTCCTGAGTAGCTGGGTTTACAGGCGCACGCCACCACACCTGGCTAATTTTTTTGTATTTTTGTATTTTTAGTAGAGGCAGCGTTTTGCCATGTTGGCCAGGCTGGTCTGGAACTCCTGACCTCAGGTGATCCGCCCACCTCAGCCTCCCAAAGTGCTGGGATTACAGGCATGAGCCACTGTGCAGTGCTGGAATTACAGGTGTGAGCCACCACACCTGGCCTAAAGAGCTTTTTTTCATCCTCTACCCCACAAAGTCCTTCTCATGCATGGGTCTCATCCCAAATGTTACCTCCCAGGAGAGACCTTTCATGAGACCCCAGTGTAAATGTTGTCCTCCTGGTGTACTATCTCATCACAACCTACTCTTTTTCTTTATAGCACTTACTACAATTTGTAATTACACATCTATTTTGTGACTTTAATATCTTACTCTCATGGAACCATAGCTCCATGGAAGCTATGGTGAAATGTATTTTTGTTCACCATTGTATCCTCTGTACACAGTGTCTGGCATATAACAGGTTGCCAGTCAACAATTGTTCAATGAATGAGCCAATGATAAAATAACCCCTCGCCCTAGAATACGTCTTCAGTGATCTGCAGATTCAGCCTCTCACAGAGTTAGCTTACCATCTCCCCAACCCCTCACTTTTAATCCATGTGGTTATGACAAAGATCTTTTGTTGCCTAGGTCTCCAGAGAATGTGCAGAATGTGATGGCCTAGAATGGTTCCACTGAGCCTGGCTCCTGAGGGGACCTAGGCAGCATTGCCTAAGGCTGAACTGCACTGAGTCACAGACAGACTCAGCAGGGTGGAGGTCTCTTTTATTCATTTTGTAAAAATGATTAATTAATAACTGACCTCCTTAGTCCAGTATGCAAGCAAGCTGACCGATCCTACTTTCCAACTCTATTGCTGCTACAACCAATTGCCACAAACTTAGTGGCTTTAAACAACACAAACTTATTATCTTAGATTTCTGGAGTTCAGAAGTCTGAAGTGAGTCTCACTGGCAGGGCCGCACTCCTTTCTGGAGGCTTGGAGGGGAATCTATCTCCTTGCCTTCCCAGTGTCTTGTATTCTTTGGTTCACAGCCCCTTCCTCCATCTTCCAAGCCAGCGATATCAGACTGAGCCTTCTCACACTGTCTCCTCTCCGGTTCTCTCTCTTCTGCCTCTCTCTTCCACTGACAAGGACCCTTATGATTTCACTGGGCCCATCCAAACAAACCAGGATAATCTCACCATCTCAAGGTCAACTGATGAGCAACCTTAATTTCCACTACAACCGCTTTGCCAAGTAACTCAACATAGTCATAAGTTGTGGGGATTAGGACATGGACATCCTTGGGGGACCATATTCTGCCCACCACCAACCTCACTCCCTTCCGCTTCTCACTCCCAAACTCTACATTTTACCCACAAAGAACTTGAGACTCAGAATCATTATTCTGAAGAGCCAGGGTGGTAGGAATGAGGGCCTGCAGGAAACCGCACAAGTTGCCTTGGAAAGTTTCCCAAACGTGCTCTGCCTGGTGTACTCTCCATACCACAGATCATCATACAGCATTCCAAATTTTTTCACCCGAAAATGAAGATAAGGATGACTGTCTCTCTGGGTCGTTATGAGGATTCAATGAATTAACATTTGTACAGTGCTTAGGGAAGCAGGATACTGGATGAAAAAAGAGCTTGCCCTCTGGCTTCAGAAGTCTGGGTTCAAATCTTTTTTATTTATTTATTTATTTTTTTGAGATGGAGTCTTGCTCTGTCACCCAGGCTGGAGTACAGTGGCATCTCAGCTCACTGCAACCTCTGCCTCCTGGGTTCAAGCAGTTGTCCTACCTCAGCCTCCCAAGTAGCTTGGATTACAGGCGCGTGCCACCAAGCCTGGCTAATTTTTATATTTTTAGTAGAGGCAGGGTTTCACCATGTTGGCCAGGCTGGTCTTGAACTCCTGACCTCAAGTGACCCACCTGCCTTGGCCTCCCAAAGTGCTGGGATTACAGGCATGAGCCACCACGCCCAGCTAACTTTTGTATTTTCAGTAGAGACGGGGTTTCACCATGTTGGCCAGGCTGGTCTCGAACTCCTGACCTTAGGTGATCCACCCGTCTCATCCTCCCAAAGTCTTGAGATTACAGGCGTAAGCCACCACGCCCAGCCCTGGGTTCAAATCTTGGTTGCCCAACATTTAATAATTGTGTGACTCTAGCAGATTATTAAATTTTTATAAATTCCCTCAAAACTTCTATTTCCTCAAGTATAAAATAAGGATACCAAAAATACCCATCTTACAAGGTTGCTGTGGCGATCAAATGAGGTAAGTCATGCAAAGCATTTAACATATAGTAATTGCTCTAGAAGATGAGATACTATGACTATTATACTAGAACCCCTAATAAATTGTAGCTTTTCTTTGTTGTGCCGGTGCTTTATTTCGTTCTTTCATCTGACAGATTCTCAAACCTCAGCTTAAACATTGTATCTGCAGGAAAACCTTCCTTCCCCTTCTTTCCTAGGCAGAAGTAGTTAATTATTTCCTCCTGTGCATTTCCATAACACCCAGCCTACGTTTCTATTACGGCCTCAATACAATGGGTTGAATTAAGGATCTTGTATACCCCATCACCACCATACACATAAGAGATTGTGAGCTACTTGGGGGCAGGTTCCATGTCCCATTCATCTGTCTATACTCAATGCCTGGTTCAGGGCCCAGGCAGTGAGATGTTTAAAAAATGTTTGTTGAGGCTGGGAGTGGTGGCTTCTGCCTGTAATCCCAGCACTTTGGGAGGCTGAGCTGGGAGGATCACTTGAGCCCAGGATTTCAAGACCAGCCATAGTGAGACCTGTCTCTATGAGAAACAAACAAACAAACAAAAAATGCCCAGGCATGGTGGCACACACTTGGAGCCCCAGCACTTTGGGAAATCAAGGTGGTAGGATCATTTGAGCTCAGGATTTCAAGACCAGCCTGAGCAACATAGTCAGACCTCACCTCTACAAAAAGAAAAAAAAAAAAAAATAGCTGGGCAGGGTAGTGCATGCCTGTAGTTCCAGCCACTTGGGAGGCTGAGGTGGCAGGATCACTTGAGCCTGAGAGTTTGAGGCTGCAGTGAGCCATGATCATGCTGCTGCACTCCAGTCTGGGTGACAGAGCAAAAACCTGTCTCAAAAAAAAGAAAAAATAAAATGTTTGTTGATTGAATAAACATAAAATTCTATGTTACTACTTAGAAATTAGCATAACATAGAATATTTATTAGCTTTTTTGTCTAGTCGTCCATAGTATCACTGTGTTCCCAGTATTCAGAAAGGTGAAGTGCACATTCTTTGTTTCCTGGGAGCAGCATTCCTTGGGGTTTGAGCAGAACTGGTCCCCGGGGAGAGCTACAGCAAGAAAGCAGGATTTCCCCATGTCTAGCCCCCTTTCCAGAGGAGTCTTAGGTAGTGTACCTCAGACCACCACCCCTCATTGTCAGTTTAGGGGCTTGCATTCCCTGGTTCAGCAACTTGGCCCCAGAGAAAAAGTCTACCCCAAGCAGAACAGGGCTTAAAATCATATTTTCATGGGATGTCAAATCTCCTCTCTTACCTTAAATGAAAGGTATTATTTCTGAGAGGAGAATATCACACTCCACCACCAAAATTCTGCTTCCTCGGCAAAAACCCCAGCAGTTTCTCTGCATGGCTGGCAGCTCTCCACCCAAGGCCAATGCTAGGAAATTCACCAGGCCCAACGCAAATCATGAGAGCACAAGCCCCTCTGTGATTACAACAAGGGAAAGCAAACTCAAGGAGCATTTGCTGTGCAAAAACGGGAGAGGAGAGGAGGAGATATGGTCCAGAGACACCAGCCCAGGCCTCACAACAGGTCATAGCTCCTCTCGGGAAATTTACCCATCACTTTGCCTAATAAGTAAATTATCCGCAGCTCAGCAACCTCTGAGCCTTCCCTGTAACAAGTGATATCCTTTCACCTTCATCTTTGGTATATATAAAAATATATCCTTCTTAGCTGCCAAAAAGCTATCAGCCCCTTGTCTCTAAGCAATTCATGCTGGAGACTCAGACCTCTTTCTGATTCACCCACATGGAACCTGCTCTGGGATAAAAAGCTTTGTATGGAGCTGGGGAGGGTGGAAAAGGTGTCAGCCAGTGACTGGATTCAAATAAATGGGAAACTGTCTATACTTTTTAATGAGTGAGAAGGACCGGGGGAGCAGGTCAGAATGCGGCTTTCTGTCCCTTGAGCTCCCTGTTGTGTCAGCTTCCATGTGTGTGGCCTGGGGGCTGATCACGCTGTAA
Source organism: Homo sapiens (assembly GCF_000001405.40). Taxonomy (NCBI): domain Eukaryota; kingdom Metazoa; phylum Chordata; class Mammalia; order Primates; family Hominidae; genus Homo; species Homo sapiens. Next base: position 115,679,526 of record NC_000011.10, on the reverse strand, counting down.
GTCCCCGAGAGTCCCAGGCACACTGGCTGCTTACCTAGCTGGCAGCTCTAAGCATGGACACCTGTCCACTGCAGCAATATCTTCCCAGATCCGGGGGATTCTGGTCCTACTTTTCCTCCCTAGCCATTCCCAGAGGCTCCTGCTTCCTGACAGAGATGTGAGTCTCCTTTGGGCATAACCCAGTTGATTAGCTCAGGAGTCTGTATCTTCTAGGTGCCCTGTGGCTGGTACCAACCTGTTCAATCCTAGTGCTCTCTGTGTTAAGCAGCTGGTCCGAGGGGCCACATGTTTTGCCAAGATTAATTTAGGCATTGACTTATGTGTGGCCTGCAAGCTCTCTTGGCAAGGCACCTCCTATCCAGACGTTCCATCACCCTGGCACCTGAGCCGACAGGGTGCGCCATAGCCTTGTGGAACCCTGACTGGACTTCTAGGGGCCCGCCTCCTCCAGAAAACTTCCAGTGACAAAGAGTGTCCTCCTGACCCAGGACTCTCCACTCAGAAATCTCCAGCTTGCTCCTCCAGCACCTCAGTCCATTGCATGACTGGGGGCTGTATGCAAACATTTGCTTTGATTTGTAAAATGATCCATATAATTAGGGAAAAGAGTTAAATAAAGGGACTGATTTCAGAGAGCAGGTTCTTAATGACACTAATACCTGACAAAAGGGGTCATTATGATAGGCTAATGGGCCTTGCCTGGCATTCAGCTCTCTCAGGACACAATCCAACACACTCAATTATCTGCTAATCAGGGCCGTTTTGTCAGAGGTTATTGCCCTGAAGTATCAATTATAGGAACATTATTAATACTTTATGGAGAAACCACATGCATGAAAGTGTTAAACTCATGGGGCGAGCCCTTCAGCCCCCTCCCCACTTGGACCCATAAAATACAATCTCTTTTTACCTCCATTTACCTCCCCAACTGGGGCTTACTACGACCCATTGGGTCTGCTGGGAAGGAGCCAGGGCCATGATGATGTTTGCAATCCTGTCACCTGTGACCAAGCTGGCAATCCCAACTCTTAATGCCACCAGCTGGCAACAGTGGCTTAGCCCAAAGCCAAGGCATTACTGACTCAAGATGTGAGGGGGAAACAGGGAGCCACTGGGGCTGCCAGAACAAGAAGTCTCTCTCTCCCTCTCTCCCTCTGTGTGTGTGTGTGTGTGTGTGTGTGTGTGTGTGTGTGTGTGTGTGTTTCCCTCTCTCTTCCTTACTATCTCTCTCTCAGTCTGTCTCTTTCTTTCTCTCCCTCCCTTTTCTTTTCCTTCTCCTCCTCCTCCTCCTTCTTTTCTTTCTCTCTCTCCTCACCCCCTCAATGTGGTCCTTTCAAGGAAGTGGAGAAGAGCTGGAAGGAGGCCCGCCACTTCAGAATACAGTCTGCTCAGGACACGGTCTACGCTGCTTCCTAGAACCCACGGCTGCCTGCTGGACACTCGGATTTCGCCTCTAAGGAGGCACCATCCAACACAGAAACGAGGAATAACTCTAAAATGTGTTGTGATATAGAAGACAAAACGTGATAAGAACTTTAGAGCCAGATCAGTCCTGATTCAAATCTCTGTCGTACCACTCGCTGTCAGCAGGATTTCAAGCAAGTCACTCAGCCTCTCTGGGCTCTAGTTTTCCAATGTCCTGAGAGGCAGTGTATCATAGTGAAGGAAAAAGGAGGCTTCAGGATGCCGGCTTTGCCACTTACTAGGTGTCCAAACTTGAGTGAGTTATTTAGCCTCTTTGGACCTGTTTCTCACATGTAGGGCAGAGATGGTTACATCCATATGCGAGAGCCCTGGTGAAGGTTAAACAATAACATGTGCACAAGGGGAGGACAGTACCGGGCACATTTCATTCACAGGGAGCGGGATACTAACTTTGAGGTGGGGTTCTGAGGTTGAAATATTTGTTGCTAAATAATAATGAGCCCAAACACTCAGAAACAGCAAGATCTCTCTGCTCCTTCACCCTTGAATAATTAAACAATTGCCAGTAGGACAAGGGTTTACTGGTTTTTCCAGCTGGGAAAGAGGGTGGTAGTGATCCCCTGAAAGTCCATCCAGTGTTCTGGCATCCTGGGAAAGTGCCCAGCCTGCCTGGGGGAAGCTGCCTTTCCGGAATAGATGGGACTCTCCACACCTGCGGCCCAGCAGGCCTAGATCTGCCTGTTACAATCAGGACTACTTGCAGAAAGAAGACTTGGTGCCTCGTCAGGATCTCCTGTAATCTGATTTATGCAGTTTAATCTCATGAGAAAAAGGAAGCAAGAAGAGATAGGAGAGTCTGCTCTGCTACTTAATGGTCTCTCTCTTCTTTGTCGACTTTACTCTGTGGTTGAGGAAGTGGAAATTTAAAATATGGTTGTGTTCATGCATTCACCAATAGTTGTTGAGTACCTACAATGAGTTAGTGATGTGATCACAGTCTAGAAGTGGGAGACCAACTCAAGAACAGATCAATTCTACTAGAGTTTGATCTACAAAAGTATCTATCTACATGCCTAGAGGTTCCTATAATTCCTGGTCAAGCTAAAGGAATGTGAGTTATTCCATCTGGGGAAATGAGCCGAACCACAGAAATGTAAAACGCTCAAGTGTTAGGAGAATTGTCAAAAATGGGTGGTCATCTCCAGCTCAACCGAATACAGACATCAGAGAAACAAATTTTCTATAACTATGAGGTTTTAGGCCAAGAGGCTTAGCCTAAACATCAATAAAAATGCAGGAACAGGCTCTGCAGCCTCTTACCTGGAGACGAGAGTCAGCAACTGAAGGCGCTTGGTTGACTTTGGCAGAATCCAGTCCAGTGCAGAGGGAGGACCAGCACTACAATTCCGTGTCCACCTGGTATGGCCAGGAAAAAGGGAACCAGCACTTACAGGCAAAAGGCCTCGAAATCCTGCCTGTGACAGCCTGACCCACGGCTCAGTGGTAGGAAGTGTAGGTGGAAGGAATGAAGGTGCTGAGAATGCGCCCTCCTGACCCTTGATTATGGCTTATAAATGTGCTGTTTGGTGGGCCTGCGTAATTAGTGTTTGTGTTAAGCAGTTACGGGGTTAAGTGCTACCAGGGGTTTCATTTGGGCTGACAGAGTCTGAGCTGCAGAGTGGGGTGGTTGCCTAGCAACAACACCTGTAGCACATTAAGCAGCCAGTCAGCTTTGTCAACTTCTAGCAGGGGCTTTGTAGAGCGGATGACAGGGAAGAGGAAGGTTTGTGGGGCACAGAGGTGGGAAGCTGGGCAGTGCATCTCAGGATGCAAGAGGGTTCTGGGGAAATCAAGTGTTTGTGTGAATTCCACAAGAACAGCTTTATGTCTATGTTCCTCAAGCAGGAGAAAGATCAACAGCTCCAGGTGTGACTCCAGGACAGATATCCTCAGTCTTACTGTCACCTGTTTCTAAAACCCTCACAGCAGCAGCTGAGTGAAATAGGAATCCCCCTTCCTCAACCCAAGCCCCCTCTCAAATAAAGTGCCTCAGATTGGGTGATTGGAGAGGGAGGGATAAGGGAGAAGTACTTTCATGGTTTTGTTTTCAGATTCAAGAAGAACAGGGGATATTTCTGCTGACTTGTCTTTGAGGCAGCAATCACAGAGAACAAAGCAGAGACCCTGAGAGGGTAAGATCTTTCTCACCACCTTCCCTTCTCACCTCCCATGCACTTCTCTGGACTTCATCTCATGCACGCCTGAGATACGGCTGGAAAAAAGAACAGATTTGAAGAAGGGTAGGGAGCTTGGTGATATTGCTGCTGCCTTTGTAGTATTCATGGCCTAGCTAGCCTTCTGCCAGATTTCCAAGCTGCCCTGAGTGGCGGTGGAGGGATAGAGTGGTGCACCTTCTAAGAGTGGGCAATCCAGAATGAAGCACTAGCAATCAGGTGGTGTGGGATCAACTCTGCTTCTGTCACTTGTAAGCCAATAGCCTTTGGCCGATACCTGTCCGGAGACTCAATTTTCTCATCTGTAAAGTGGAGGATAATTATATGTGCTCCACTTACATTATGAAGATCAAAGGAGGCCACTTAAGTAAAAGCATGCTACGAAAGCTATAAATCCTCCTACATGTATAAGGTATTAGTATTACAAGGAAGACGCCAATATATCTGCTCTTTCAGAATGGCCTGAGCTATCTGCTGTTTGGCCCACAGCGAAGAGCAGAGGAGCAGCCACGTGGCTGTGTTGCCGGGTAACTTGGTGGTGGAATGGCTCTGAAAGGAGGCCTATTCAACTCTGCTATTCTAGGTTCACTGGTTCAAATCCAGCCCTAGGCCAACAATTACTGTAATCACTGGGTTTGGAATTCAAGCGTCTGACTTTCGGAAGACCTTTTGCTTATCTGTGACCCATTGAGTTTTCACCACAAACTTATGCATGCGATTACACGGGAAGCCGGGAGACTGCAGAACCTGGCTTGTGGTCCCAAACACAGATCCACCCACCCTCCCCTCTGCAGGCCAAGGCTGCTTCTTCTAGATTATCTTAAAAGGCAATCTGGGGGCTGAAGGGTACGTCGTTTGCCCTCTGGGCTTGGAAGTAAGTATCGGCATGGCCGAGCCACATCTGACACTGCCTTTAAGTGTCCTAGGCCTACCCAATCCTCCCTGCATGACTGAGAAAGCAGGCGTCTGGCTTTCTCCACCACAGTTAAGAGAGCTCCTCCTCCTACCCTTTAAGCCACACCACATCTGATCAGGAAAAAAAAAAAAAATGTCTGTGTATATATTCAGAAACCAGCAGATTTAAGGCCCATCCAGGCTGAAGTAGCAACTTGCCAGCCCAGAATGCACCAAGCCTTCTATGTGATTTTGTGGGTTTTCTGCCTGTGTGTCTGTGGGGTCTGCAAACGCCCTGCCACACCCAGAGTGACAGACGCTGTGTGTGTACGCAAGCCGCTCGCTCCCCGGAACCCCTGCTCCTGTGTTGTGCCGTTATTTTCATGCTCTGTGTTATATTTAACTCAAGTCATAATATTTGGGGGGTTGGAAGCCTGCTGTTTCACCAAGAAAGGCATTTGAATATTCTCAGTTCCAGAGAATTCCAAGGGCTCTGGGAAGAGTGAGGCGGTTGCCCCAGATTTGCCTGACACATCGTGATCACGTGGACTCCATTAGTGGAGGGCTGAGGTGCTGAGCAGGCAGCCTAAAGGAATGTTGAGAAACAATGAAGAGGAGCCCTGAGTGATGTCAGCAGGAGGCTGATGCCTCTGGGGGTCCCAGGCAGTCGCCTCACACATCCCCTAGGGGAGGGAAGCACTAATTGGCGACACCACCTGCCTTGTTACCCCCACCCCCCACCTCGTACACCCCATGTCAATCCGAGGGGATGCAGAACCAAAGTCCCACGTGATGTGAGGGGAGGCGTAACTCAGCTCATCCCCAACTGAGGCTCTCACTCATCTCATCTCCAATAAGAAAAGCAAGCATCCGAATGGAGCCCCATCTAAATAGTGGGGGTCACTGTTTTGCCCCAAAGAAGGCCTGGCAAGGTTAGCATCGGCAAAGTACAAGTCATCCATAAAGGGTGGAAACAAGGATAATATTATTTATTATCCTTTAAATATTAAACATAATATAAATATTTAAATATAAATATCTAAATATTAAATATAAATATCTGAATATTAAATATAAATATCCTTTAAATATTAAATATTATTTATTATTCCTTATCGTAAGAAGCTATCCTTGAAGACATAGGTAGATTCACCTGTTTCTGGACTTTATGGACACCTTGTATATATTTTTTAATTCTGGGTCTCTAAGTACATTTCCTGAAAGTTCTTTCCATATTATATGATAAATTTCTCTGCGAGATTCCACCATATTTCTTTTTCTTTAAAAAAAATTTTTGTTGATTTTTTAGTTTTTATTTTTGAGACAGGGTCTCACCCTGTCACCCAGGCTGAAGTGCAGTGGCGTGATTGCAGCTCACTGCAACCCCAACCTCCTGGGCTCAAGCGATCCTCCCACCTCAGCCTCCTGAATAGATGGGACTACAGGTGCACACTGGGCTAATTTTTGTATTTTTTGTAGAGACGAGTTCTCGCTGTGTTGCCCAGGCTGGTCTCAAACTCCTGGGCTCAAGTAATCTGCCTGCCTTGGCCTCCCAAAGTAACCCTATTTCTTTCACACCATTTCTCCAAGCAACAGAGGATAGTTTGGGCAGTTTCCCAAACACACTGGGGTGGAGTCTGCCAGTAGCTGGAGAGGGAGGCCAGCTAGGATTGCAACATACTTTTCATTATGGTGTCTAGACAGAAGCAGGTCTTAAAGTTGGAGAAGAGGAGAAGGGAAAGTACCATATCCCAGGGAACCAAACACTGTCTAATCCCCTCACCAGTGAGAGCAGCTGGCCCGAGGCCTGCAGGGTGTCCTGTGAGAACAGCTCCCACTGGTGCCTTCAAGGGTCTTGCCAGGTGGAGGAGTCCAGGAGTCAGTCACTCGGGGAGCAGCAGACGAGGGCTACCCCAGTCCCTGGCCACTGCAGGCCATGCTCTCATCTCCAGCCTGAACCAACGCACTAAAACCAGCACTTGCTTCACATTCATGGGAACTGACATATGGCATAACTTTTTTTTTAATCTTCCAAGTTCCCTAGGCAGCTTTGACGTGAATATTAATACTAACATAATTTTATGATGATTAGAGAACACAATTAGGGGCTATTAATAATGACACAAATAATGACATTTAAGGCCTCATTTTAATTTGAGTAATATTCTGTCTGGTGGTATTCAAACAGCTCTGTCTAGCACAATTAGTATAGTACTGGGGTGCAGTCACTTTTCACAGAATCCGTCAGTCGCTCCTCACCAACACACCTCCACGGCAAGGGAGACAGATGGGGGACCCTGCCCCACACCTGAGATGCACCCAGAGACAGCCTTCTGCTGCAGCCTTGACTTGGACCCCAGGGACAGGTCTCTCAGACAGAGGGCGTTGTGCACAGATTTCAAGAGTCTAAATTGGGAAAGAGTGCTGGTGGCTGGATTAAAGTCCGCTAAGCAGTCAGTTGTTCCAACTTTAGGTACCACATCTCCCCAAGAAGGTGGACGAACAGTGTGGGTTTCCATTTCCAGCTTCCCTCGGCTAAATCCTACTTGACCTGCAGAACATGGCTCCCCACTGAGTCCCACAAGGCCCCCCAAGCCCTCTCCTTCTGCAGCATTATTCTAGGCTGTCCACAGAGTACAGTACACTCAAGTGTAGTGATTTGTGTACTTACCCACCTTCCCAGCGGGCTGCTCACTCTTTGAGGGGTGAGGTTGTGTCTTATCTGCCTTTAAACCCTCAGCTCCCAGGTACATAGTTGACTCTCAGTCAAAGCTCGTTGAGTGACTTAATGGCGAAATGACAGCGGTTCTGCCTTGCACCCACGGAGCATGTGTTGAAGCTGGTATACTATTATAGCATTTCACTCTCAGAGCTCTAAACTGCATCTTTGCTTTTGTTGTGTTTTGTTTCTTTTTTTAGAGATAGAGTCTCATTCTGTCACCTAGGTTGGAGTGCAGTGGTGCCTTCATAGCTCATTGTAACCTTGAACTCCTGGGCTCAAGCAGTCCTCCCACCTCAGCCTCCCAAGTAGCTGTGACTATAGGCATAGGCATGCACCACCATACCTGGATTTTTTTTTTTTTTTTATTTTGAGAGATGGCTGGTCCCAAATTCCTGGGCTCAACCGCTCCTCCCACCTCAGCTTTCCAAAGTGCTGAGATTACACATGTGGTCCAAACTGCATCTTTTGGGTGTTTATGACCAAAAGCAAACATGTGAGAGATGGCTAGGCTGGTTGAGGAGGTGCACAGTAAGGAAATATTTGTGAACTGTGAGACTTCAGTGGTTAAACAAAAACCAGTGGCCCTTAAGACTTAAAATAACCCAAGATCCTTAACCTGTGCGTTCACCAGCTAGGGGAAACATACCCTAGTTGCATATGTTTTGAGTTGTAGACTACATTCTTTATGAAGAGAATTAGCTGATAAGCCTGGACAAGAAACTAGGTTTTCTCCCAATTCAGGTCTCTAGAGTAGAGAGGAGAAACTGAAATAGCAAACTTCCCGATAAGTGAGGATTATAAATGAAGAAAAATGAGGAAGAGGGGAAGAAGGAAGAGGATGGGAGAAGGGCGGGAAGGAGGAGGGAGGAGAAGGGTGAAGGAGGAAGTTGGGGAGGAAGAGGAAGAAGAAGGAAAGCTATTTGTTGAGCGTTTTTCATGTGCCAGGCACTTCAGTACGTAACAACCGCTATGTTCTTTGATCCTCAAAATAATCCTATGAGATATATACTATTATTATTCTCACTTCACCAACGAGGAAGCTCAAGTTTAAAGAGGTTAAAGTAACATGCCCGGCCACATGGTAGCATGCAGCTGGGCCAGGCTTCAAGCCCCTGTCTGTCTGACTCCAGAGCCCAAATCGTGACCACCCACTGTACTAGGACAGGTGACAGAGGAGGATTAGGATCATGTGGGATGCTTACGTCACAGGATGGGGAAGGCCACCCACCAAGTGCATATGATAGATGAGGCAGCTTGTTGATGTCCCTGCCACCTAAGGACCCTGTGAAGTCTGCAGGGGGAAAAATGAAAATCCACTGGCCAAGGGCCAGCACAGGGAGCCCTAGAGCTGACAAGGGCAGGACACTGGCCCCCTAGAAAGGGTGGCACTAGACATACCCAACAACAGGGTTGGCGGGTGGCCAACCCCAGCACAGGCTGACAGTGTTTTGGCAGAGGCCAGCAAGACTTCGGAGGCTGGGGCAGGGTCCGCGAGCAGCGGGGGAAGTTAAGTGGAACCTTTCTGGGTAATTGACTCTCTCTGCCCATAGGACCCCCTGCCAAGCCCAGGCAGGCCCAGCCTGACATGCTGCAACCTGTCTGAAGTCTGTTCTGCAGCGGCAGAGCGCCTGGTTGACAGCAGGCTGATAATTTTGTTATAAGACTCACCCTTTCAGTTGCAAGCTCCTTTTGTCTGAATCCCTGATGTGGAACTCAGGGAACCATCTGAACGTATGCCAGTGGTGGCAGCAGCAGCCACAGTGTAACCAACAGGCAGTATGGGGGCTGGGGGCTCCAGGCTGAGTCCCCCTACTCACCAGCAGCCATCTCAGCAAGCTGGTACCCACCCACAGTGCCACGTGCCCACTATCAGACAGGGGCAGAGAGTGCAGAAGGGCACTGGGTCCCACACCAAGGGATTCTTATGGCAACAGGAGGCCTTGAAAGCCCCAAAGCTGGTCACTCATCCATTTTCTCCTTCCAGGGCACAACACATATTTCCTATTGCCACTGACTACCATCCCCTAAATCCTTCCCTCTCTTCTCTTAGTCCACAAGGCCTGGGATTGTGCCCATCCATCCCTTATAGCCAGCCACCTCAAGGAACAGCAGGGAACACCACCTACTTTGACAGGGACTCAGGATCCAAATGCCCTGATCACGAGGGGAAGCAGCTGCAGAGGGCATGCACGGGCTAACGAAGGGGCACAGAGGATGTGTAGGCACAGCAGTCAGGGGCAGCATGGAGATGGGGCTTCGTGGGACCCAGGAGGGGCAAAGAAGCAGGGCAGCCAGCTAGAAACAAGTCCAGGGCCAGGCTGAGCTGCCATTCTCTGGCCTCCTCTTTAGGCTCTGTGGTTGCTTTTCATTCTTGTTTAACACGTGTTTAAACTGAACTTCTCTTCCCCACTCACCTGCAGCTTCTCCTAGTGCCCTGAGCTCTATGACTGACACTGCTCTTCTCCCAGCTGAGTTATCTGGGGCCATTCCTGAACCCACCTCAGCTGCCAATCAGAGTTAGAGTTGCATTGATTTCATGCCCCCCACCCAGGGGTAGTGGGGTACCATCTACAGGGGTACCATTGTTTCCAGTCTAAGTTAAGTCCTTTGACCCTCTTTCCTAGACTATTACAGTAGGCTCCTAACTAACACCCAGGCCTTCATCTGTTCCCTCTTACCTGCTATATCAGAATTACATTCCCAAAGGGTAAAAATTATACCCAATTAGCTGGGTGTGCTGGTGCATGCCTGTAGTCCCAGATACTCAGGAGGCTGAGGCAGGAGGATCACTTGAGCCCAAGAAATCAAGGTGGCAGTGAGCTATAATCACACCACTGCACTCCAGCCTAGGCAACAAAGTGAGACCCCCATCTGTATATAAATAAATAAATAAATAAATAAATAAAATAAGTTTTAAGAAAATTATCCCCAACATTTACGAAGAGCTTACTATACGCCAGGCATTAGTCCAAGCACTCCTCATGTGTTACTTATTTGATCTGCACAACTCAATGCAGTCAGGACTATTTATCATTCCCATTTTACAGATGAGGGAACTGAGGCACAAGGAGAGTAAATAATTTGCCCAGTGTTACATAACTAGGAAATGATCGAGCCAGGATTCAAAATCTGTACGCTTCTTCTTAAATCAAGAGTAGTAATGATCACATTACACCCACTCCTCTCTGAAAACGTTATAGGATCTCACCACCACAAATCCCAGCTCCTTAGAATCCCACGCCTTCAAATCTCTATTCTAACTCCTCTTCCTGCTTGGTATCACCCTCTCTGCCCTCCCCGCATTCCAGCTGAAGGTGCTATGTTTCCTTCCCCAAGCACTACCAGCCTTGGTGCCTTTGTTCTGTGTTCCTTCTCCCTGTGACACCCTTCTGCTATATGCCTACATTCCCCTCTTCTCATCTCCCACCCCAGCCAAAAGCCTGTCTTTGCCCCTTTTGAACTCCTCTTAGGAGAGCTGTATGGTCTGGTGGCAAGCGCATAGGTCTGAGAAACACCAGGTTAGCACACTCACTCTCATTATTGGCTGTGTCACCTTGAAAAAGCAAATTCATGGCCGGGCACTGTGGCTCACGCCTATAATCCCAGCACTTTGGGAGGCCGAGGCCGGCGGATCACGGGATCAGGAGATCAAGACCATCCTGGCTAACACGGTGAAACCCCGTCTCTACTAAAAATACAAATAAATAAATAAATAAATAAATAAATAAATAAATAAATAAAAATAAAAATCAGCCAGGCGTGGTGGCGAGCGCCTGTAGTCCCAGCTACTTGGGAGGCTGAGGCAGAATTGCGTGAATCCGGGAGGTGGAGCTTGCATCTCCAGTGAGCCGAGATCGCACCACTGCACTCCAGCCTGGGCGACAGTGCGAGACTCTGTCTCAAGAAAAAAAAGAAGAAAAAAGAAAGAATGAAAGAAGAAAGAGCAAATTCACCACTCTGAGCATCAGTTTCACTGCCTATGAAAAGGGGGTGATGATAACAGTACTTATTTGCAGGAGTTGTTGGAAGGATTAAAAGAAGTCATTTGGGAAAAGCACCAGCTCCTGCTGGACTCTCAATCAAGGTGAATGTTCTTCCCCTCAGTGTCCTCCTGCATATCATTTATCACTGTCTCCTGGATGTTTTAGCTGTTTGAGTCCTCCAGGAAACCGTAAGTTACTTAAGGGCAGGTATTATGTCCTGTCAGATTCTGAAGTCCCCTTAATGCCTTACTGAATACCAGATATTGTTGCCGTTCAATAAATATTTTCTGGCCAGGTGCAGTGGCTTATGCCTGTAATCCCAGCACTTTGGGAGACCAAGGTGGGTGGATCACCTGAGGTCAGGAGATCGAGACCAGCCTGGCCAACACGGTGAAACTCCATCTCTACTAAAAATACAAAAAATTAGCCTGGTGTAATCCCAGCTACTCAGGAGGCTGAGGCAGGAGAATCTCTTGAACCCGGGAGGTGGAGGTTGCAGTGAGCTGAGATTGCGCCACTGCACTCCAGCCTGGGTGACAGAGGTAGACTCTGTCTCAAAAAAAAAAAAAAAAAAAAAAAGTTTTCTGTTTGAGTCCATTTAAATGCTTGCCCAGTGTTAGCACGTTAGAGAGTGGATTTACCTACCAAAGAAAGTGGATGCAGATGACCTCTGCGTTCCCTTCAGCCTTGAGAGACTAGAACTTAACAGTCCTCCCACTAAAGAGAACTTGTGCAAAACACAAAACTCTTTGTCTATCTTATTCTCATTGTCAACAGTAATGTCAGCTTGAGGTCACACTGACTCTTCAAATCTGTTTCTAGCCCATCCCATTTTTCTCCTCCACATTATTTTTTCCAGGGTCCTTGCATTTCCAGTCCACACCAGGAAGCTGAAGTTCTCCAGCAGCCCCATACCACGGCTGCCGCTGGTGGAGAAGTCAACCCGGCAAATAGAAATGTCACTCAATCATTTCCCTGCACTTTCCTCCCATTGCCCTTCCCCACCGCGTATAATGAGAAACTCTTTTTGCCCAAATATTGTTTGAGTTTCAAATACACAATTTCCCTGGTGGTGACCAGATGAAAAGAGAAATCTGGTTTGCAACATAAGACCTCTTTGTGGAAGTCGCATTGAGCGAATACCGAAACTAAATTTTTATTGAGCCCCTTGAAATGACAGGAGCACATCAAGGCAACCAAACTCCTTTTTCACTGTGGTAAGCTTAAATTATTTTAAGGGAGCACAAAGGAAGTACCCCTCAAGGTGGGAGAAAAGAAGGAAAGGACTTTAAATGCAGTGGGCAAGATGGTAAATCTGCTCATGGTATCTCATCCATTCCTAGCAATGTCCCAGCACAGGCCTTCCTATGCGTGGACTGTCCACAGCTGGGCTTCTTAACTGGGGGAGGGGGTCCTAGGAGCCTCTAGGGCAATGATTCTCAACCCTGGCTGCTTTAGGGATCTCAACCCTGGCTGCATTAGAATCACCTGGAACTTTTTAGGAAAAAAAAAAAAAAACTAACTAATGCCCAAACCCCACCCTAAAAAAATTAAATGAGAATATCCTTGTATAAGGCCCAGACCTCAGAATTTTATTAAAAGGTCTGAGATAATTCAAAGGTGCAACCAGGGTGGAATGTGTACATAGACTTGGAGGATGTTACCCGCCTGAAGAAGCAGGTAAATTTTTATATGCATGAGAATATGTGTGTTTTGCTGGGAGTGAGGGGTCATAACTTTCAGACAATTCTTAAAAACATCTGCAGCTCAAAACAGGTCTTAATAATAGGTCTGCAGCTTGGTGTCTCGAGTTCCTTCCAGCTGGAAAATGATGTGCATGTAAGATTTGGTTATTAAGGGTTAGATGTTAATGGGCAAGAAAAAGGCAGGTCTCTGGTTCCTGAAAGAATGACCCTTGTTGATCTGGATCCCAGATGGCAAGAAACTGTCAATGAGGGGCCCAGGGAGATTGGTAGGGGATAAAAGACCCACTGAAAAATAGAGCGATGTGTTCTTGCAGGGAAAAACTGGGAACTCAGTGCAATTTATGATTGAGGCAGCCCTGCCTGTGACTCAGCTGACAGCTGTGCCCAGCTTGGCCTCTGAATCTGGACACCAGAAGCCAAGTCTATAGAGAGGGATGACTGTCCAGGATCTCTTATTTTGGGAGCTCCATATTCATGGCTGATTAGTGCACTTCATAAAACTGGCCTGAGCACCAGCTTCTAAGTGTGCATTGAGGGACTGGAGGGAGGCAGCAGGCAGAGGTTGGGTAAAGAGGAAGGTCCAAGCCTCTGAATAATGTCCACAAGACTAGAGAAGCCCCTTGGAGCCTGCAGCACCTTCAGAACTGAATTTCAATAAATCCAGAGGGGGCTTAAGATTTGTGTGAATATCTAAACTGTGCTGACAGCTAAAGGAGGAAGGGGTAGGGAGGGAAAATGATCTGTTCGCCAGCCCCCAGCAGTGCTCCCTGGGCACTGGAGGCCACTCTGTCGTGAACGTCACTGGCCCCCCTCCTCTTACCCACCAAGGGCCTGGTTGGATCTCTGAATTTGGGCTCTGCCAGCATCAGCCAGCCCCGCCTGTAGCAGCGCTATAGCACTACCCCTGCCAAAAGGCAAGAAGGCCAGCACTGGGGCTTCCCAGCCCCAAGTCAGCTGCCTAAGTGCTCAGCCCTGCTCATGAAAGGGACCCCTCTTCCTCTCTTTTCAGCCCTGTGCTCTAATTTATCCTCCCCTTTGATAACCAACTCCAAACACATTCAGCCGAGGCCAGGCCATCAGTGCACAAAGGCCTGTGCTCTCTCGGCTGAATGCAGCACTTCACTCTTGGGGGGATTTCTATAGAAGGCAAAATCCACCAAACAAGCTATTACACTTAAATCAGACAATGCCCGAGGTGACGGCGAGGAGACCAGCGTTAATGACTCAGCTAGCAGCGGGCTTCTCTATTTTATAGCTCTACCACAGCATGAGAGAGCAACCCGCTGCCCTTCCCAGCCTCTGCCAGATCCATCTCCTCCTGCTCCGGGACTAGAAAGTTGACCCGCCATGTCTGCTGGTTCTCTGAATCCTGAGGGTGAATTCCCCCTAGGCCCACTTAGACTCACTCCTGATTCCCTCTTTGCCTCAGAAAAAGAATGGAGGAGTGAAGTCCTGTCTGCCCCCTTCTCTCTCTTTCATTCCAAAGATGAGGAAACCATGGTAACTGTTGACAGTCACAGAGTCGGCTGGTGACACAGCCAGGATTAGAACCCTTGTCTCTCATCTCATTCAATTAATACAAGAGCTAATATAAATTAGATGATGCATGTAAAGTACTTAGCGTAGTTTCTGGCACACCAAAACACTCAATAACTATCAGCTGTTCTTACTTGTAGAGGCATCACTTTTATACAGTTTATTTATTTTTATTTTTATTTTTTTGAGACAGGGTCTCACTTTGTCACCCAGGTTAGACTGCAGTGGTGCAAACATGGCTCACTGCAGCCTCAACCTCCCGTGCTCAAGCAATCTTCCCACCTCAGTCCCCCAAGTAGCTGGGACTAGAGGCGCACACCACCACGCCTGGCTAATTTTCGTATTTTTTGTGGAGATGAGGTTTCACCATATTGCCTAGGCTGGTCTCAAACTCCTGAGCTCAAGCAATCCACCTGCCTTGGTCTCCCAAAGTGCTGGGATTACAGGCATGAGGCCTTATATAGTTCATTCATCTATTTATGGAGTGCCTATCACGAGGCAGGCAGTCTGCAGGGTGCCTGGAATAAAACAGTGAGCATGACAAGTCCTGCCCTCCTGGAGGATCTTCTAATGTGAGATTCAAACAGGTCAATAGGCAGATGCAATACAGAGTGATAGGCCATAGAATAGTGAAAGTAATGGGTGCTTTAGGAGGTCAGAGGAAGGGCATCTAATCCAGACTTTGAGGCTCACTGAGAGAACTGGTATGTCACTGAGACAGAAGGCAATGGGTCCAAGTTAACCAGGGGAAGGCAGGTGGGAATGAACCGGACGAGTTGGGGTAGATAGAGATTTCTAGGAGGAGGGAATAGTCGAATGTGCAAAGGTGAATGACAGCAAGATGAATTTAAGGAAATGAAAAAGTCAGTAGGCCAAGAAGATTGGGTAAGATGGGGCAAGGACTCAGTGGCACAGGGAGGGAGGCCGATGGCCAAGAACAGAGGCACAAGTCATCTCATGAGGCCCGTGGTGAGCCATAGAAAGGAGCCTGGACTGTATCCTGACGAGTAAGGGAATAAGATCCAAGAACACAGGACCTATTGCGGAAACTGGATTGGAGAGCAGCTGCAGTGAGACCAGGGAGCAGGTCCAGGCACCAGCTTGGCACTTGTTCCGCATCCCATTTCAACACGTTACTTGGTTCTAATCTTGACTCAACAAATAAGGCCCCCCCATTAAGACAACTCATGAAGGGGAAATAAGTGGAAAAAAGACAACTACAGCCACAGAAGCCAAGAAATAGAATAATGGGTTTGGTTTCCCTGGCCACTTGAGTCATTACCCAAAAAGCCTTCAGCACCATTCAGTGAGATCAAATTCTTTTCCACCAACCAGATGTGTGAATTTCAGCAACCTCCATTTCCCCATCTGTACAACGAGGACAGTTCACCAAGTAATCGATAAACTGCCTTACAGTTCTCACATTCTATGCTTTCATGACTTGAAATATATATCACATATTTTGATTCTAGGATGTCTTGTTTTGCATTTTAATGTTTATAAAACCAGGACAAAATCGTTCTCATCTTAAAACAGAGCAGACACAGTTCATCAAAATCAGGTAACCTGCACAATGATCAAAGACATTTCCTCCTCTGGGTTCTCATCATTGAGTCCAAGAAAGGACCAGCTTTGACACCAGCCAGGAAAAGCTGCTTGGGAGCTGCGTTCCTGAGCTGCTCCAGCCTTTCTGAGCTGCCTGTGCACAGACCCACGGTCTTCAGGAGACCCTCTTTCCCAGGCCCTCTGCCCTTAGGCCTGCAGGGGTAAGGTTTTGCAGAAAGCTACAACCATCTCTCCTTGCCCAGCAGCTCTGGCAGCTGCTAAGGTAGAGGCCAAAGCTCCAACGGTTTTGGGCAGGTGAACAAAACAATAAATTCAGGCTGGTGTGGGAGAAGAAAAAAAAAAAAAACACTTCAGAGCTGTTTTTGGCTGGAAAATGCTCTCCATCCTGTGGCTTTAGGACACAGGCAGCATAGCATCCAGAGGCGCACAGCTGCATGGAACAATATAAAAATTGCCTTGTTGGACTACAACATGCCAATTTTTCAAATCTAGAGCCATTTGCACTATTACAGTGTATGCAACCTAAGCTGGGAGAATTTTCTTCTGGGAGGGAAAATTGATTCCGAGGTTACCATTAACCCCCATTATCACAGCACGCCCCATTCCAAAACTATTCTTGGGAACCAAGGGGGCTACAGGAAACTATGGAGGCCCATGGCGAGGTTGATGCCCAACATCACAGGTGCTAACAGCCAAAGTCCATTAGCCCCATGTCTCAGAAGGGCATGAAAGTGAGTGAGATGGAGAAGGGGAGAGAGAGGGAGCATAAAAGAATCGGTGGCCTGGTGTGACGGCTCACAGCACTGGTAATCCCAGCATTTTGAGAGGCCAAGGTGGGTGGATGGCTTGAGCTCAGGAGTTCGAGACCAGCCTGGGCAACATGGTGAAACCCCATCTCTACAAAAAAATACAAAAATTAGCCGGGTGTGGTGGCACATACCTGTAGTCCCAGCTACTCGGGAGGCTGGTGTGGAAGGAATGCTTGAACCCAGTAGGCAGAGGTGGCAGTGAGCCGAGATTGCACTACTGCACTCTAGCCTGAGTGATAGAGCAAGACCCTTTATCCAAAAAACAAAAAACAAAAAAAAGATCTGGGTATGTGTTTTCCCAAGAATTCCTAGGCTTTGGAAGTTTCCCTGCATCCCTCACTTCATTTGTATGGGTTGGGAACTTGGGTGAGCTGAACAGCAGGAACCAAGGCTAACACCTGCATAAGACCCTTTTCATTTTGACATGAAGTCCTGCCTGGTAACTGCCCTCTCCAGCTGGGGCCAGAGCCTGGTAGAGGAATGTTCTCCAGGAGTTTGGCTTAGAGGCTGCCCATCCCATTTTCATTCCTATACCCAGCTGTTCTGGGCCCAGGTGTGGGGACCCAGGGGCAGAAGGCTACTGGCTTGTCCATTCCAGGTGCTATGTATGGAAAATCACTCCAACCCATTCTAAGCACAGTCAAGAGCCTTTATTATGGAGTGTGCTATGACCTCCACCTTCCCAAACCCACCAGCCCAGCCAAGAAGGTAGTGGTGATAGTGGCTGCTGCAAAACAAGAAGAGAAAGACAGCTGTGTGGACAAAGGAGGCAGCAGGTGACCTTGGAGAGCAGCAAAGCCACTGATCTCGCCATCCTTACCTTGTCATTACATAGCAGTCAGTACTGGTCTTGAATCTAGAAAGCCCAAGTCTGAATTCTGAGTTGACCTTGGACTAATTACTTACTCTCTCTGAGCTTGTTTCTTTTCCTATGGTCTGGAAGTAAAAATAAACACCTAGCAAAGATGTTGTCCACATTAAATGACATAATGTGGGAAAGAAGTGACAAATAATGGTTGTTCAACCAATGTCAAATATCTATATGATATATATTGCATTGTCCCTGTGAATACAATGTAATACAATGTTCCAAGTGGCTCAGTCTTCATATATAAATATATTTAATAAATTAGTTAATTATGAGAGGAATTGGATACATACAGTATATATCAAATGTATATATATATATATATATATATATATATATATATGAAAGAAACTCAGCATCCATTCTATTTTTTTAATTCTTATTATTTTATTGTTATTTTTTTGAGACAGGGTCTCCCTCTGTTGCCCAGACTGGAGTGCAGTGGTGTGATCACAGCTCACTGCAGCCTTAACCTCCCAGGCTCAAGTGATCCTCCGACCTCAGTCAAGTAGTTGGAACCACAGGCACACATCACCACACCGTGCTTATTTATTTGTTTGTTTGTTTGTGTGTTTGTTTGTTTTGTAGAGATGAGGTCTGCCTATGTTGCCCAGCTGGTGTCAAACTCCCAAGCTCAAGTGATCCCCCAGCCTCAGCCTCCGAAAGTACTGGGATTACAGGCAGGAGCCACCATGCTCAACCCTAGCATCCATTCTAAAATGTGTCTCTGTTGTTCATAGAAGACATAGATTCATTCTCCTTGGCACAAGGGTTTGCTTCGGATTCTGGGTGTTGTGGCTACATCACTGGCCAGCTCTGAACTTTAAAAGTTCCTCCCGCCTGCCCCCATACCTTTTCTAGGACCACCAATAAGCCCTCCTCCTCCTCTCCCGGGATGCCGCCTGAACACATGGCTGACCTCCTCTCCTCCCTAGAGTGACCAGTCTTCCAGAAGCATATTGCAGAGGAAGGCCTTGATGACTTGGAAGTACTGGAGAGGAATGCACTCCAATTCAGCCCAACATTCAAAGCATCTGCCAGTGCTGGGCCCTGGGGCACAAGATGAGCAACCTAAGGGTTGCCAGGCGAGCGGAGGTATCAGATACACACACAGCTCATTCGAGCAATAGGTGAGTGAGGGCAGGCGCGCCAGGAGGAAGCCGGACAGATGGGGTTCATGCGGAAGGAGGCCCAAGGAGGGCGCCCCCAGGAGTGGACACAGCCGTTGCTTCCGTGCCCGCCAACACTGGGAAGCTGACCTCTCTTAGTCACCGGGAGATTTGTGCAGGAGGGGAGGGGTGGGGAGAGCAGGGCTAAGTGCTGACGGGACGTCCCTGTCAACACAATGTTCTGCCTGGCCGGGCCTTCATATATAAAGATATTT
Organism: Homo sapiens; assembly: GCF_000001405.40. Classification (NCBI taxonomy): domain Eukaryota; kingdom Metazoa; phylum Chordata; class Mammalia; order Primates; family Hominidae; genus Homo; species Homo sapiens. The sequence goes on along the minus strand of NC_000011.10, from coordinate 115,660,399 downwards.
AATGAATTAGTTAATTAATGAGAGGAGTTTGATTGATAGATCATATGGCGCTCGCAGCAGGGTGAGTCTGACCCCGATATCGCCGCCTCGGCTGCAATCCGTCCCCCTCACTGGTCGGGAGAGCGCCGTCGCTCCGGCAATTTGCATGCATTTAATGTAGCTCTTTAATAGGATGTAATGTTAGCGAAAGCCAAAAGCGCAGCAGCTGTAACTTAAAAGACAGCCCCATTACTGCAAGCCTTATAATTAGGGTAAGAGGGAGACTCGGTCTGCCATATGTTAAACTCTTTTGAGGTTAATAGCTCTGTAAGATTTTTGCAATTTAAAAAAATTACACTTGAAGGATGATGACAAGGCTCATCAATGAAGCGCCTCTTCACTGGAGGGAAGGGACAGAAGGATCCCATGTCCCCCAAGGTCCCCTTCCTTGGGGACATGGCGAGGTGGCCCCTCTCCTCCCGCAAGTCGCCCAGACTCCCTTCCTTCTTTCCTCTCTGCACCAGCTTCCTGCACCCGGCCCCATTAGCGCAAAGCTGCTCTCTCACTCCGTGGAGTTGGATCTCTACCCCCGCAGCCTCTGCTTCCGCAGGTCCCCGGCATCCGGCCCATCGGGGGCGGGCGCAAGGCGCTCCACCGCGCGCCCCAGGGCCAGGGAGAAGCGCCGCGCGTGCTTACCTTGCAAACTCGCAGGCAACTCCAGAGCAATTACGGGTCCCCGCAGGTTACCTGGAGCTGATTGCACAGCCGGGGGCCGAATCAGGGAACACGCAGCGGGCACTGCCCGGGGGGGCGGGGGGAGGAGAGGAAATCGCCGGGAATTTGCTTGGTAATTACTTGGCACAAGCCCCTGGAGGTGTTTGCCCCCTCTGTGCTACAGCCCACACGGCTAAGGGACGCGACAGCGGTGTGGAGCCTGGTCCTGGGCCTGAGGGAACCGAAGCCGGCAAGTGGACCCTGGAGCGCTGCCGTCTGTGTCCCAGCTGCGACATGTAACAGGAAGGCCTCCCGCCCGCTCCCCGCGAAGAGCCCAGCTGCACCCTCCCGGTCTCTGGTGTCTTTCCCGAGTGTCCCTTCCCCGTGGCCCGAGAGCACCGGGTGGGGGACGGTCATAGGGGAGTCGCTGTAGAGATGGGAGATGGTCTCTGGAGACTGAAGCAGCCTCCTCCCGCAGGGTCCCCTCCCACGGTCTGTGCTCGGTGGGGGAGCAGGGGAGAGCCGCCTGCTAGGCAGATTCTCTCCCCCAGGAGTTCTGTCTCCTGTGTCCTTCCCCTCCCCCTGGCTCCCTTGCGGAGCGCGTGGGTGTCGGGCCAAATTCCTGATGACAGACACTCCAGACAAAACAACAACAAGGGACTGACAAAAAGAAATCCCTCTTATTTTTTTGAAAGGGGGCCCTTGTTAGAAAGAAACTACAGGAGCGGTAAAATTACTACTAATTGCACAATTATCTGATTATCTCTGGTACCAAAAATACATGAGATCCTTTCCACCTCCCAGCTACTTAAAGAATTCTCAGGGACACTTCTTGGGGAAGCAGACAGATCGCGCTTGTCAAAACCTGGAGAGACCAAAGGATGTAAGGAAAGGGGATGTTTGGGTGAGGGTGGCAAAGGGAATCACATGTAGATCCCTAGGGAGTAGAAGAAAAAGTTTAGAACAGGCTGGGGAAGAAATGGAATGCAGGAGAGAGGCTGGCAGAAGATGGTGATGGCCATGAATTATATAAATCACAGCTAAAAGAGCTTATGAGATCGTTTAATTCCAACATTATCCCTATTCTGAAAGTGAGATCCATAGAGGTTAGGCCACTTGTCCAAGCACTTAGGAGCTGGAAGGTGTGGAGGAATGAGGGTGGACTGTGGTGGAGGAGATGGGGGGCTGTTCACACCTAGCTCAGGCCCAGCACAGTGGGTCACACCTGTAATCCCAGTGCTTAAGGAGGCTGAGGCAGGAGGATGGCTTGAGCCCAGGAGTTCGAAGCTGCAGTGAGCTATAATTGTGCCACTGCACCCAAGCCTGGGCGACAGAATGAGACCCTGTCTTTTTTTTTTGAATTATTTTTTTCAGAGATAGGGTCTTACTCTGTCACCCAGGCTGAGTGCAGTGGCACGATCTTGGCTCACTGCCACTTCTGCCTCAGGGCTCAAGTGATCCTTCCACCTCAGCCTTCCAAGTAGCCGGGCTTACAGGTGCGTGCCACCATTTCCTGCTAATTTATTTGTGTTTTTTTTGTAGAGGCGAGGTCTCCCTATATTGCCCAGGCTGGTCTCAAATTCCTAGGCTCAAGCAATCCTCCCACCTCGGCCTCCCAAAGTGCTGAAATTACAAGTGTGAGCCACCTAGCCTGGCAGACAGACCCTGTTTCTTAAAAATAATAATAATAATAATAATAAATAAAATTAGGCTATCTTTTACACCCTCACTACCTTTTTGGGACAGAGATAATGGTCAGTTTCTGTGGTCAAGGTAGAAGAAACCTTTGTATTATACATCTTGATATAAAATGCTACCTACTGGTAGCTACTAAAAGTGAACACAACACAATAGCAATAGCTAACTTTTGTTAGTGCTTTGTGGTTTATAAAGCATTCCCATCTGCTTTCTCACATAATTCTCTCTTCTACCCTGTTCTTTCAGTACCCTTCCATTTTCAAATGACTTAAGCAAGACTTAGATGGTTAGGAAGGAGAGGATGCTGAGAGCTAGTTCGATAAGTGGATAGGCGGAGGCCAGCCTCTCTTCCTCTGAGAGCCTGCTTAAGTCTCTAAAATGGTTCGGATCTGTGTCCCCACCAAATCTCGTTATATTGTAATCCCCAATGTTGGAGGTGGGATCTGGTGGGAGGTGGTTGGATCATGAGGGTGGATTTCTCATGAATGGTTTAACACCATCTCCATGCTGTTCTCATGATAGTGAGTGAGTTCTCTAGTTGGTTAAAAGTGTTTGGCTCCTTCCCACTCTCCAGCTCTCTTGCTCCTGCTCTGGCCCTGTGGCATGCCTGTTTCCCCTTTGCCTTTGGCCATGATTGTAAATTTCCTGAGGTCTCCCCAGAAGCTGAGCAGATGCCAGCATCATGCTTCCTGTAAAGCCTGCAGAACTGTAAGCCAACTAAACCTCTTTTCTTTC